>NC_000002.12:233247193-233550224 GCF_000001405.40 Homo sapiens
ATCAGGCCGGCTCTTTGTACTTTATGTTCCTTGCACCCATAACTGATACGTGTTCCAATCTCCCTTCCTAGAGTGAATTCTTTGAAGTCAGGATGCCCATCCCTATGCCCAACCCACACTGGAATTGCACTGTTTTTTTAACCTGCTGAGTGGAAGGTAAAGGAAATCAGGAAGACCCAAAGGGCAGAGAAAAGAGTAAATAGGACAATAGTTTGAAGGTTGGCCCTTGAATTCCTCTGAATTGGAGCATAACTAGAGGATCTCACAGATGAGATGTGTAGGCATCAATGATGGAGGTGAGAATCTCTTGGAAGTTTTTAGCAGTGGAAATGCTGCCACAGAGGTGCTGTTATGTTAAAGCTGGTGGAACTTTGGTTCAGTGAAACTAGACTTTCCACAAAAAAAGTCCTTTGATAAGTGACGCCTTTTCTACTTCCTGTGAGCAAATTCGTGAGGCTTAACATATTGCTACAAGAATCTTGGGATATTTTACATTTATCTTACATCCATTATAGGCAGTCAGACTCCATTTCACAGATGCTGCTTCCCAGCAAAGCATGCTGAATCCTTTAGACAATCACTATTTACCAGAACAAATATAAAAACTCTCAAGATCTGTTATTTGTCACCAGAGTATTCAGACAACCTATTTCCTCCTCCTTCCTATTACTCATCCCCTGTATTACTCACCCTCCAGCCAGTCATTCCCCTCAGGGCCTGTGAACACACCTGAAGCCTCCCCATCACTGACTTTGCTCTTCACCAGGTTGCCCTCCCTATTGGCTAATTTAGGAGTGAGTCACATATTACTTAAAAATTATTCTGTTTCATGTATTCTAGTCCAGTCATACTGCAGTGACAGCCAGAACAGAGACTGGATGATGGAGTGCAGTGGTTAAAGGCACAGATGCTAGAATTAAATTGCCTGTATTTGAACCCAGGTCTTGCCACTTTACTAGCCAGGTATCCTCATGCAAGTTACTTAACCTCCCTGTGCCTCAGATTCCTCGTCTGTAAATAAGGATGAAGATGCTACTGAGCAGGATTATTGTGAGGAGGAAATGAGTTATAATATGTGAAATACTACTCAGAAGAATGCACAGCCCGTAGCACTGTAGAAGTGTTCCTGCTTATTTGTGATCTCCCAGAGTCTACCATGCTTTGACATAAGTGGTTTCATCAATAAATATGTGTTTATTTCTATAACTTTTTTTTTTTTTTGAGACAGAGTCTCACTCTGTCGCCCAGGCTGGAGTACAATGGCACAATCTCGGCTCACTGCAACCTCCACCTCCCGGGTTCAAGCGATTCTCCTGCCTCAGCCTCCCAAGTAGCTGAGATTACAGGCGCCTGACACCACGTCCAGCTAATTTTTTGTATTTTTAGTAGAGATGGGGTTTTGCCATGTTAGACAGGCCGGTCATGAACTCCTGACCTCAGGTGATCCACCTGCCTCAGCCTCCCAAAGTGCTGGGATTACAGGTGTGAGCCACCGCGCCCGGCCCAACTTTTTCATGCATATGTAGTATATATATATATAATGTCTACCTATTAGAAAATGCATATAAAATACACATATAAGAAAAAAACCCAGCAACACCACTGCCTACAGATAATACTATTATCAGTATTTTCACATATTCCATTCATTAATTAAATAACATTTACTGAGCACCTAATACATAAAGGGCTTCATGCTCTTGCTGGAGATATAATGATGTGCAAAAACAGACACAGCTCTTGTCTCATGGAGTTTACAGTCTACTGGGGGAGACAGACCTTTATCAAGTAATGATACAAATACATGTGAACCTATAACTGGGATCAATGCTATAAAGGAGAGGTACACGCGTAACAGGGAGATAAGATCTGTAACAGGTTGTGAAGGTCTCTCATCCTACTGTTGCGAGGAAGTGACTACTGAAATGAGAACGAACACACAGAAATTAATTTGGAGAAGTCAGAAGGGAAGATGTGCCCAACACAGTAAATCCAAAGGCCCTGCAACGAGAGGGAGCACGGTAAGCAGAAGGAAGTAAGAGGCTTCAGCGTGGCTGTGGTTGTGTGCTAGATAAAGCTGGTGAGTTAGGAGGAGGGCAGGACTAGCAGAGCTTCATATTCTTTCTTTAGAAATTATTCTTCATGTGTTCAACAAATATTTGTCTATGATGAGCTAGGGACATACTCATTTTACATAAATTATGACATATACTGCTGTTACTATCAACAATTTCCAGCAATAAATGTACAGTAATTTAACCAATCTCTTATTGTTGGAAATGTAGATTTTTTTCTCCAACTTCTCATCATTATTATAAACCGCAATTACTTTTACACCAACCTAAAAACAATTCTGCAACAAAGATTTTTGTATGTGGACATGTGTCCAAATATTTCTTGGCATAAATTCCTGCAAGTGGAATTGCTGGTTAGGCAAACTGCAAATTTGTAAACATATTTTTATATATATAGAGAGAGAGTCAGGGTCTTGCTCTGTTGACCAGGCTGCTGGAACACAGTGGTGCTATCACAGCTCACTGCAGCCTTGACCTCCTAGGCTCGAGCGATGCTCCCACCTCAGCCCCATCCCAGTAGCTAGGATTACAGGCACACGCCACCACACTCAACTAATTTTTTGTATTGTTGTAGAGACAGGTTGTGTCATGTTGCCCAGGCTGGTTGGTCTCAAATTCCTGAGCTCAAGTGATCCTCTCACCTTGGCCTCCCAAAGTGTTGGGATTACAGGTGTGAGCCACCATGCCCAACCTTGGAAACATATTTTAATCATAAATGTGGGAAATTAACATGCTCAACTGTCAAGATTTGGTGTAATGGTCTTTTAAGGGTGGTGCCACTGCTGCATTTGAAGGCATTCTCGGTCACTTTCAGAACTTTTTCATTTTCTTCAGCGTGTGAGGAAGTCACTTCTATTTCTGATCCCATTGGATCCTTCCAACGACTTCAGGTCCACTCAATACTGACTACCAGTGAACCATCTTCAACTACAGTGCTAGAAGCCTGACTGTCCTCCTCTCCTCAGCCTAAGTTCTTCTTATCTGTCTCTGAAGGACCTTCCTCTGGACTTGAGACACACTGGAAGAGAAGGTAGTTTCTGATATTCCTTTCCTCTTTTGGCCAACTACTTTGTCTGGCTCCATTTTCATGCAGTAAATTCACTAATTGTTAAAGGCAGATGGAGCTCCAGCAACTCTATTACAGAACTGGGTTTTCCATTCTACTGAGCTTGTTCACAGACACAACTTTCTCAGGAGCCAGTGTGTCTTCATCTCCCCCTTTCAACATCTACAGCCTCAGATTACCTTCTAAGGCTCCATTTATTGTCAGGCCACAATTTCTAGGATTCTAACAATGAAGACAAACTCTGATACACAATTCACATCTTTCTTAGCTCCCGTTTCCAGTTCTCTTCTCCATTGCAAACAAAAACAAAAACCCCAAACAAACCACAAAACCTGTTTCCAAGTTCAGTGGGACACTCTTCCCAACGCACCCTGACTTCAGGTATGTAAGAGTTAAGAAACAAGAAAGAAACACGAAAAGCAGCTTAACAATCAAAGACAGGTTTATTTTGGAGAATAAACCTGAGAGGGGCTTCTTGTCGATTTTGGTCAGGAGCGTTTTCTCTTACACACTAAGGGTGTTTAAGGGTTTACGAAGCGGTGAGCTTATTGCAGGTTCGTAATGTTTCTGTATGAGGGAAAGTTTATTGCAGGGTTGGAAAGTCTCTGGCCGGAGGGGAGGCTATCTCTGGGTTGGCATGTTTCTGGTTGGAAGTGGGTTTATCTTAGGGTTGGAATGTTTCTGGTTATGCTGACATTAGCCATTAGGCTGATGTTTTTGGGTTGGATTTAGGCAGTTTCTTAATCAAGGGGAACTTAAAATGGTGGCAGTTGTCCAAGATGGCAATGCTCCTGCTGTCAGGGTAGGCCTTGGGAAGACACCAGGTGTCTTTGTAAACTTAGGTTTCCCCTGTACCAAGCACAGTGCTGACTGCATTACATGGGTTTTTCTTTTTACTATTCGTGACAACCTTCTGAGGTAGGTATCATTACTGTCCCCATTTACAGATGAGACAACTGAGGCTTAGGTAGGCTGTCACTCATCCACAGCCACAGAGCTACTATGGAGGGAACCCCATTTGTTCCTAAACTGCGATTAAAAATAAAAGTGGGGGGAGACAGGCCAAGAAAAAAAACACGAAAAGGGTTGAAAAGCAGCAAAAGAAAAGTAAGCAGTCAGGCGGAAACGGCCCCTTTCCTGCCTCCTTCCCGCCCGGCGCTGGGCCTTGCGCAGGGCCCGGACGCCCCCAAGCGGCCACCTCTCTGCAGCTGACGCTTCCGGCTACAGGCTGGCGTCACTAGCGAGCGCCCTGCGTAGGCACCGGCTCCTGAGCCCGTGCTTCGGGTGAGGGGGCGGGTCTTCCGGCCCTCTCGAAAATCATTTCCGGCATGAGCCGGAAGACCGTCCCGGATGGCCTCGGGGACTGCCAGTGTGTGGAGGTGAGCTCCGGGATTGCCGGCATTCCCGCTTCTGCTGGTTGCTTCATGCTGCAGGCTGCGGCCGTCAGCCCTCGCTCGCATTGGTGGCGCTGAGGTGCCGGGGCAGCAAGTGACATGTCGTCGGGCCTCCGCGCCGCTGACTTCCCCCGCTGGAAGCGCCACATCTCGGAGCAACTGAGGCGCCGGGACCGGCTGCAGAGACAGGCGTTCGAGGAGATCATCCTGCAGTGTGAGCGGCGCCGGTGCGGGCTGGGAGTGGGGCGGGCGGGCCCCGCGGAGGCATGCGGGGCGTCAGCGGGAACCTGAGGCCGAGTCCCTGGCGCCGCCCGCACGCATGGCGGCCGCCCCGGGTAACCCGCGCTTGGGACGCCGCACGCCTTTTAAATGTTTTTTCTAACCTGCGTTTTATCTTTGGAGGATTTTCCCTATTAAATTGTACGATCTTTGTGGGGAGGCACAGTTCGTGTTTGTATTTGTAAATCCCAGTAGCTCATACAATGCTTATGCACTTAAATAGGTCCCAGAAACATCCCATCTATGGGGTCATGTTAATGAAACGGTCGTTGACTTTCAGTCGCAGAATTAACATTGCCTTCTCAATGCACTGGAACGGGTGGCCTTTGATTCCTCAAACTTACTTCCCTTACTCCACCTTGGTGGTTTTTTTTGCGGGGAAACGGGATAGGGGATCAGGGTCTTGCTGTGTCGCCGAGCCTGGAGTGCAGTGGCGGAGATCACGGCTCACTGCAGTCTCAAACTCCCAGGATCAAGTGATCCTCCCACCTAAGCCTCCCGAGTAGCTGGGATTACAGACGCGCTTCACCACGGTCGGCTAATTTTTTTAAAAAAAAATTTTTTGGAACGAGGTCTCACTGTGTTTCCCAGGCTGGTCTCCAACTCCTGCGCTCAAACGATCTTCCCACCTCGGCCTCCCAAAGTGCTGGGATTATAGGCGTGAGCCACCGAGCCCGGCCCCACCTTGGTGTTAATATCGTAATATCTTTTAGGCGGGACAGAACCTTTACTGTTACTGAAATCTTCAGTATGAAAGAGGTGGTTTTCTTTCCCCTTACTGCTTGCAGCTTAAGGGTACAAAAATGTTTGTACCTTTACCTAAATTATAATGGTCCTAAGGTGGTTCCATCTGCGTCTGAAAGTAAACCTGACGACTTTCTCAAGTTATGCTGTTGATGATATTCAGAATAATAATTGCTACCTTATATTGCATTCTGATTGTGCAAAATCAGTAGTTCTCAAACTTAGCTCCACATTAGAATCACCTATGGATCTTTAAAAAATTACAAATCCCAAGCCACACCCCAGACCAACTAAATCACAAGTATCACAGTACACAAGTATCAGTGTGTGTGTGTTTGTGTTTGTGTGAGATTAAGCCTAGAACTGCATGCCAAGTTATCAGTGTTTTTTGATGCTTCCCAAATGACTACTGTGCAGACAAATTTTAGTACTGTGGTAAGTATTTGCATGTGTTATTTTATCTTTCCCAAAATTCTGTGTATGAAGCAGGAACTGTTATTGCCATTTTCACACATGGAACTGAGGCCAAGAGAGATTAGGTAACTTCTGAGGTTGCACAGCAGGTTAATGGTGAGACTGGGTTTTTTTGTTTTTTTTTTTTTTTTTTTTTGGAGACAGAGTCTTGCTCTGTCACCTAGGCTGGAGTGCAAGTGGCGTGATCTCAGCTCACTGCAACCTCCACCTCCCAGGTTCAAGAGATCCTCCTGCCTCAGCCTCCCTAGTAGCTGGAACTATAGGCAAGCACCGCCACGCCCAGCTAATTTTTGTATTTTTAGTAGAGACAGGGTTTCACCATGTTGGCCAGGCGGATCTTGAACTTCTGACCTCAGGTGATGTACCTGCCTCAGCCACCCAAAGTGCTAGGATTACAGGCATGAGCCACAGTGACCAGCCGGGACTGGAATTTGAACTTAGGCTTGATGACTAACTTTTGCATTTGCTTTTCTCACTGGCTCCCCCAGCAAATGGTTCTTTGCTTTCACTGCACCCATTGTTTTAACAAAACTAAGAAGAAAGAGGATGCTTTGCTGTTCTAGGAGGCCCTGAAGAACAGTGCTGTTTCAGAAAGCCAGAAGCACAAGAAGTCCCTCTTCCTCAAAACATGATTCCCTGACAGATGACATAAATCAGTTCATTAGGTGCTTATTAGGTGCTTATGCTTTAAAAGCTAATATCCTTTGAAAGTCAAATTGGGTGGGAGGCTTGACTCACCCCTCACTGAACATTTTCACTTACTTTCTGAGTCTGTTTTGCCTCATCTATAAAATGGGGATGAAGCTTGCCCTGCCCACTTCATAAAAACAGTGCTGTGCATATAAGTGCTTTCAAAGCCATCTGTATAATAGCTTGTAATTGTAAAGCGTTATCTCTTTGACACAAATGGAATGTTTTCCTGCACTTTGAAAATGGCATCTTGATGGGGCAGGAGCATGTAGAACAGTCAGAATAAGAGGTCACTTGTGGAGAGCAGATAGCTTTAAAGGGTGCTAGAGTAGCGAGTAATACCTGCCTGAGGGACCAGGACAGGAGACCGGGATGAGAAGCTAACAAGAGGCAGGAGAGTGAGACAGGCTTTGCATGTTAAGATCTTCTGTTTAGGCAGAGGGATTGACATTTAGGGAGATCATTTCTATTATAGTTTGTGAAACACCTTCATTCCACTCATTCCAGCCTTCCCAGGCCAGTCAAGCTCTGACCCTCCATCAGCCTGGAGTCTATTCTCTGTTCAGTCCGTGCCTTTGAGTCTGAAGAGAAAGGTGGAAAGAAGCCGTAGGGGGAGGGAAAGGCTTCCCTCCATCTCCAGCCTTCTCTTCAGGGAGGAACCTTTGGGAAGGACTCCTTTTGAACGCCTGTGTTTTTTGAAAGAACCTAAAATTATCACAGGGCACTAAGCTTTGGTTTAACATCTGAAGGTCTTACTAGAGCCCTTTGACACTGGTGGATTTTAAACCATAATTTCCCAGGTTGAAACCAATGTCCAGTTTGGCTAATTCGTTTGACCAATAGATGAGAGTGTTTCTACCCAGGAGTTCTCTTTTCAGGTATCAAAAAGTGGGACTCAAAACTCTTTAAAAGGAGAAACAAGCTCTTTTAACAGGAATAGTCACTAGCATAAACCCTGTCTTGTTCTGCTTGGTACCTGCAGAACAGGTACCCACATCTGATCTTACTGGTGCCTGTGTACCTATTACTCTTATTTTTTATTTCATTTCATTTGTTTATTTATTTATTTATTTATTTAGAGACAGTCTCACTCTGTCGCCCAGGCTGGAGTGCAGTGGCGCGATCTCAGCTCACTGCAACCTCTGCCTCCCGAGTTCAAGCGATTCTTGTGCCTCAGTCTCCCTAGTAGCTGGGACTGTGGGCAAGTGCCACCGTGCCTGGCTAATTTTTGTATTTTTAGTAGTTTCGCCGTGTTGGCCAGGCTGTTCTCGAACTCCTGACCTCAGGTAGTTTGCCTTCCTTGGCCTTCCAAAGTGCTGCGATTACAGGCGTGAGCCACAGTAATAGGCCTGTGTGCCTATTACACTTAACTACGTGTTCTTTCTAATCTTGTGTTTTGAATTTCTGTACTCTGTCTCCTGTCAAATTTATTATGTTTGGAAAGAGAACTCATTTCCTCTCTAAGCTCTCCCCTCTTGTGTTCTCTCACACGTTAGCATCCTCCGCCCAGTTGCTTGAGCGAGGAGCCTCAGAATAATCCTTGACTTTTTACCAATACAGATCTGTTAGCGTAACGGCCTGCTTTTATAATCTTTTATTTAATCATTGCCAGTAAGAAGTCTAAATTTCTGATCCTGCTTTTTCCTGTGTTGGCTCCAACCTTTATTTCCAGCCACTTACCAAAAGACTCTGTTATTCCTTCTGCATGGCCCATCATCTTCTTTTAAGACTTAACTCATATATCACCTCCTGTGACACCATTCATAAAAATGAGTACAGAGTGTATTCTCTGTACCTTTTTATACTTGACTGAATTAAATGTTAACTCCATGTTGGAGACTGTCATTTGTATTTCTAGTTCCCTGACCTAAAAAGTAATTAGATATGTCAACTTATGGTAAAGTTCTCCTGTCTTACTTAAAGGTACATAGCATTTCACTTTGCCATTGTGTTTAGTGTGTTTTTCTTTTTTCCTCCCAAGGTAGAAACAAATAACTTCTGGGGTAGAAAGCATTTTCAGCTCCCTTTAATAGGGAAGACATTCTTGCAGGTGATTCTGTAGGTTACTGTGGCTGAGGAATGTATGTTCCTGTATTGCATCCTTCAATACATGACAAGGTAGGTACCTAGCAAGTGTACATACGTTGTAATAAATAACTTAGTTTCTGACTTTTTTATTTTAATAGATAACAAATTGCTGGAAAAGTCAGATCTTCATTCAGTGTTGGCCCAGAAACTACAGGCTGAAAAGCATGACGTACCAAACAGGCACGAGATAAGGTATTTTGAAACTAACTTGTATTATTTATGTCTCCTCTAAGGAAATTTATCTCAGTTCAGTTGTCACTTCTCTAATTTAAAAGCAAATCAAGTACTATTTCTGTGTTCCAGTTTTTGTCAGCTCCTTTCAAATAAGAACTAAAACCATGTAATTACAATTGTTTTTTAGAAGGTATGTCATACCTAGAAAGGTTATTATCAGTACAGTGCTCTGAGCTTGAGAAATTTCTTAAGGCAGGTTCACGTGGTAACCCTAGGTCAGTTTCTCATCTAACCTGCCAGGATTCATGTTTTTTTGTTTCTTTGTTTTTAAATAATCACAGACAAGTATTTCTGAGCGGGTTTGTGTAGATCCTGTTAATGTAGGATTGATTGGCACATACGTAAAAATTGCTTTCCTGCAGTATGGGTCTATTTGATCCTTTTTAGGTTGGTGTTTTTTTCAACATACAAATGGTCCCCAACTTGCAGTGGTTCGACTTATAATTTTTCTTTTTCTTTTTTTTTTTTTTCTTTTTTGAGACAGTCTCACTCTGTCACCCAGGCCGGAGTACAGTGGCACGATCTCAGCTCACTGCAACCTGCAACCTCTACCTCCTGGGTTCAAGCAATTCTCCTGCCTCAGCCTCCCAAATAGCTGGGTCTACAGGAACCCACCACCACACCTGGCTAGTTTTTGTATTTTTAGTAGAGGCAGGGTTTCACCATGTTGGCCAGGCTGGTCTCGAACTCTTGACCTCAAATGATCCACCTACCTCAGCTTCCGAAAGTGTTGGGATTACAGGCGTGAGCCACCGCACTGGCCAGCTTACAATTTTTTTTGTTTTGTTTTGTTTTGTTTTGTTTTGTTTTGAGATGGGGTCTCGCTCTGTCGCCCAGGCTAGAGTGCAGTGGCGCGTTCTGGGCTCAGTGCAAGCTCCGCCTCCTGGGTTCAAGCCATTCTCCTGCCTCAGCCTCCCGAGTAGCTGGGACCACAGGCACCCGCCACCACGCTTGGCTAATTTTTTGTATTTCTGGTAGAGACGGGGTTTCACCGTGTTAGCCAGGATGGTCTTGATATCCTGACCTCGTGATCCGCCCGCCTCGGCCTCCCAGAGAGGTGGGATTACAGGCTTGAGCCACCGCGCCCAGCCCAGCTTACAATTTTTAACCTTTATAATGGTGCAGAAGCGATACACTTTCAGTAGGACTGTGCTTTGAGTATCCATCCAACCAGTCTGTTTTTCCCCTTCAGTTTAGTATTCAATAAATTGCATGAGATATTCAACAACTTATTATAAAATAGGCTTTGTGTTAGATGATTTTGCCCAACTGTAGGCTAATGTAAGTGTAACCTATGATACTCAGTAGGTGAGATGTATTGAATGTATTTTCAACCTACTATATATTTTCAACTTCTGATGGGTTTAAAGAGACATAGCCTCAGTAAGTAGAGGAACATCAGTATTAGTAGATTGTGAAATCAAATTAGCAGATTGCAGTAAGCTCTTATTTTTCTTTAAGAACTAGATTAGAAAAATATCAGTGTGTGCTGGGCTTGGTGGCTCACACCTGTAATCCCAGCACTTTGGGAGGCCAAGGCGGGTGGATCACAGGGTCAGGAGTTCAAGACCAGCCTGGCCCTGATGGTGAAACCCCATCTCTACTAAAAATACAAAAATTAGCCGGGCATGGTGGCGGGCGCCTGTAATCCCAGCTACCCGGGAGGTTGAGACAGAATTGCTTGAACCTGGGAGGCGGAAGTTGCAGTGAGCCAAGATTACACCACTGCACTCCAGCCTGGGTGACAGAGCGAGACTCCGTCTCAAAAAAAAAAAAAAAATATCTATATATCTATATATCTATATATCTATATCTATCTCTTGGTGTGTATTGATAGAATATTTCATGAAATACATATTTGTTCATGGCGGGGTATTTGTGTTTACTGGGTCACTGGTGTGCATTTATGTATATTTGAAGTCTTATTATCCTCTTCTGTAATATTCATTGTGTTTGCATGTTAAATTTGGTATGGGGACAGTAGCCATTATTGCTCTGAAATCTCCACACATTTAGCAATTGTAAAAACAAGGTTGGTGATTTATGGTGTCTAGAAATGGTAGCTGTAGCCTGATGTATTTACTCCTAGAGCTGTAGCTGCTCTCATGTCTCCTCATCTGGCACGATGGTCTCCTGATAGAGGACAGAGTGGGAAAGATACCAGAGAACAGATGGCTTGGCAGGGCCTAGCTTCCATCCTTGCTTTGTAACAGTTCAGGAGATCCTGCCTGGCTGTGGCCCTGGGAGGCCTTCTGTAGTACTTAAGATATTAGTTTTAGTATTTTGGTTAATTTTAGGTGTAGATAATGCTGTTTCACCATTTTCGTCTAAATTCATCCAATTGAAAACTAAAAACATTTCTATCTGATTAAACCCTTGATGACTATATTCTTGTATTCTTTATCTGTTAGCCAAACTCATGTGCTTGGAATATGCAGCCGTTCTTTTGGCTAAATTTCACTGGGATAGACTTTTTTGAGGCAGGGTCTCTCTCTGTTGCCCAGGCTGGAGTGCAGTGGCATGATCATGGCTTACTGCGGCCTCAACTTCCAGGGCTCAAGCAATCCTCCTGCCTTAGCCTTCTGAGTAGCTGGGAGACTATAGGTGTGCACCACCATGCCAGTCTAATTTTTTAATTTTTTGTAGAGATAGGGGTCTCACTGTGTTACCCAGGCTGGTCTTTACTCCTGGGCTTAAGTGATCCTCCCTCCTCAACCTTCCATTAGTGTTGGGTTTACAGGCATGAGCCACCACACCCAGGGGGATGGTCATTTAGTTGGAGGTCTTGTTATAAACCAGGTTCATTCAGCCCACACACAGCAAGTTAATCACTGAGATGATGGGTTTTGTGAGAGTTTATTCATAACGTGGCCAAGCAAGGAGGCAGGAGAACAGGTCTCAAATCCACCTCCTTGAAAACAGGGATTGGGGGTACTTAGGCAGTAGAAAGCAGGGTGGTCTAAAGTGTGGGAAGAGGTGATTGGTGGGTAGGAAAGATGAGGTAATTGGGGCTTCCACGCAAGCATAATCTAGCTTTGTGGTTCCTCATAGGACACATGCAGAAAATGGTGGCGTCAGCACCATCTGAGGGAGGAGTGTTTTGGCCCTCTGATGTCAAAAGATCACCTCTTGGGCATTCACACAGGCCCAGTTGAAGGGTTGGGGGTCTCAACCAGCTTTAATGAGCAAGAGCTGCCTCCTAGTTCCTGGAGAAAAACTTTAAGCACCAGTTATTGTAGTGAGCCACAGTCAGTTATTATTTATAAGGAAGCTATTGGGAGTTTAGTTATGTGTTGTTTGGCAACTCGACTTGCTAGTGGGAGTTTGGAACTAGAAAAAAGTGATGAAAAGCAGGCAAGGCAGGTTGAACGGTGGGCTTCATCAGGTTACCCCTTGTTCAGTCTTTCCATTTCCACAAACATTATCCATAATAAGCCTGCCCTCCTGACTTCTTTGTTTCCATTCACAGTATCGTTGTTTTCCACTAGTCATCTATGGTTCCTTCTTCCCTCTAGATCTTCCCATCTCCATATTCCTTTATTCCTCATATTCCCCATATTCACCAAGCCCATTGGTTCTCCACCCCCTAGCCTCTTGCATCCTTTGGTTTGCATTTATTTTGCCACCTCCTTTGTTTATTTATCTTCTTATTCCCAGACTGTGGTGAGAGCCTCATTCACTCAAAAGACTCCTGTGACCGTAGTGTGGGCTGGGCATTAGGGCTGTAGAGATGAGTAAGCCAGAGTCCCTGCTCTGAGGAGGAATAGAGTCTAGTGGGGGAGACCAACTCAAAGGGACATTTGCTAGAGAATGTAAGGGTGTTCACAGAAGCTGGGCACTTTGTTGGTTTCCTTTCCCCTCCTTCCTGTCTCTCCAAAGTTCCTGCCTGTCTCATCCTAATTAACCGTAAAACACTGCACACTGTGCTTAAATAGTGATCTGCATCAGTTATCAGACTTTCTCTTAAGTATTTTCATCACTTTGCCTACAGTTTAAAATCAAACTCTTCAGCCTCGAAATTGTTTATTCTAAGCACGGTTCCTGGACTAGTGACATCTTCTGGGAAACTGTTAGAAACGAAGATTCTTGGGCCCCACCTCAGACCTACTCTATTAGAAACTCTGGGGGTGGGGCCTGGTAATCTGTGTTTTCAGAAATGCTTTAGCTGATTGTAGTGACCTCTGAAGTTTGAGCACTACCACCTTTACTGCTACTCAGACTTCCTGGAACCAGCAACATTCCCATCACCAGAGCGCAGAAAGTCAGAAATGCAGATGGCTGGGCCTTGCCAGGAAAGCAGGTCACCTGTTAGTGGGCTCCAGGAATCTGTGCTTGAAACATGCCCTCGGAGTGATTGTTTTTTCTACTTGCCGAAGCACTTTAGGGGGCTGATATTCATTGTAAGTAAAATAAGAAGTCCTTGGAGGCTTTGGGTCATGGAAAGAGCTGTATCCTGCTTGCCTTAGTCTCTCCTAGCATTTCTGTTGTGTTCTGTGTCTTGGTAGACTTTGAAGTTTAAGCATCTAATCCTGAGGCTCCTCTGCCTGATGATCTTGCCTCCATTTTGCCCTTCCTAGGAGATTCCTACTTTAGTTCCTCTTTGGAAACCCCTCCCAAAATGAAACCATCCTTGTCTGGGGAAATCTTTGCCTCTGAACATGATTAACACTTTCCATCGTCACTCTTTGATACACTTTTGTTTTTCTTTGTGTTGTTAGTTTTTGTTTTGTTTTGCTTTGTTTTTTTGTTGCTCTGTCGCCCAGGCTGGAGGGCAGTGGCGCAGTCTCAGCTCACTGCAACCTCCGCCTTCCGGGTTCATGCCATTCTCCTGCCTCAGCCTCCCGAATAGCTGGGACTACAGGTGCCCGCCACCACGCCCAGCTAATTTTTTGTATTTTTAGTAGAGACGGGATTTCACCGTGTTAGCCAGGATGATCTCGATCTCCTGACCTCGTGATCCGCCCGCCTCGGCCTCCCAAAGTGCTGGGGTTACAGGCTTGAGCCACCGCTCCCGGCCTGTTGTTAGTTTTTATTTCATGAATCTGTTCTATAGCTAGCCAGCTCCTTGGAAGGTGGGTCCACATCTTACATGCTTGAGTCCAGGAGTTCGAGGCCAGCCAGGGCAACATAGTGAGATACCATCTCAATAATTTTTTAAAAGGTGGGGGAGATTTGATAATTATTCTGCCTGATTTAGGATGGTTTCATGTAAAGTGTGTTCCACTGTCTAATCTCTTGGCATTACTTCTTGGGTTAAGATTGGGGAAGTGCCAGGTTGCCTCAAGATAAGGTATTAGTTTGTGCTTAGCTATGTAATAACAATACATATAGAGATGGAAGGACTGCTATACTACCACCTTTATCCCCCTCTTTTTATTTTATTCTGGGTCATATGGAGGGGGCAGTTCTTTCCGCTCTCATCGGATGTTGGATGAGAGGAACAAGTGTCCAGCCTTGTTCCTTTTCTCCATCTACAAGCTTTCCCTAGACAGTGGTTTCAGC
This sequence comes from Homo sapiens, assembly GCF_000001405.40. Taxonomy (NCBI): domain Eukaryota; kingdom Metazoa; phylum Chordata; class Mammalia; order Primates; family Hominidae; genus Homo; species Homo sapiens. Next base: position 233,261,740 of record NC_000002.12, read on the forward strand.
TGCTCACTATAGTCTGATAATTCTCACCTGTGACACCAGCTTTCTCTCGAACTATAAATCCACAGTTCTAGTTGTCTTCTGCTGTATCTGAGATATTATGCAAACACTTGGCAAAGATTCCAAAACTGCATTGACTCTGGAGGTGATCTGAACTCACTCCTGTGGCTTTAGGCACATCTGTTTGCTGACAGTGTCTACATGTTAGCCTCCAGCTTGGACTTCTTCTTGAGGTTCAGACTCTTAATACTCAGTTTCCATTTGACAGTACTCAGTTTTCACTTGAATGGCCACAAACGAACTCTTTAGGTCTCCTCCAAAACCTGCTCCTCCCACAGTCTTGCCCATTTCAGTGGGTGACACCTACCTTCTACCAGTTGCTCAGGCCAAAAGCCTTGATTCATCCTTGACTCCTATCTGTCTTCATGCCCCATAGCCAATTCAAAGTCAAGTCCTGTTAGCGCTGTCTTTGGAATGGATCTAGAATCAGACCGTATCTCACCTCACTGCTCCCACCCTGGTCTGAGCCGCACTGTCCCATGTTTGCACTTCACAGTAGCCTGCTGGCTGGTCTTCCTGTTTCGGCCCTTACCCCACTGCAATCTGCTCTCCTTTTAAAACCTAAGTCATTCAGCTGCTCAGAGCCCTCCAGCAGCTTCCCTTCACGCCTAGTAAACCTCACAGCCCTCGGAGGTGCCCACAAGGCTCTGCATCATTTCCCCACCTCGTCCTTGACCGCACCTCCTCTGTCCCCCTGTGCCTGGGCTTCAGTCACCCTTCCTCCAAATACACCACCTGCTGTACACCTCTCCAGGCTCTGCTGCTGCTGCTCCTTCTGCCCAGAGGGCCCTTCCCTCAAGGGTCCACATGGCTTATTCCTCACTTCCTTACAGTCTCTAGTCATGTGTCACGTAGGAGAAACCCTCCTCAATTACGTTAAAATAGGACCCCCTCCCTCTGTTCCCCTTCTTGTGCTTGAGTTTTCTGCAAGCACATGTGACTGCTGACCTCACACGTGCTCTCAGTTGACTGTCAGCTGTGTGGAAGCAGAGCCCTGCACTCACTGCTGCGTCATCGGCACTCAGGTCCTTGCTGAGCCAGTGGGCCCTGTTGGTGCCTGTTACTGGGACTTCATTCAGGAACTTTCCACCCTTTATTCCTGATGTGCCTGATGGTCACAGTTGCTTTGCTTTTTTCCATGTGTTTCATGTCTCCTCCTTTCCACTCATAGTGCCTGTAACCGCAGCTGCTGGAGACACCCGAATGGTTTATTGGCTTTGTGAACATGTTTCTGGAGTTATGGTTTCATTGCCTAATTGGAAAGGTTTGGAGTCTCATTTTTCCCCCTCCGTTTTTTGCACATTCTCTTCATCTGCCTGGTTTGCCAATTTAGTCCCGGACATGATGGCACATGGAATGACAATCAGCTACAAGAAATGGCCCAACTGAGGATTAAGCACCAAGAGGAACTGACTGAATTACACAAGAAACGTGGGGAGGTAAAGCTAGCCCTTTTCCTCATCTGTCTTCTGCCCTCTATGAGAGTCCTGTGGGGAGCGGGGGAGCTCAGTCACTTCTCACCAGAATTGGCAGCAGCCTTAGCCATATGTGGCATCAAAAGTCCCCTCCATAGGAATAAAAGGGTGAGGAAAACAGAATGAAAAGACCAGGCAGATTGAGGCCCATCACCAGAAGGGCAATCCTGTGAGAGCGCTGCCAGTTACCATGCTCCAAAATCAGCATGAGAGGCAAGAGTGGAGAGGCTTTAAAGAACAAAAAAGCCTGCTACCTGGTGCGCTGAAGGCCTCACTGATGGTTTCATAAAGCTTTTCAGTACAAACCCTGAAATTTCAGAGACATTCGTGAGAAAGAATCAAGTCCTAGGCTGTGTTCGCCTGGATGGTGGTCTTACGGCAAAGCTCCAGTTGGGAAAATACAGTTCACCATCAGTACAGCTGAATTGATTATCTTTTCAGCAGAAATGAGTCTCCAAAAAGGTAGCTGAAGTTGAGGAGTAGACAGCTGTCCTCAGCAAGCCCCTGGCAGTCACCTGGAACACTTCTCATTCCAGCCAAGCTGTCCTTCAACAGGGAGTGGCAGGGATAGTTCCCCTTTGTGTCCCCATAGGCGCCTCGGCTCCTTGCTGTCACCCAGCTCATTTATTCTTTCTTAAAAATAAATCGCCACCCACTGTGTAGTTTCCAAATGAGGTCCTAAAATTTTTATTTATGAAAGTATTCTTCTTTATCTCCCAGTTAGCTCAACTGGTGATTGACCTGAATAACCAAATGCAGCGGAAGGACAGGGAGATGCAGATGAATGAAGCAAAGTGAGTAGAGACCCCGCCTCCTTGGAGCCTGGTCATTGGGTCCCATGTCCTTTGTTCTGCTGACCTCTTGTGAGCAGGGCCAGTGGCAGTGAGTGGCCACAGTGCACTTAGCGAGAGTTTGATTTTCAGTGCATACACACTCTGGGATCCTTTTCTACCAGCTCTGAGAAGGAAAAAGCAAGGACAGTGCCCACAGGCTTCTAGCATCCTCCTAGGGATGTCACCTTGGCTCTTGCAAGTGGCCCAGAGACACTAGCAGCTCTCCTGTGGCCGCTGTGTGTGGGAGCTGGTATGTTCCTGTGGTGGAGGTGGTAGGGCCAGGATAGCTGAGCGCATGGCCCTTGGGAAAAGGGAAATGAGTTTGTGAGCAAAACTGTTGCTGACCAGGGAGAAGCCTGGCAGACAAGATAAATGGGGACTCTGAATCCTGAGACCTTGGAGCTGGGGTAGCGTGTGCTTGGGTTTCCTTAATATGTGGAAAGGGGTCTAGAGGCTTGGAAAGGCAGGGCGCTTGCTCAGGCTTTTGCTCAGGAAATGTCAGAGCTGGTGAAATATATACGGTTTCCAGCCTCCTTTTAAATCCCCTTTACCAATCTAAGCATCGAAAGTTTCTCTTCCTTCACATCGTGTTTTTCCTAGTCATTAATAGGATGAATTTCACCTTAGGTGTTTCCTCTCCTAATGGATTATCCTGTAAACCATGGGGATGGGCCTGGCTAAAAGATGTTGTAACAGACACAAAGTGTTAAGCACTCAGCCAGGTCCGTCTGGCTCTGGCACAGGGCTCTGGCGAGGTACTATTCGTCCTCTGATGTCATGCTTCCAGAATTGCAGAATGTTTGCAGACTATCTCTGACCTGGAGACGGAGTGCCTAGACCTGCGCACTAAGCTTTGTGACCTTGAAAGAGCCAACCAGACCCTGAAGGATGAATATGATGCCCTGCAGATCACTTTTACTGCCTTGGAGGGAAAACTGAGGAAAACTACGGAAGAGAACCAGGAGCTGGTCACCAGATGGATGGCTGAGAAAGCCCAGGAAGCCAATCGGCTTAATGCAGAGAATGAAAAAGACTCCAGGTGGGCTATCAATCCACAGTTAGTGGTTTCCATCCTTAGTAGAGTAGAACCTAGGTCTTTGAAAAGAAAGAGATAAACCTGGCAGTTACTACAGGAGGTTTACCAGGGAATTCTTTCAGTGTTTCAAGGAGAAAAGCTAATTCTGAACAATATAAATTAAACCAGAGTTAGAAAAAGGAAATACACCACAATTAGAATTCTTCCCCATAATTTTGTGAAGCTTTTTGTATCCATATAAAAATTCTGATCTTGCTAATGCACAAGAAGACTATAATCCAACCTTATATGAATATAGATGTGAAATTCCTAAATCAGACTCATTGATAGATTTTTATTTATTTTTTGAGACAGAGTCTCGCTCTGTTGCCCAGGCTGGAGTGCAGTGGCATGATGTTGGCTCACTGCAACCTCCACCTCCCGGGGTCAAGTGATTCTCCTGCCTCAGCCTCCTAAGTAGCTGGGATTACAGGCATACACCACCACGCCTGGCTAATTTTTGTATTTTTAGTAGAGGTGGAGTTTCACCATGTTGGCCAGGCTGATCTCAAACTCCTGACCTCAGGATCCACCCGCCTCGGCCTCCCAAAGTGCTGGGATTAGAGGTGTGAGCCCCACCGCCTGGCCATTGATAGATTTTTTAAGAATTCCCTGCAATCCTGCTAAGTCTATTTATTTAAGATAAATCTGAAACCTACTGAGACATGGGAATTAAAAGATGGATTATCAAGAAATCAATTACGTTAGGAATTTGAATCTCTGTTGTGGAAAATGTGCGTGTTTAAAAGCTGCCCCAGAGAGCCCAGTCATCCCCTGGTCAAGGTCCACTGATCAACCGTCTATATACACTCTTACTAAAACCTGCAAGAGAACAAGGAGAGGTTCACTCTCACAACTCACAGAGAACACCGATCTGGATGTTCTGGCCAACCAACCATTGAAAAGAAGGAGTGATCACCCACCTAGAAACCTAAGAAAATGAGCTGAAAAGCTGTTAACACAAGTTCAGCAGATGCCAGGTGCAGTAAGTAGCTCATGCCTGTAATCCCAGCACTTTGGGAGGCGGAGGCGGAGGCGGAGGCGGAGGCGGGAGGATCGCTTGAAACCAGGAGTTTCAAGAGCAGCCTGAGCAACATAGTGAGACTCCATCTGTACAAAAAACAAAAACAAAAGCTGAGCATGGTGGTATGTGCTTGTGGCCTCAGCTACTCAGGAGGCTGCTGCGGGAGAGTTGCTTGAGCCCAGTAGGTTAAAGCAACAGTGAGCCAAAGTTGTGCCACTGCATTCCAGCCTGAGTGACAGAGCGAGACCCCATCCAGAAACAAACAAAAAAGCTCTACAGATTAGAACATACATATTTTTAAATCCCCATATCAGTAGTTTCGAGTTTGAAGAGATTATTCCAGTTAATTTAAAAGTGAATAAATGACAATAGGAAAGAGTCTTTTAAAGGGAATAAATGACGATAGGAAAGAGTCTTTTAAAGGGTGATGATGGAAAAACAAGTTAGCATATCAAAGAGATAATCTGCACTACCATCATGTTTGTGGCAGCACCATTCACAATAGCCAAGATACGGATCAATCTACATATTCATCATTGGCTTAATGGATAAAGAAAATGTGCTGTACACACACACAATGGAATATTATTCGCTATAAAAATGAATTAAATCATGTTATTTACAACCACTTGGATGGAACTGGAGGACAGTATATTAAGTGAAATAAGCCAGGCACAGGAAGGCAGATACTGCGTGCTTCTACATGTGGGGCTAAAAGAAAAATGTTCTCCTAGAGATACAGAGTATAACTGTGGTTACTAGAGCATGGGAAGAGTAGTGGGGAAGGAGGTTAAAGAGAGATTACTTAATGGATACAAAAATACTGTAAATGGATATAAAAATACTGTTAGAAGGTGTAAGATTGGCCTGGTGTGGTGGCGCACACTGTAATCCTAGCACTTTGGGAGGCCAAGGAAGGTGAATCACTTGAGGTTAGGAATTCGAGACCAGCCTGGCCAACATGGTGAAACCCCGTCTCTAATAAAAATACGAAAATTAGCCGGGTGTGGTAGCGGATGCCTGTAATCCCAGCTACTCAGGAGGCTGAGGCAGGAGAATCGCTTGAACCCGGGAGGTGGAAGTTGCAGTGAGCCAATATCATGCCACTAGGCTCTAGCCTGGGCAGCAGAGCAAGACTCTGCCTCAAAAGCAAAACGAAAAGAATACTTAGTGCTGTGGAAAATGCCTAAAATTAATATAACCGAAAATAGGACACAAAATGTTTTCATACAGATGATCCCAATTTTGTATACTTTTTTAAAAAAATGACTGGAAGGAATTATATGTACTGTTACTGGTGTTTATTTTTGGGGGTGGTGAGATTATGGTTTTTGATTTCTCATTTTATACTTACCTGTATTTTCTAATTTTCCGGTTTCTATTAAGAAAAAATAAGCTGTCCTTTTTGTATTGTTTCTGTCTCACATTTACTTTAAGCAGAATTGTTTGGCTTATGCCATGGAGCTTGACAGCAGTGTGAGGGTGTTGGGGGCCCCAGGTGAGCTGGATGCTGCTAGGTTGCATGTTCACGTCAGCTGAGAGGCTGCTGGAGGGAGAAGTTGGGGAGATGTGTGGTGATGCCAAGGAAGAGCCCCTGAGCAGTGCAGTGGACGGGGGGTAATGCACATTTCCTAGTGAAAATGCTGTCCTCATTCCCTAGCCCACCCTTTGAAGCATCTTCCTAGGGCTGTGCACTTGGAGGTATCATGTGATTGCAGATGTGGGACCTGAGGAGTCTTCATTACTTTGCTTAGGTAGCCTCTCCTCCTAGAAGCCTTCCTGCGTCATTACCCACTTCCTGCCTCCCCAGCTTAGATGTCCCTCATCTTCCTGCTTCAGGCAGCTGTGGTTTACCTGGGCCATATGTAGCACACTGTTTTGAGATAGCTCTTCACACTCTGCCTCCTTCCCTTATGCTGCCACGTGTCCCTGTGGTCAGGCACAGTGGCTGCTTCATAAGATGCACTCAGGGCTGGGCACGGTGGCTGCTGCCTGTAATCCCAGCACTTTGGGAGGCCAAGGCAGGTGGATCACCTGAGGTCAGGAGTTCAAGATCAGCCTGGCCAACATGGCAAAACCCTGTCTCTACTACTAAAAACACAAAAATTAGCTGGATGTAGTGGCAGGTGGCTGTAATCCCGGCTACTCAGGAGGCTGAGACAGGAGAATCGCTTGAACACAGGAAGCGGAGATTGCAGTGAGCCGAGATGATGTCACTGCCCTCCAGCCTGGGTGACAGAGAGAGACTCTGTTTGAGCTATTAAAGACCTTTCCTTTCAGCTATAGTGATGAATCCCTGATAACAGGTGGTGTTTTCCTCTCCCTGTGACCCTAAGTCAAGTTTTTATCTCCACCTTGCAGAACTGGGACCTGAAGTTATAGAAAGTAGATTTCAGACAGTCAACAAGTGCTTTAATCATAGAGTAGTGGTACTCACACACCTTATACCGAGATTCTGGTTTTTCCTCAAAGAGAGTTAGTTCACAGTTGTCTCTACCAGCTAAGACAATTTGGATAAATTGTATTTTTGGTAATTTGCCCTGTAAAACTTATTTTTCATCTTCCAGGTATAAAATCAAGAGTGTAATGCACTTTTTAAGCTATACCCACATCCCTTCCCAAGATTCTGCTATACTGCCTAGAGGACTTTCCTTCATTTTGAGAATTACCACCGTGGTAAAAACTTACGAGAAATTTCAGCAGAATTCTTGATTGCAGCTCAGTAGCATTGCTAGAGTTCTACATTAGGGGTCCTCCACCTAGCAGGCATAGCCATAGTTAGAAGTGAAATTTATCAAAGAAGAGAGAGTAAGGTCAGGGTTAGGAGTTAGGGAGTTTCTGAATTTAGGACTTGAATGAGAGACAAAAATGATTCTGAGAAGGGGAGTTAGTGGATGAGACTTTGACCATGTTAAAAATTTGTCACAGCCAAGACTTCTATGTCAAGCTTTAGTAAATTAAAGTTACTAATGTTATGTAAACTTTGACATTTCAAGAATCTCACTATACCTCAGTTTCCTCATTTATAAATGGCAATAATGATATTTACCTCAAAAGGTTGTTATAAGGCTTAAATGAGTTAAAGTCTGTAAAGTAATTAACAATGTCAGGTAAGGGGAAGTCCTAAGTAAATCTTCACTGTTAGTAATCAGGCTGTGGGTGTGTTAATGCAGGTTGAGCATCCCATATCCCAAACTCCACAATGCTCCAGAATCTGAAACTTCTTGAGTGCCAACATGACACTCAAAGGAAGTACTCATTGGAGCACTTCAGATTTCCGATTTACCATTAATTTCAACTGAATTTCATATTTAGACCTGGATCCTGTCCTCAAGATTTATATCATGTTTATGCAAAACTTCAAAATCTGAGAAAATTCGAAATCTGAAACACTGGTAGTCCCAAACATTTCGAGTAATGGATGCTCAACCCGTGTAAGACTATTTGCTGCAGAAAACTTAAGTCACAACCATGACTAACCCTCAGTGAGCCTGAGGCATGTGTCTATCCTAAGATACCCTTGGTCCCAGAAGGCAGGCCTCCTCCTTTGCCAGTTCACTGCTTTCTCTAATAATGTGGCCTATCTCTCTTCTAGGCTTTACTCTGAAACCCTTTAAAAGGGGAGCCTTACTGATGTTATGAGTTTGGGCTTGTGACTTTTGAGTATTTTGCTCAGGGTAGTTGTTATTTTACATGCACTGAATGTGTTATTAGAACTGGTGGCTTCTAGAGAGCCCAAACCCCGTGCTTTCTTAAGCAGACATAAATGGTGGGCTTTTTTTTTTTTTTTCCCAACAGGAGGCGGCAAGCCCGGCTGCAGAAAGAGCTTGCAGAAGCAGCAAAGGAACCTCTACCAGTCGAACAGTAAGTAAAGATAAATGAATCAAAACTGTGTTTCTGAAAATTTGGCTCTCTTAAAAGTTTTGTTTTTATTTTTTTTTTTGTTTGGTTTTTTTTGAGACAGGGTCTTGCTCTGTTGCCCAGGCTGGAGTGCAGTGGTGTGATCATAGCTTCTAATGTTTTTATTTCTGTAAAATCATCTTACAGATTTTAGAAAGAAAAATGTTAAAGGAAGAAAATGAAAACATACAGTTCTTCCACCACTCAGAACTAACATCCATATATCATTTTAATTGTATTTTGCTGGCTTCTAATTTCTCACAAATCATGTACTGATACGGCCTTTGACCCTATTTCTGATTACTTACTTGAGATAGATTATTGAAAATAAAATTTGATGGGTCAAAGCTTTTGGAACATCACCAAATAACCTTCCAAAAAGTTTGTGTTCATCAGCTGTGAATGTGAATTCTAACTTCCTGCACTCAGTACCCGTTACTGCCTCACTGTTTCCTGTTGACACTTTGAACGATCAGTTTTCTGCCTCTTAATTGTGCCTGCCATGTAATGCGGTGGGGTTTTTGTTGTTGTTGTTTTGTTTGTTTTTTCCCTCCTTGCTCCCTTTGGTTTGTAACTTAAAGTGGAAACTTAAGCGAAAACTAAGATCTCTTGGAACAAAAGGAATCAAACTAGTTCTGGAGCTTTTCCTAATCTGCCTACAAGTTAAGGTGGGGTATCTTCTCTGAGATTTGAAGCTTTCATAGTGGTAGAAAAGAGTTTCCTTCGCTCTAGGATGTTTCTTTTCTATTGAAATGTGTTTTGGAATATAGTTTTAGAGTTTTGATCCACTATTTTTTAAAATGTTGGTTGCTTCCCTGTAAGTGGAGGGGTTTAAATTCAACTAGGAGTCATTCACCAACTAACGTCTTAATTTACAAAGAAACAAAGGTTCCCATATCATGCCTTTGCTTTAGATATGTAGGGTACGTGTGTGTCTGCACTCTCAGATGTGGAAGATTAATCTCAGTTGTATTTTCCCAAGCCACAAAGTAAATAAATAGTTGACCTGGAAATGAGATTTGGTTTCTTCAGAATAACAGCTTATAAAAGTGTCATTTGCATAACCGGGTTGACTGGGATAATTTAGACAGGTTGAGCATCCTGCCCAAGATCATACAGGAAGGGGCCGAGGTAGGATGCAAACACAGGGCTGTAAAAGCCTGTTATTTTATTTTGTATTTTATTTTATTTTGAGATGGAGTTTCACTCTTGTGGCCCAGGCTGGAGTGCAATGGTGCAATCTCAGCTCACTGCAACCTCCGCCTCCCAGGTTTAAGCGACTCTCCTGCCTCAGCCTCCCAAGTAGCTGGGATTACAGGCATGCGCCACCACGCCCAGCTAATTTTGTATTTTTAGTAGAGATGGGGTTTCTCCATGTTGGTCAGGCTGGTCTCGAACTCCTGACTTCAGGTGATCTGCCCGCCTTGGCCTCCCAAAGTGCTGAAATTACAGGCATGAGCCACCGAGCCCGGCCTAAGGCCTCTCCTTAATCTCTATGCTTCCCTAAGGAGTTTCTGGGTCAGAGGACATACATCTTTGAAAGGTTTTGATAACTTAGCAAATGCTAGTGTTTTCTTGTGGTCCCGGGCCTAAGCACAGTTGCAAGTACTTAAAACCATAAAATTCTATTTTCAACAGGACATTGTCAAAGGCTCAGCTCATATTTGCAGTTCCTGTCTTTGCAGTTCTCCTCTCTTCCTTGTATGGGCACAGGTGACTCTCGCAAACCTAGATCCCTGGGAAAGCCAATCAAGAAAATAAAGCACAGCCTTGTCCTTTTTCTTTCGACCTGCCTTTTATTCCCTTCTACATCCTGGCCAAGAATGTGGTGCAATAATTACACATAGTCCTGGAATAAATAGCTAAGGAAAATAAATTTACTTTGACCAGGTTTAACTTGCTTAGTAACAGGTTCTTAAGTATATATTTACCTAATCCAGATAATTATTTATTGAAAAGGAAAAATCTTTCTGTCAAGTTCTTATGAATCCAAACAGTAGGTGATGAAATCTTGGGTTATTACATTTAATTATCTTCTCCATGAAGGTTGCATCTCAGTAGGAGGTCATTAAGACCAAAATAATTACTTGCCCTCCTCCAAGTAGGAAAGACGTGGCCCAGAAAAATGAGGAAGGGGGATTCCAGAGGTACTTTGCATCCGCTGGGATAAACAGCAACAAAGGGAGCATGTCCTATGACTTGATTATGTCATTTGAAGTGTGATGGGCTCTCCTAATGTCAGAGACACTATGTATTTAAGCATAAAATGCGCAGAGTCAAAAATGCATAGTGTTTAAATTTTGCTTTTCTATTTTTTAAAGTAATATTTGAAACTGGGTTAAGTTGGCTGTTGATTTCATGGCCCATTTAGCCATCCCTTCTTTCCCTGAATTCTCCCTACACTGTTGTTTTATATTCCATAGCTGCTGCCCCTAACTACCCTAGGTACCCCTCAGCCCTTGTGTCATGGGAACTGTGCTTGGTGAGTACTGCAGCCCTTCAACAGTGATGCTGACTGTTGATGGAATGCCCTACTTTGGCACTGGTTATGTGGTTATAGACTCAACAGATCATATTTTATTGCTTCAAGTGGGAACTGTGTTTATACCTAAAAGGATCAAAAGCTCACTTTTAAATTTATTCTCAGTTGAAATTCTGGATTTGATTTGAACAGGTTAAATGTTTATTGTAGTGTTGTTCAGAACATGGCAGCTCTTCCTTTTTCTCCAAAGAATCTTTAACGCATTGCTGTCATAGCCAAGTGGTTTAGGATCTAACTAGAAAATGACATTAGCATTTGCGGAACCGATTAATCACAGAACTGTTCAGGAGAATCAAAGAATGTCTTGCCTTTCTTTCCAGGGATGATGACATTGAGGTCATTGTGGATGAAACTTCTGATCACACAGAAGAGACCTCTCCTGTGCGAGCCATCAGCAGAGCAGCCACGTAAGTAGGCAGGTTTGGGCCAGGGAAAAGACAGCTTGAGGAGCAATATGAAGGCACATCTGTGGACATGACAAAGAATGCAGTCAGATGCACCCAACCCCTTACCCCTTTTCTGGGACACCCAGCGTCGAACACACCACAGAGGTGTCCAGTCTTTCTCAGTTCACCTCTGCTTAATGGGAGGGAAGCAGAACACGGGTGGCTTCAAATGCTTCTAAATACAAAAAAATGTAGTGGCTTACTCAAATATGGACAGTGAAACCTTATTAAGCAGAATGATTGTTTAGGTTTGATCATCCTGTTTCATTCTTACTAGGGCTTCCCCCCGCCCGCACCGCCCTTCAAGAGTGGGGATTGGTTACTAACAGTCAGAAATTGTGAAGTTAGTTAGCCAGGAATTGTGAGGTTAGTTGTCTAATGCTTTATTTCCAGGGAAATTAATTTAATACTAGGGAACCTTGTTTCTTTTGAAACTTCTAGGCTGGGTTTTCCCTTTCCCTTCCCACTGTTTTCTGGCAGTTTGGTACTGTGTTGGGTTTCTCTTGGCTGGGGTTTGGGAACTAAGTGGGAAACATATTCCCAGTTACCTGTTTTTGTGGGCTGTTTATTGATTGATTATTTGGGCAAAATGTTTCTAAGGTTTAAACCTATCCTCCCCTCCTCTTTAGTAAGCGACTCTCGCAGCCTGCTGGAGGCCTTCTGGATTCTATCACTAATATCTTTGGGTAGGTTAGAAGACCTTTCCTTTTTAAATGTGTATAAGTATACCTAAGTATATGTACATGACTTATTTTTATTCTTTAAATGTACACCAGGTGTCAGTGATGCAGAGTATACATATGCCTTAATATCAGCTTTTCATTTAGCTTCTTCCTTTTTTCCTCAACTTCCTTTCCTCTTAATCTCGCTGCGTGCTGATCTCTGGCCTTTCCCTTTAGTCTGTCCGAGTCTCCCCTTTTGGGACATCATTCTTCTTCTGATGCTGCCAGGTGAAACTATTATCCTCTCTTAGTCCAGCATGTGAGTGTGGGTCCTTAACAATTATGCCAATCACCGCTTCACTGCCCTCAGTCATCAGATGTTCACGTGCTAACGAGGATGCTTTGCATGTTCCTAGGAATGCCGGGAGCCCTCAGAGCAGGGCTGCCAGGTTGAACACTTTGTACAGTACTCATGCTCTTGTTGCTTTCTTTTGGCATGCGTTAGACTCCACATTGATCACAAGTGATGAGGTTGATTCTAACTAGGCATAGAAATAAAATAGTTTTGCAAAAAAGACCAAAGAGCTACCTCTGAGCTAGCTGTTACATTAAGTTGAGAAAGTTTCCCAGCAGCTTATTGACTGGGTAAGCAGTTGTTCAGGATTGCTTTTCATTGTTGGGTTTTGGAGTCCACAGGTTAGTGTGCAGGAGAGTAAGGCATGTGCTGGCTCTCTTTCTCATTTGAGTGAGGGTGCTTTTGATTTTTTTGTGAATTGTTCTGTAGTTTGAAGAATCTAGAAGGACAGGCTATCAACAGAGGCAGTCTGCTTAAGCAAGGTCGTCTTGGAGTCCTTTCTAACAATTTGATGAGCAGTAAACCTCTGCAATCCTGTCTAATATTTGTCTTTATGTTATTTCTTAGGAGACGCTCTGTCTCTTCCTTCCCAGTCCCCCAGGACAATGTGGATACTCATCCTGGTTCTGGTAAAGAAGTGAGGGTACCAGCTACTGCCTTGTGTGTCTTCGTAAGTATGCTTCAGCCCCGAACCCTACCACGCTTGATATGGTGACAGAGCCTGGCAATTAAAGGGTCCTTTCTAGGCCTGCAGCTAAGCATTCCATTGTTTTACTTATATCAAGCCTTTCCACCTTTTGGCTCTGTCAGCTGTGAGAAATTGATATATTTTGCTTAGTTTCAGAGGACAAAATTTGTTACAACCATCCTCTGTAATGGCAGAGCTGACTGAGAAAGGATTGCTAGCATGAGGGATGGGGCAAAGGAAAAGTAATTAGGGATTGTGAAAAATGGGAGAGGGATTTATATAATTATTGTCACCAATTGGCTCCAGTTTAGAGTGAGTTGCCAGTCAGTGGTGTATTATGGAAGTTCAGTAGGACAGCTGTTGGTTTCATGAATTATATCCCTATCTGTATGACTCCCAGCCATTAGGGGTCTATGACTGGAAGCAGTCCTGGGCAGAAGCCACGGTGATGGATACCAGGGCTGTCACCCGGAGTTCAGAGCTGGGTCCTAGTACTAGCAGGTAGTTTGCATCCCAGCTGGGGTAGTTGAGCAGAAATTGAACCAGCCTGGGGAAACATTCAGTACCTGGCTCAGAACTGTCAAAGCATGAGGAGGGTAGGAAACAGAGCACAAAGAACAGAACCTGGAGAGTTGGACTGACTCCAGTACTGGCCTAATAACTGGCAGCGGGTAAGTGAAAGGAGCCAGCTTTCAAAGCAGGGAAGATTTTGCCGTAAAAATGGGATGGAATTTATATGGTGGGAGCTTTGGGTTCCAGGTATAAGGAGGGACTTAGCTAGTTACACAGTGGACTGGCTGAGTGATGAACTGCCTTGACTGTTGTAAAGAGAGTTCCGCTTTGGAGGAGGAGTTGGGATGGGGCGCATCAACGCCCCTTCCCAGTCCCACTCCACTCCTGTGATTCCATGATGCACCGGGCACCTGCAGAGGTCGATGATGATTGGTAAAAGGTCTGATTGCACTGAATGTCACGGTCCCTTTGTTGCCCTCAACTCCCAGCAGCCCATTTTTTCCCTCCCGTCACATTTAAGTCATGTGTATGGGATCATGGAGCAGCTGATAATTTGGGATTCTGTCAGTGTGTGTTTCTGAGAGTGATCGGCTCACAGCTGACGAGTATCCAACAAAACCAGTTACACAGGAGACTGACGAGTGGCAGTCATGGGTGTGATGGTGCATGATCTCAAGTTTTCAATCTGAGACCTCCTAAGGAGAAAGAAACCATAAAAAAGAAAAGGAAATTTCATGGGGGTAAAAGGTTTGGTCACCTGTCATACTTTTCAGCAGTGGGTCACAAGAGGGAGGCAAAGTGGAAAATGAAGTTACCAAAGTGATGCCTGTTGCCCAGCCTGTTAATAGTCACTCCCTCCGTGATACTTCAAGCATTTTATTTTTTTTTAGTCCCAAGCAAATGTAAATATCACATATTCTCTTCCCCAAGTGACCTTTTAGACAAGTGATTATCTACTTAACAATCTCATATTGATAGTCTATGTTTTCTAGTCTTTCTTTTCCTTCTCTATTATAGAAATTTCCAAACATACGCAGTATCTCTTCCCCCCCACACTTATGCTGGAGCAATTTGAAGCCAATTCTAGGCATTATATTTCATCCAAAAATATTTTACTGCCCATAATCTTCTTAAGAGAGTATAGTGAATTTTTCGATTATTCCCTTTTCCCATTCTAGAATGGGATGCTGAGTCTCACTCTGTTATCCAGGCGGGAGTACAGTAGCACAATCTCAGCTCAGTGCAGTCTCAACCTTGGGCTGAAGCAATCCTCCCACCTCAGCCTCTTGAGTAGCTGGAACAATAGGTATGCGCTACCACACCTGGCTAATTTTTGTTTTTTAGTTTTTAAGAGACGAGGTTTCGCCACGTTGCCCAGGCTGGTCTTGAACTCCTGAGCTCATGCGATCTGCCCACCTCGGTCTCCCGAAGTGCTGGGATCACAGATGTGTGCCACTGCACCCAGCCAGGATGCTTTTTTACTTGGTTTTCTTTCTTATCCTGAACATAAGTACCATCTTTTGCCAGTGTTTATGCCAGTATTAGAAATTTCCCTGTGAAGAATATAAATTCTCTTAAAATAACGACTGTCATTTTTATCTAAGGCTTATGCATTAACAGGCACCATTCTGGGTTGCAAAAACCTTTCTGGAGCTGAGCAAACTGAGATTTCAGAAACTTGGCAGAGGTCACACTGCCAGTACACACTAGTCCCATAATGTTTCCAGAAAGAACTACATAGAATTCCATTATAACACAGATTGATGTTTTTGCCATCTACTTATATTAGGACTCATTGCGAAAGCTGTATTATGAGAGGCCATGTGCTATACATTATTTAAATATGTAGTATTTAATATTATTAGTAAATTAGTAATTACTAGTAGATCAATAAGTAGTATTAACTCAGTCTGGACCAAAATTAATTCTAGGTTTACTTTTAAACTATTAAGATAAATATAGGCCATTATTGTTAGAACAGATGAAATTAATGCAAGGACCAACTTTAAGCAGTCTACACAGATTTTGAGTACTTTTTGAGAAGGTTGCACTGCACTCTAATGCAACTGTAACTAGAAGAATAAAATGATAATAGAATCTTAGTTGACCTGGGCTAGGAGTCCAGTTTAGTTTATGATTGGCTCCACCTGTCTTTAAGGATGAGTGTTTCCCCATGAATTAGGCATTTGGAGTGTTCGCGCATCTTGAGCTCTTGGGATGAGAATGACTGGGTTTGACACAGGGTGCTTGTCTTGCAGGATGCACATGATGGGGAAGTCAACGCTGTGCAGTTCAGTCCAGGTTCCCGGTTACTGGCCACTGGAGGCATGGACCGCAGGGTTAAGCTTTGGGAAGTATTTGGAGGTGAGAGCCTGCTGCATGTTCTCAGACTGAAAACTTGAGATGATGCACCCTTGCACTGCAGAAAGAAGCTGTGTTGCTGGCATCTGGTTGACCTTGCTTTCAGGCACTGTGAATTGTTCATTTTCTCAAAACATACATTTTATGTAAGGGATCGTTTGACCAAAGCATCATACATCTCAGTTATTCTTTACTTCCGAGTGGATGTTTGCTCTCATTTTCTAAGTAGTGATCAGAAAATACTGTTAAGTTATGGATATGTTTATGTTAGTAAGGTTTCTGTAGTTTTTCTCAAGTATATACCAATCAGAGCATCTTGCAAAATAGTACCGTTTTTATGAGGAAAATAAGTCTTATGATCATGGATTCTACAATTAAACTATACATTAAGCTGTGGTTGATGCATTTAATGACAATTGCAATAGCCTAGGGAAAAAATGACTGGAGTCATGTCTAAGCTTGAGGAAACAGAGGCGTACTACCTAGAAAAGATGTATTTAACAGTGTATCAGACGAGGGCCCTTAGATCAAGACTCAGTCTCTTTGGACTTTTAGGATGCTCAGAGATGGATGGCATTAAAACAGAAAATGGAAGTTAATGAAACCATCTCTTAGAAGTCTGAAGCCGGGCATTTCCCAGTTTTGACGTTTTCGAGATTCAGTTAAATATGCGTGTATTTTTACTAAAGTAAGGCCGAAGAATAAGGCTTAAGGTTTTTAACGGGAACCACTTTGCCAAGTGTCTGTAGCTGCGACACACACATTATCCCTGTCGAGCAATAAATAGCTCCAAAGTGATTTTGTCTGTTAATTCCCCTGATCATCACAACAGCCCTGTGTGGTTAGAATGGTAGAGATTGCGCCATTTCACAGATAAAGGGAATAAAACTCAGATACTACGTGATTTACATGGCTAGTGAATGATTTCTGTGGTGAGGGAGTGGTGGAACTAGGACTAATGCAGGCCAGAAGACCTGAAATTCCATGCTCTTACTGTAGCCTTCTCTAGCAACTGAAAAATCTTAGGGGTACTGCTTTTAAGGTTTATCAGAGCAGGAGCAACTTATTAGAATAGGTTATTAGTAAAGCACCCCTCCTATCTGCCCCGGCCTTTGATTTTCAGGAAAGGGACTCAGCAGTTAGAGCCCATTGAAGCATACTAAAATTTACTATTTTGCCCAGAAACATTTAGCTTATGAATGATAATGGCTGAAGCAATTAGAAAACAATAATAAAAACAAATCATAAGAAATTTTCACTTTGTGAGGCTGGGGCAAGAGGATTGCTTGAGGCCAGGAGTTCAAGACCAGCCTGGGCAACAAAATGAGACCCTGCCTCTACAAAAAAAATATTAAAAAGTAGCTGGGTGTGTTGGCATGCACTTGCAGTCCCAGCTTCCTGGGAAGCTGAAGTGGGAAGATCAATTGAGCCCAGGAGTGAGAGGCTGCTGTGAGCTCTGATCGCATCACTGCACTCCAGCATGGGCAGCAGAGCAAGACCCTGTGTCTTTTAAAAAAGGAAATTTTAGGGAATTTGATTTGCAAAATCAAAGTAAACAGTCTGTTTTGAGTATGCCATTGAGATTTAAATAAAAATAACACTAGAAATATTTTCGTTTTACTCCTTGGTCAGTAAAAACACCTATAAGAAAATTAGAGGTACCAACCTTTAATTCTAGTAACCTTTTTGCGGCTGAAAAGAAACGAACATCAGTTGAAGTTAATACTGACATAATCTGTGCCAGCACATAATTTGTGTTAATAAAATCAAGTTTCTACCTAATCTACAGAAATAGCAGAATGTGTGGCGGCATTTCTTACAGTTTTGTGTAGGGCCTTTCTTCTACAAACAGCTGTTTCAGTCTACAAGATTTTTCGTCTTGGCAAATATTTATTTACTGAATCTTGGAAGAGGCCAAGTTCAAGAGACCTTTTCTGAAATAGTTTGGGGGTCCTGTTTTTTCATCCTTTTAGATTATCAGAAGAATCACACTTTCTACCCAGTGGGAACATCTGTTTTTGCTCATTTTCTCCAAAGCAGAAGTTCCACTGGGAATTATACAAATGCTGTTGACATAGCACCCCCCGCCCCCAACCCCGTATCTTGTAGATAATTAAGAGTTTTAATACGGTCTTTGTTCTTTTGAGATCAATCTCTCATATTGAATAGCATTAATTTTTTGGTCACTTCCTACATTTCGGCACTGTGTTAAGTGCCAAGCAAATAGACCAGTATTTTAAGCATAAGCCAAAGAGATATTTCTTAGAATTTGCAGTAATATTTTTATCTGTGAAGATTTCATCTAAAGGAAAATCTTAGCGAATATTAGCCTTTTTCAACCCTTTTGAAAATCTTAAGAAAGCTAGGATCCAGAAAAAGCCATTAAATATGCTGTATTTTGCAAGTGAGTTCAGAGGAGAGGTTCATCAACCAGGTTAACAGTCTGTGGCCTGAATGTACATGACAGCTTCAAACCAGTATTCGTGTCACCTTGATATCTGGCTCCAATCATTATTTTTACTACTTAGAAGTACTGAATAAGATAAAAATGTGTTGAAATGTTTTCTGTTCTGTGTTCCTCTTTTACAAATATGATTACAATGGTTCCTTAATTTCTAGCTTATCTGTGTGGATCATCCTTAAGTTACCCTTTTAAAAGGAATTTAATCAAATCATTGAGATTTTTGCTCTTCTCAGTTTGGGATTGCCCGTTACTGAAATTTCCGTGTGGGTGGCCAGGCTGTCTGGAAGCAGAGTAGATAAAGTGGACAGTGGCTCTGTTGGTGAGGGAGAGCTGTGTAGAGGGATGGGAGGTGCTGGCACTTAGTTCGCTTGCCAGGATCTTAGATTCATGGAGATAAAGTATGAGGGCAAATTCCAGAAACTCCAAACTAGCTTGACTGGTATTCTATATGAGTAGTCATTTAAATGTAACTAACACAATTTCTTTTCACACCTTAATGAAAATTACCACACCATGGGTCCAGAAATTGACTGCCAGTTTCTACAAAAGTGGTAGTTAAGTTGGCACAAATGCTGATCAACCCAAATATTTATGTATGTAAGTTTTTAAAATGTACTGAGAAATAGTGGAACTGAATAAACCCAGTCTCTAGTTTGATTGACATGGTTTATAAATTCCTACACTTTGTTTTTCTAAAGAGAATGAATAACTACATTTCTTAAAGAACAGAACACACATCCAAGATGCTGGGGTCAGTGTCCACTTAGACTTGCATTCCTCTTAGAAACTAGCAGTATCTTTTATCTCTCATGTTCTCTTTGTCCTGCTATTT
Organism: Homo sapiens; assembly: GCF_000001405.40. NCBI lineage: Eukaryota > Metazoa > Chordata > Mammalia > Primates > Hominidae > Homo > Homo sapiens. Next base: position 233,280,967 of record NC_000002.12, read on the forward strand.
TGTTTGATTCTGTAAAGGTACAGGATAGCTATTGTTTTAGCAGTGTAATTGGCTTCCATTGTATTTCAGTGCCCTGTTTTAATGTATTTATTGGCTTTATTTAACTTCCCATCATCCTAATTTTTTCTTTTTATACAGAAAAATGTGAGTTCAAGGGTTCCCTATCTGGCAGTAATGCAGGAATTACAAGCATTGAATTTGATAGTGCTGTAAGTATTGAATAGCTATGATTTTAAAGGTTTTTAGAAATAATTTAAGACATTAGGTTCTTGAAATTATAACATAACTTACCCGATTTCTCTGCCATTCTCTGTATCTTAAGCCAAATCCATGTTAAAGAAAGATGGAAATAGATTATAGGGTTAATTGCTGTATCAACTCTGATAAACCCTTGGGTTCTGCTTCATGCATTAGGCTTGTGATGTTACTCAGTACTTTGTATAATTTCACTTAATAGTTGTATTTTGAGTGTATAGATGCTGTACTCCAGGGGCCAGCGTGGTCTCTACCCTCCGAGATTCGCCATCTAAATGAGAGTGATGGGAAAGCATTAAACTGCAAAGCGTTGTGCTGAGTTATGGCTGAGATGTGTGTGGAGTAGAAAGGAAATACTGATGAGAGAGTAGCTCATTCTGGGGCAAGGGTTAGGGGCCATAGTAAGGCATTTAAAGCAGATCTAAAGATAATCAAAGGTCAGAGGCAAAAAGCCAGGGACGGACACCACAGGCAGAGGGAGCAGAGGAGGTTGGGCTGGGCGAGTGCAGGAGCTTGGGTGGAGGTGATGACTGGGTGAGGCCAAGGTAGCGTCCTCATCTACCAAGAGTCCTTATCTTGATTGTCATCTCTGGGGAGCCTTGTTCACATTCCTGGGTGGGCTGAGTGTCTATGTTCCCAGCATCTTGTGCAAACCTATTCTATGGCACGGTGGTGGTCTATATCTGTTTCTTTTACTAAGCTGAGAGCTGACTACCTGAGGACAAGTGTCTGGGCGTTAATCATCTTTGTACCCCCAGCACCTGGCACAGTGCCTATTAGGTTCTAAATAACCACTCCTTGAATTTAATTGGGGAATGATAAGGAAATAAGGTTGGAAAATGAGGGTATGTTGTATTGAAAGGTTTAGACTTTTGTAAAGCCATGTGGAGACTTGAGAGATTTTTAGAAATGGGTATGGTGTTAAGTTGTGGTGGAACTGTGACAGTGCTGAAGACTGGCTTGGAGGAAGCAGGTCTGCAGTGGCCCGTGCGTTCAGTGCTTCTGCAGAGATGCAGAAGGCCCAGGTGGGGGCTGAGGAAATAGGGGAGAAAGGAGAGGACCAGGCTCGACACATTGAAGATGAACAGTTCTCAGAGTGAGAGTTGGGAGATTAGGCAAGGAGAGAGTCAAGGGTGCCTCTGAGGTTTCTGACTTGTTAATATTTGCTGCTAGTGAAGGTTGCCAAGGGAAAAGTGAGTAGGGAAGGCTGGGTTCCATTTGGAGCTTGAGGTGTCTGCAATATTCTGATGAAATTGAGCAAGCTCAGAAAAAAAAAGGTCTGAACTCGAAGGAGACTGGCGAGTTGAAGCACACTCACGACAGTAGCTGGTATTCAGGCTGGTTGTATAGGGTGAAGCATCTAAACCTTCTTGTACTTGATTATTGGGGAATTTATATCGTGTGAACTGAATTCCTCTGATTTGGCTAAAAATTGGTTTTCCTCTTCTTTATTCCCACAGGGATCTTACCTCTTAGCAGCTTCAAATGATTTTGCAAGCCGAATCTGGACTGTGGATGATTATCGATTACGGGTAAGACCCAGTTAAGAAAGTTAGTGCAATCTCCAAACTTCATGTGGTGTTATCAAGGCACAAACTGGCAGGTGCTTAATTAGGGGACTTTGTTTTCCCAAAAATCATGCTTGATTCACCCTGCCCTTCCTTTCCTCCTTGGGGAAATCTGTGTTTCCACTTTATACTCTTTGTCCAAAACTCAGTTTCAAAATATTTGCAATGGGACCCTCACATTTGCATGAAAACCTTGGAATACTCTTCATAAGGACTAAATACTTTGGTAGATAGCAATTTTGGCTTAATGGCACAGAACTTAGCAACAGCATGTGAATTGTGATTCCTGTGGGCTCTAAAACCTAATTACCTAAAGTGGGATATAGAAGTACAAATGGATGTATCATAGGGATAAGACAATTCTGAAACAAAAACTCCAAGCTGAGAAAGAGGGGACAGGTGTCAGAGCAGGGAGAAATGATTGGATGTTGAGGAAAGCTGCATTTGAACCAAAACTTGCCAAGAATTCTCTTGGCATCTGACAGAGAGACCAAAACTTGGTTGTATCATTTTTGATTGGGGCAGGGGGCGGAGGGCGAAGCATGTAACTTAATTTGCAGACATTTTTTTTCCCCATAAGCCTGAAGGAATCATCACATAAGCTTATTAAATACAAGCTATTGAAAGATATAATGGAGGATGAATTTGGCATTAGTAGGCATTTTACTAAAAAAAAAAAAAATTTTTTTTTAAAAAGTTAACACAAGCCGTTTGTGTGTGTCAACCCACACCAAAAACAGAGGAAGTAATGTTAAGATGAATTTTTTTTCTTTTTTTTTTTCTTTTGAGATGGAGTTTTGCTCTTGTGTGGGGTACAGTAGTGTGATCTCAGCTCACTGCAACCTCCGCCTTCTGGGTTCAAGCAATTCTCCTGCCTCAGCCTCCTGAGTAGCTAGGATTACAGGCATGGCTAATTTTTATATTTTTAGTAGAGATGGGGTTTCACCATGTTGGCCAGGCTGGTCTTGAACTTCTGACCTCAAGGGATCTGCCCACCTTGGCCTCCCAAAGTGCTGGGATTACAGGCGTGAGCCACTGTGCCCAGCAAGATACATTTCTTTTTTTGTTTTTTGAAGGCAGAGTCTTGCTCTGTCATCCAGGCTAGAGTGCAATGGCGCAATCTTGGCTCACTGCAAACTCTGCCTCCTGGGTTCAAGCAATTCTCCTGCCTCAGCCTCCCGAGTAGCTGGGATTACAGGCGCCCGCCACCACGCCCAGCTAATTTTTGTATTTTTTTTTAGTAGAGATGGGGTTTCACCATCTTGGACAGGCTGGTCTTGAACTGACCTCATGATCCACCCACCTCGGCCTCCCAAAGTGCTGGGATTACAGGCGTGAGCCACCGTGCCCAGCCTAAATTTCTTTTTTCTTTTTTTTTTTTCTGAGATGGAGCCTGTTGCCCAGGCTGGAGTGCAATGACGTGATCTCGGCTCACTGCAACCTCTGCCTCCCAGGTTCAAGTGATCTCCTTCCTCAGCCTCCCAAGCAGCTGGGATTACATGCATCCTCCACCACGCCCGGCTAATTTTTGTTTCGTTTTTTAAATTTATTTATTATTTTGAGATGGAGTCTTGCTCTGTCGCCCAGGCTAGAGTGCAGTGGCATGATCTCGGTTCACTGCAAGCTCCACCTGCCAGGTTCACGCCAGTCTCCTGCCTCAGCCTCCTGAGTAGGTGGGACTACAGGCACGTGCCACCACACCTGGCTAATTTTTTTGTATTTTTAATGGAGATGGGGTTTCACCATGTTAACCAGGACGTTCTCGATCTCCTGACCTCGTGATCCACCTGCCTCAGCCTCCCAAAGTGTTGGGATTACAGGCCTGAGCCACTGCGCCTAGCCCAATTTTTGTATTTTTTTAGTAGAGACGGGGTTTCCCCATGTTGGCTAGGCTGGTCTCGAACTCCTGACCTCAAGTGATCCGTCTGCCTCGGCCTCCCAAAGTGCTGGGATTACAGGCATGCACCACCACGCCTGGCCCAGATGAATTTCTTAAATCTACAAGGGAGGTGGAGGAGCTGTAGTAGAATGGTATATTAGGTGGGTTTCTGGTGATTTTCTTGAGAGGGTTGTATAGATTATTAGTATTAGATGCTAGCCAATACCTCAGGGGTGGTCATTCTTAATTCACAATTTAAAGAAGATCCAGGTCCGAACATGCAAAATAACGAGCCCTGACGATGACAAGGACATGTTGTGAGAGCTGAGGAGCCTATGTTCTTGTCTTAATGACGGACTAGGGAAGTGCACTGCTAGAGAGCCTGCCATGGGGCACACCAATTCAGATGCTTGAATAGGGTCATTTGAAGCCCTGTAGTTCTGTACTGTACACATGGAAAAGATGGCCTAGCCGGTACTCATGGCTACGTTCTAATCCATCCTGTGGTATACTGTGATTTATCTATCCATTGATCTTTTATTCTAGACTGAGATACAGTAAAACTGACCAATTATTGAAGAGGGGCCTACAGCCTTTTTTTTATGATAGTCCCTTAGAGGAGAAGAGGAAGAAGTTGAGTCAACCAGTAGTGCAGGATATTTTTTAATTGGTAATAGAGGAGTCCTATACAGGTGGGCATCAGCCTTTGGGTCAGAAATAACAAGAAGGGGACCTAGAGCAGGGAGCTAGACTGACAGATGAAGGTCATAACATTGAGCTGGCACACAGGTCTCACTGGGGAAATGTTCTCAGTATGCTGGAGCAGGGCGCAGGCTGCTGGGCTGCTGCTTCTGATGATGCCGTGCTGGGGCAGGAGCCTCCTGTGCTGGACTAGTTGGCTTTTGAGTTTCTGGCCTGCTCATAACCTTGTCCTGTTACTTGGTAAATGTGTGAAGATTGGGAGGCCTGTTTCAGCAGATTCCCTGCACCCAGAGAAGTCTCCCGAAAACCTTACCAGGTTCCAGAAAGTAAAATAGGCTCCTTATTCTAGGGAGTGCTGGCTTTTTTTTAGACCCCAGTTAACAGATGGTACTGGAGGACAGGAATCCATTCATCTATGTTGTGAAACTCACAGACATCCATGCCCTGTTCGGTGTCTCCTTTGCTCTTACGACAAGGGAATGGTGTTGGGAGAGACTGGCAAACAAGAAGCAGCTGGTTGAGTGCTTGCTTTAACATCCTTTTTGTAAATGCACCCTAGAAACAACCTGGCATTGAAAGGAGTCCTCTGTGATGCCTCCGTTAAAAATCTAAAGTCAGTACAAAACTGCCTGGCTGCTTGGTAAGATTTGACTTGAGAAACTTGCTTGAGAACCCCCCTGCCCACTTCTCTCGTGGTGTGGTGAAGTGGCCACAGTGAGGATTGGCTATGGCTGCTAGGTGATGGTTTCTGTTTGGAATGTTCCTCTTTGAGTTCTGCATTCTTCTGGAATCGGCTGTCTTTGGTTGGTGTTATGTTAGCTGCATGATTAAGTTGTTACCTGAATGAGCAATTTTGTGTTTAGAAATAGGGGTCGGCACTCGTTATCTGCCATGAGGCACAGAGATAGTCTGTGCAGAGCCCAGTGGAGCAGAGAAATCTTGAAGCCTCCCCACTTTGAGGCCCCGGCCTTGATGACATCTAAACCCGCTGCCCCGCTATTGTTAATCCCTGTTTAAAAGTAGAAGATGAAACCTAAAAGTGTTGTTAATCATAAAAATGAATTTCAGAAACACCTAACAGATAGAAGAATTTTAAATCTGATCCATTTCAAAGGACTCTATAAATGATAGAGGTGAATGAATGCCTGTAGGAGGCCCAGCTCTATACCATTGGAAGCACCGAGACAGTGAGTCAGCCTCAGGCAGCTCCAGCTTATTCTCACTGAGAATAAGGTGAGCAGAAGCCCAAACTTTTTTTTTTTTTTTTTTTTTTGAGACAGTGTCTCGCTCAGTCACCCAGGCTGGAGTGCAGTGGCGTGATCTCTGCTCGCTGCAAGCTCTGCCTCCTGGGTTCACACCATTCTCCTGCCTCAGCCTCCCGAGTAGCTGGGACTACAGGCGCCCGCCACCACGTCCAGCTAAGTTTTTGTATTTTTAGTAGAGACGAGATTTCACCGTGTTAGCCAGGATGGTCTCGATCTCCTGACCTTGTGATCCGCTCACCTCGGCCTCCCAAAGTGCTGGGATTACAGGCATGAGCCACCGCGCCTGGCCAAGCCCAAACATTGTAAAGAGCAAGGTGACAATACGTACGAGGAGCCAAGAAACAAAACGTCCCTTTCCCTTATTCCATTAGTTCAGCAGTTTCATTCCTGGAAATAAGTCAAGAGAAGAAAGCTGTGTGCTCATAGATGTTCACTGCAACAGCATCTGTGACAGACTCTTAAAGAAAGGGAGGTGCAACAAGGAAGAGATTTGATCCCATTCATCTTGCTGAGTCCGTACTAAGATAGCACAAGGATGTTTCCTGTTCACAGATGTTACAGAGACCCAGGGTGTTCAAATCAGTGGAACCCCAAAGCCCATGAATTTTCAGCTATCACATGAAAAAATGCTTACGCTATAAGCTTAAAAGAGTAATGGATAAATTTTTAGGAAGAGTATAATTGTGTAAAGATTAACATGTTCCTGTGAAGTATGTAAAAATGAATATACAGATGGTCCCCAATGTAGGGTATTTTCATCTTACAATGTGTTTGTCAAGACTGGCCCCATCATAAGTTGAGGATCATCTGTACTTGCCATATCCCACTTATGAACAATGTCTTTTTCTACCCTGTGTTTGTGAAATGTGATTTTACTCTTAACATTAAGAAAGAAACAGATAGTGAATATAAATACAAATTTGAAATTTTGATAAAATAGTTATTCAGAATTTAATGTAAGGCCGGGCACAGTGGTTCATGCCTGTAATCTTAGCACTTTGGGAAGCCGAGGCAGGCGGATCACTTGAAGTCAGGAATTCAAGACTAGCCTGGCCAACATGGTAAAACCCCGTCTCTACTAAAAATACAAAAATTAGCTGGATGTGGTGGCACACGCCTATAGTCCCAGCTACTCAGGAGGCTGAGGCAGGAGAATCACTTAAACCTGGGAGGCGGAGGTTGCAGTGAGCTGAGATCACGCCACTGCACTCCAGCTTGGGTGACAAGAGTGAAACTCTGTCTCAAAAAAGAAAAAAAGATAGAATTTAAGAAGTAGCCTACCCAAGTTTTGTCTCTGCCCATGATTTGTGCAGAGTGGATGTTTTATATTGAATGGAATCATTATTCATGGACTGTATCTAGTGTAGGCTTTGTTACTGGAGCTTTCTTGATCTTACGGAAGGATCAGTGGGAGGTTTTCACACAACCGCAGCACAGCCGGCACCCGACTGGCAGCAGTTGTAAGATGCTGTCCCAGTTTCAGAGGTTTGAATGTGGGATAAGGCAGTCTGAGAACTCATACAAGCTTCCCTCATTGAAGCTGAGAGGGGAGTATATGTGGTCCGAAGTTTTCGCTTCTGTGCTAAAGTGGAGTTAACCCCACTGAAAATAGAGGAAGGATTGGTTTCAAAAATGTTAACACAAAAAAAATCTAACCCTGAACCATGAGGTCTCATCTTTGGGAACTAAGGTTTGGAGTGCAGTGGCATGATCTGGGCTCCTTGCAGCCTCGACCTTCTGGGCTCAAGCAGTCCTCTCACCTCAGCCTCCCCTGTAACAGCTGAGACTATAAGTACCCACCACACCCAGCTAATTCGAATTTTTTTGTAGAGATGAGGGTCTCACTAATTTCCCCAGGCTGGTCTCAAACTCCTGGGCTCAAGCAATCCTCCCACCTTGGCTTCCCAAAGTGCTAGGATTACCAGTGTGAGCCACTTTGCCAACCCTTGCATTTTCTAATTAGAAAGAAAACATCAGTGAATACCTTCTGAACCTCTGGTGTTTTACACATAGAAAAATGTTGATCATGCACTGCATAGAGGTCAATGATGAATGGTAAAAGGTCTGAGTCCTCAGATCCCCTCCCGGCATCCCAGTTATCCCCAGCTGCCTCTCCTCCATCGCACTTCAGAAGTGCTGCGATGGGCAGAAGGGCAGCTGACACTCCGTGATGTCCCTCATTCTGTGTTCCTCCGTGAGCTCAGGGAAGACACTGGTTGGCATCCAACAGCTTAGTCACAAAGGGATTTGATTGTTGGGAGTGCTGGTATCTGTGGCTATGATCTGCCTTGTTCAAGCTGAGACCTCTGATTGAAAATCCCCCAGGGGTTTTAATTGTTTACATAAGGAGTCCTGATGTTTCCTTTTGTAAATTATGCCTGTGGTGACCTTGTCTAGTCTGACTTTAAATATGGAACTGACTTTCAGCAGCATGGCGCAACATCGAGGCTTTAAAAATTCTTTAATTTGATATAATTCAGACATAGAAAAATTACAAAAACAGTACAGCAGGTATCTGTGGTAGAGCTGATTTCAAATTCAAGATTGAGGATGGGGAGCACGTGAAGCTTGGTGCTAGTGATGTTGAATTTTTGTTTTTAATGTTATTTTTAGTGGGAGTTTTATCCTTTTGGTCTTGATACCTCACCTTTGGCCAACACTCAAAGATAGGCTTCCTATGAGATACATGGCCCCTGGATAAGACTCAGTGAATGAAATTGTTGCTTCTTGTCCTGTTTGGGATGTGTGTGTGTGTGTGTGTGTGTGTGTGTGTGACAGGATCTTGCTATCACTCAGGTGGAGTACAATGGCACTATCATAGTTCACTGCAACCTCAACCTCCCAGGCTCAAGCAATCCTCTTGCCTCAGCTTCCCAAGTAGCTGGGACCCCAGGCGCATGCCACCACTCCCTGCAAATTTTTAAAAAAATTTTTTTGTAGAGATGGGGGTTTCACTGTGTTGCCCAAGCTGTTCTTGAACTCCTGGGCTCAAGCAGTCCTCACACCTTGGCCTCCCAGTGTGCTGGGATTGCAGGCGTGAGTCACTGTGCCTGACCTGTTTCTTTTTCCTTTGCTGTCTTATCGCTTTGAGTGTTCCTGGCCGGATCTCAGGGTGGTCTGACACTCTGACTCTGGAGGTAAGGATGCTGTGGATACTTTGCCAGCATAGGCAGGGCCTGGCGCCCTGAGGCTCACCCTGGCTGTGTTCTCTCTCCTAGCACACACTCACGGGACACAGTGGGAAAGTGCTGTCTGCTAAGTTCCTGCTGGACAATGCGCGGATTGTCTCAGGAAGTCACGACCGGACTCTCAAACTCTGGGATCTACGCAGCAAAGTCTGTGAGGAAATTCAGTCTCTCTGTCTGTGTATATGCTTAGATGTTAGCGTGGAGGTGTGTGTTTGCACGTCAGAGCCTGCATTTATGTAATATAGTTTGAATTTCAGATCTGGCTTCATGTTTAGAGGGGCACTGAGGATAGTGATAGTTTTTCTTGTTTAAAGCTTCATTTAAGTGAGTAACTCTGACAAGTCAGTGGTTAGAGGGTGGCAGCATTATGTAAACAGCCACGTTGGTGCCTCTGCTTGATTAATGATGTTTGCATTTCTTTCAGGCATAAAGACAGTGTTTGCAGGATCCAGTTGCAATGATATTGTCTGCACAGAGCAATGTGTAATGAGTGGACATTTTGACAAGAAAATTCGTTTCTGGGACATTCGGTATGATACCCAAGCTCCTGACTGGAGGCACATAAGAGTCTCCACAGTAATGGTTCTGTACATGGGTTGTGCTTTTAAGATCTCAGGACATGGCAGAAATGAGTTTCGGTACACGTATAGTGTTAGCTTATTAACACTTGGCTGTTCTTTCCCATGAAGTAGACTGTGGAGCTTAGCAATCATTTATTGAGCATGCAGTGAGTGCTAGGCCCTTCACCAGCTGGCAGGTAAGAAAAGGCAAACAGGATACTCTTTCTACCTTTAGGTAATTTAAACTGTAGTAGGGAAGGCAGAACGCAAAAGTCAGTGACTAGTGTGTTGAAGTGGAGGCAGCTACGTTTGTTCCAGTGTGTTAAAGAATGCCTCTCCAGATTTCTCCGGAGACGTGAGTAGGATTCACACGGCAGGAAAGCCACTCAAACTTTTGAGTGTGTGTCTGGTGGCTGATACATGGCAAGTGAGCAGGAAACAGGGCAGAAGCCAGTGAGGGGGCTATGAGGGGTTGAAATCAGGTTGCCACAGGCTTGATAAGCCATTGTCAAATCACTCGATCTTGTAAGTCGTTGGGTGTTTAGCAAGGAAATGGTTGCTTTGCAGGAGTCTAGTAGACGACTTTGGTGGCATTTTGAGAGGGCATATTAGGGAATAGGAAACCAATAGAGTTGATAAGGACCTAAGTTCAAGTCAGTAGAGGAACATGTGGAGGAGAGAATCTATTTGAAGGAGAATTTGGACAGGGCTTATTGACAGGTTGGAGGAAGGGGAAGACAGGATGGAGAGTAAATGAGGACAGCCTCCCAGCAGGGTTGTAGAGAGGGTGGGGGTACAGGGCCTGTGGTGATAGATGATGCTTTGAAACACAGCATGGCACCAGAAAGTCCTGACAATGCTCATGGTTCCTGGACACCACTTCACATTTTATTCATAATCTTTAGTTTGCTTTTAAAACCTGAAATTGGAACTTGAAAGATGGAATTTGAGAGTTAAGTTGGATGTTCGAAGTCTCTTAGTCCATCCCATAATTTGACAGGTGAAGACCCTGAGTCCCAAGGAAGTGGAGTAGCTTGCTTCAAGCTGCATATTTAGCAACAATAAGATAAATTCTTGCTTAGTTAAGGTGGGAGGTAGGAAAAGGTTTCATTGAAAGCCTACAACAAAATCATCACAGAACAGGTCAGCACCCCCTTTGGCTATGAATGTCACCAACAGGGCCCTGCCCAGGGTGGCTGTTAGCCACCCTGGACATGGGCCACAGCACAGAGAAGAAGAGGGAGGTGCGTAGGGCCGTGGCTCTGCCCTGGCTTTCCTGGCCCCATATCTGGAGGTGGAGGGCCACAGAGCCACAGTGAATAGGGCAGAAAACCTGCAAGAGGCTAGAGTTACACTTACAAGGCAGCCCAGGCCCACTAATGCAGGTTTCTTTGCCAACTTTATCCAAAAGTTGAAATCACATCACTGAAAATAATACGAATTGGGTAGTAGCCCTAGTTAGCTCATGCTGATCAGAAACCGATGGGCGATTGTTGTCATTCCAAAAATGGATGAGGAAATTCTTACCAACTTCAGAGTTCTAGTCTGGGAATGACTGTCTTAGGGTCTGTTGATGGGAAAGTAAGAAAAGCAGTCACAGGTTATTAGAAGACTGGGAACACATTGACTGCGCTGGCAGAGCGTTGCATGCTAGTTGAATTGCAGTGCCTTTTTTTTCCTCCACGGCATGATGTGAAGTAGTTCTGGCCTACGTTACATTTCTCAGATCTGTTCTCCCTCTTAGATCAGAGAGCATAGTTCGAGAGATGGAGCTGTTGGGAAAGATTACTGCCCTGGACTTAAACCCAGAAAGGACTGAGCTCCTGAGCTGCTCCCGTGATGACTTGCTAAAAGTTATTGATCTCCGAACAAATGCTATCAAGCAGACATTCAGGTAACTGAAGATGTGCTGGTTGCATGAAGACCAGAGGCCCAGCCCTGCTCTCTTAACGTGCTGCGTGGCCTGAGCTCCCTCAGTGACAGTGCCCTGTTGTTTGTTTCAGTGCACCTGGGTTCAAGTGCGGCTCTGACTGGACCAGAGTTGTCTTCAGGTTAGTAGTGACCCACCCCCCGCCAATTTGGTTCATCACAAAGAGTCCTGCATGGGCATTTTCCCACTGGGGATATAGAGCTAAATTTTGTTCAGTGCCCAACCTATGTTTCCAGGAGTGTGCCTGTAAGTTCATAATTGCAGGCCACCATTATTGTCTCTTCCTTTCCAGTGTTCCTTTTGTGATTACATGAACCTAACGTGTTGTACCAAAAAATAACAGTTGGCTGGTTGCTTTGTTGTGGGTGAGCCCATTAGGTTCACTTCTCATCACTCATTCACGCAAGAGCTGTTGGAGAGCCTTTAGAAAAGGGCAGGAGTGGCCGTGGGCCTGGGGCGGGACTGAAAAGGCTTTTTGGAGAAGGGTGTGCAGGTGGTCTGCAGTTTTCTGCTCCTTGTTCCCTTCTTCCATGTATCCTGCTTCTTCCAAATACCTTTCCAGGCTCAGTTGCTAAGATGTTTCTTTTCTTCCCTCCTCTCTTTGAGGCATGTAACAAGGCAGTCCATGGGCTGAAACCCTTAGCTATGTGGAGGTTGGCTTTGATCTCCCTATATGTTGTTTTGTTGAAGTCTGTAGATGGTTAAGGACTTGGAGCCCCAAGAAGCAATGTGATGCCACTGTTCATTAGCCGGACGGGGCTGAAATACTGGGGAAAAGCAGATTTGGCTGGAAGGGCCATGACTAGCACACATTCTGAGGTCTGGGTACACAGGAGTGGTCATCAGTGAAGAACAAACATTCCTTCTTGGGAAAAAGGCCACAGAGATGCTGAATTGGGGGTGGGGAATTGACAACCTTTCTTTTCTTACTGTCTTCTGTAGCCCTGATGGCAGTTACGTGGCGGCAGGCTCTGCTGAGGGCTCTCTGTATATCTGGAGTGTGCTCACAGGGAAAGTGGAAAAGGTTCTTTCAAAGCAGCACAGGTAAGATGAACCCTGTCTCAGCCCCCCGTTGCGTTGTGAGCAAGGCCTTTGACTTCATCTCAGGGGTCATCCGGTTTAGACCTCAGTCGGCGCTGTGAGGGCACTGTCCGCCCACCTGCTCGGCTGGCTGAGCTAGGTCAGTGGAGAGAAGCTGGGGCCACTCACACAGCACAGCAGGCCACAGTCTACAGAGTACGCCAGGTAGAGCGGTTAGAGTGGCAGCCGCTGGAGAAAGGGTTATAGAAACACATCCCTGACTCTTTGGTTATGTCCACGTCCTCTGTGTCTCCTTCCCCTTCCCTACTCTCCTTCCTTTCCGCCTCCCTGTCTCCCTTGGAAGTCCCTGTTGTCAGTGCATTTCAGTGCATTGACGTGTCCTAAACACTGATCTCCACACACCTTCTTTTATCTTCCACCTGATAGGCAGGCCCCAGACCCCCTTTTTTCCTAGCTTTGTTCTGCCCACACAAGCCCACCTGCTAGTTGGAACCCAGATACCATTTTCCTTCAGAACCTCTCTCCCTGTCCTTGGGCAGCAGCAACTGCTCCCAGACCTAACCAGTGCTGACCACCACTGCCCGGCTCTTCAGAGGCATGTGTACTGTCTTTCCAGCTCACTCAGAGCTCCTCTCTTAGGGAGAGTGTGATAAGGCCTGACTGCCAGAGGGGCCAAACTCCCTTCATCCCAGCATGACTTAATTAAGTACACCACTGGATTTTTTCTGAGGTCTTTTGCATGTTAGTGAGCTCCTGCCTTGTCGCGGGCACAGTGCCAGAGAGTAAAATGGAAGTTGGAAAAATTAGGACTCCCTGAATGCACAAGCTTCTGGTGTTTGGTTTACCAAGATCTCATCCCAAATGTTCTGAAACTTGGTGCTTTTCTGATCTCTCCTTTGAAGCTCATCCATCAATGCGGTGGCGTGGTCGCCCTCTGGCTCGCACGTTGTCAGTGTGGACAAAGGATGCAAAGCTGTGCTGTGGGCACAGTACTGACGGGGCTCTCAGGGCTGGGAGGACCCCAGTGCCCTCCTCAGAAGAAGCACATGGGCTCCTGCAGCCCTGTCCTGGCAGGTGATGTGCTGGGTATAGCATGGACCTCCCAGAGAAGCTCAAGCTATGTGGCACTGTAGCTTTGCCGTGAATGGGATTTCTGAAGATTTGACTGAGGTCTCTCTTGGCCTGGAAGAATAACACTGAAAAAACCTGACGCTGCGGTCACTTAGCAGAGGCTCAGGTTCTTGCCTTGGGAAACACTACTAGCTCTGACCTTCCATACCTCACTTGGGGGAGCACAGGGCCCCGCTGGGCCTCCTCACCAACGGCAGTGCCAAAATCAGCCCCCACATCAAGGTGGTGTTCTCTGTGCTTTCTCTCGTCCTTCCAAAGTCGGTTCTGGCCTAACGCATGTCCCAACACCTTGGGTTCATTTGCCCGGTGAACTCACTTTAAGCATTGGATTAACGGAAACTCCCGAACTACAGACCCCTCCCTGGTGGGTTGCATGAATGTGTCTCATTACTGCTGAAATGTCCTCACATCTCTTTCACTGTTCTTCAGAGCTTTCTGGCTCTCTTTCCCCCACAAAATTCGACATATTTAAAAATCTCCGTGTGGCTTTAAAAAATGGTTTTTTGTTTTTTTGTTTTTTTGAGGTGGGAGAGGATGTGTGAAAATCTTTTCCAGGGAAATGGGTTCGCTGCAGAGGTAAGGATGTGTTCCTGTATCGATCTGCAGACACCCAGAAGGTGGGTGCACACTGCATGCTTGGGGGTGCCAAGGGATTCGAGACCTCCAACATACTTGTCTGAAGGTGGTGATTCTGGCCATGGCCCCTCTGCCAAGCCTGTGTGCGATGCCCTTGGTGCTTTAGTGCAAGAAGCCTAGGCTCAGAAGCACAGCAGCGCCATCTTTCCGTTTCAGGGGTTGTGATGAAGGCCAAGGAAAAACATTTATCTTTACTATTTTACCTACGTATAAAGTTTTAGTTCATTGGGTGTGCGAAACACCCTTTTTATCACTTTTAAATTTGCACTTTATTTTTTTTCTTCCATGCTTGTTCTCTGGACATTTGGGGATGTGAGTGTTAGAGCTGGTGAGAGAGGAGTCAGGTGGCCTTCCCACCGATGGTCCTGGCCTCCACCTGCCCTCTCTTCCCTGCCTGATCACCGCTTTCCAATTTGCCCTTCAGAGAACTTAAGTCAAGGAGAGTTGAAATTCACAGGCCAGGGCACATCTTTTATTTATTTCATTATGTTGGCCAACAGAACTTGATTGTAAATAATAATAAAGAAATCTGTTATATACTTTTCAAACTCCATGCCTCTTGGTGATTATTTTATTCTCCCTTATCCTTAGAAAGGGGAAAGAAAGTGATTTCTTTGTTTACCTGGTAGTTATTTGTAAACAACGGCTAGTACTTTTTAACGGTCTTTTTTCATTCATCATGTAAGCTCCATTCCACAAAGTATCTCTCTCTGTAAACACCAGTGTTCCAGTTTCATGTCGCGCAAATCTTAACGGACATTGGAAAGATGTTTCTTCAGAACATTACCAGCTGCAGTAGAAGAGCCCAGCACGGATTGCTCTTCAGCCCTCTGCACGGAGCCTCTCTCCAGTGAACTGCCGCAGCAGAGAGGCATTCACTTGTGGTGGCTCAGATTCCTGACACACAGCCTGAGCTGTAGCAAATGATGACCACCCTTATCAGGAAACTCAGCCAGTCGTCCACTTAGCCTAGCACCTGGAGTCAAGCTGCCATCAGAGTCTGAAGTCTGAGGCAGCCAATGCTTGCACAAAGCTGGATGAAAGCGAGATGTGTTGGCTCACACCTGTAATCCCAACACTTTGGGAGGCTGAGGCAGAAGGATCACTGGAGGCCAGGAGTTGGAGGCTACAGTGAGCTATGATTGCACTCCAGCCTGGGTGATACAGTAAGACCCTGTCTCAAAAAAAAAAAAAGTTAGACGAGCCCTTTGCAATCACCTTCAAAAAGGTGATTCTCCAAATAGTCCCCAAATAAGTGTTCGAGTAGTCTCAGATCATCCTGTTTTTGCATTTGGAGGGAAGCATGGCTGTTCTCTGTGCTCAGCCTGAGCTCCATTCCAGTCCCTTAACTGCCAATGCTGAGCTAAAGGTAAGGGGGTCTCACAGCACCGGGGAATGTGACTTCCGTTTAACTCCCTGCCTAGCGCATGGACTAGGGCCTTTCCAGCTGCTAGTTTTGTTGGTCAGAGCAGGAGGCATGCATAGGGGTGTGTGTGTGTGTGTGTGTGTGTGTGTGTGTGTGTGTGTATGTATGTATGTATGTATGTATATGTATGTATGTATGTATGTATTTGAGACAGGGTCTTACTCTGCTGCCCAGGCTGGAGTACAGTGGTGTGATCACTGCTCACTGCAGCCTCGACCTCCCAGGCCCAAGTGATCTACTCCCTAAACCGGAGCACACCACCATGCCTGGTTAATTTTATTTTTAATAGAGATGGGGTCTCAATATGTTACAGGCTGGTCTCCAACGGCAGTGCCAAAAGCAGTCCTCCTGCCTCAGCCTCTCAAAGTGCCAGGAGTACAGGAGTGGAGCCACTTTTGTTTGGCCCTATTTTTTTTATTTATTTTTATTTTTTGAGACAAGGTCTCTGTCACCCAGGCTGGAGTGGAGTGGCGCAATCTTGGCTCACTGCAGCTTTCGCCTCCCAGGCACAAGTGATCCCCCCACCTCTGTCTCCCGAGTAGCTGGGACAATAGGTTCGTGCCACCACACCCAGCTAATTTTTTATATTTTGTAGAGACGGTTTCACCATGTTGCCCAAAGCCTTATTGTTCAAGCACATACTGTTCATATGCTGCCTCTTATAGATGTCCCAAAGCCCCACCTGCTTTCACAGCATGGCACAGGACGTTTTGTGTGGACACGGGTGAATGGATGAAGAAGGTGCTCTTAGGCTCCAGGAGCAAGTTGGCTGGGAAGTCCCAGGTTGCTGAGTGTACCAAATCCTGCAGAACTACCTGAGTGTCTGTAGCAGAACAGCAATTTTAATTGATTAGACCTTTTTCTTTTTCTTTTTTTTTTTTTTTTTTTTTGAGGCAGGGTCTCATTCCGGTTGCCCAAGTCGAGTGCAGTGACAGAATCTCAGTTCACTGCCACTTTGACCTGGGCTCAGGTGATCCTCCCGCCTCAGCCTCCCGAGTAGCTGGGACTGCAGCCACGTGCCACCACGCTTGGCACATTTCTTTGTATTTTTAGTAGAGATGGGGTTTTGCCATATTGGCCAGGGTTGTCTCGAACTCTGGACTCAATCCACCCACCTGCCTTCTCAAAGTGCTGGGATCATAGGCATGAGCCGCTGCACCTGGCCTGAGTAGATGTTGTAAAATGTGGACTTTCCACTCATACCTGTTTCCAGCACCAGGAGACAAGAATGACAGTGATAATACTGTCTTGTACCAAGTCTGGTTACTTTGATACAGAAACCACAAGCATTTTTGTTTTTATAAGATGGCTTGGGTAGTAATAAAATAAGTCTGTGGCTCTCAAATTCTGTAATCTGGATTGTACCCCATTTCGCAAATGGGGAAATGTTTAACAGCTCAGCAAGAAGTTATCCTCGTCCTAGAGTCCTGGGCCCATCTGCTTCAGCACTGCCTGCCACACCAGGCCCACAGGGACAGGCGTGACACTAAGGTGTGCCTTCAAAAGTGAATGGGCTGTACTCCTCCGCATGGCTTTTTCTCTCGTGTCCTGCTTTAATAAGTCCTGCTTACGTTAGAAATTCCTATTTTTCATCTAAAAAACTTTGGAAATCCCGGCACTTTGGGAGGCTGAGGCAGGCGGATCACGAGGTCAGGAGATTGAGACCATCCTGGCTAACACGGTGTAACCCCATCTCTACTAAAAATACAAACAATTAGCTGGGCATGGTGTGTGCCTGTAGTCCCAGCTAGTCAGGAGGTTGAGGCAGGAGAATCACTTGAACCTGGGAGGTGGAGGTTGCAGTGAGCCGAGATCGCGCCATTGCAGTCCAGCCTGGGCGACAGAGCAACACTCTGTCTCAAAAAAAAAAAAAAAAAAAAAAAACAACCTTTGGCAATCTTGAGTAAAATGAGGTATGCCTGTATCTGCATAGATTCTGTAAAAGTGCATGAGGTATGTGATGCCTGCCAGTGAAAGATAGGACTAATCACAAAATGATTCTTAGCTGCCTCACTTAAGCAAAATTTGACTTCTCTGGCCTCCAGGAACTCTGGCTTTCCTAACAGGTCTCAACCCTTCCTGGCCTGTTTGTTCCAGATCCTCCCTCTCTGTGCATGCTCCAACTGTTCCTGTCCTCTTAACCTTCCCCGCTCCTTAGTGAAGCTTCCCCGGCACCATGTTGCCTTCATATTCTAACCTGCAATTGGCGAGCACAGTGAGAACATCCAAACCAGGACAAATGCAGAACCCAAGAGAGTAGACAGTATTGTCTCTAATGAGTCCAGTGTTCCCACCACTTAACAGCCCTGTCAGTCTCAGTCAGCCCTCTTTGATGCTTCCCCCCAGGGTATTTTAACGCAAATTTCAAGCATGTTGTCTTACCCATAAATTACCATGCATCCCAACCCAAACCGGCAAAGGTACCTGGCTGTGATTAACCTACTGGAATTAACAGTGACAGTATCACGCACCCTCCAGTCCAATGTTCCTAATTGTTGCAGCACTGTTTCTTATGATGGGTTTGAAACAAAATCCAGTTAGCTTTTGCTGCGTAACACACTACCTCAAACTTCATGGCTTAAGACTGATTATTTACTAAGATTCTGTGAGGCAGCTGGCCTGGCCTAGTGGGAACGGATGGTGGAGGTGGCTTTGTTCACATGTCTGCTGGGGGGACTGCTGGCACAGCAAGCAAGCAAGCAAGCATCTGTGTGTAAGCAAGCCCTTGTCACTCTGCTTGGGTCACTTTTTTTTTTTGAGATAGAGTCTTGCTCTGTTGCCCAGGCTGGAGTGCAGTGGCACGATCTTGGCTCACTGCAAGTTCTGCCTCCTGGGTTCACGCCATTCTCCTGCCTCAGCCTCCCGAGCAGCAGGAACTACAGGCGCCCGCCACCACACCCGGCTAATTTTTTTGTATTTTTAGTAGAGACGGGGTTTCACCGTGTTAGCCAGGATGGTCTCGATCTCCTGACCTCATGATTCGCCCGCCTCAGCCTCCCAAAGTGCTGGGGTTACAGGCGTGAGCCACTGTGCCCGGCGTTGGGTCACCTTTTTAACGTTCCATCGTCTAACGTGGATGGCACAGGCAGCGCCACTGCAGTGAGAGCACAGCAAGGGGAACGGGGCGGCCATCTCGGCGGCTGGCTGCAGCAGGGTCTACATGCTGTTCCCCCATCACCTGAGTATTTATTCTAGAACAGTAATTCTTGCGGACCTTTTTTTGAATGCCCTACACTGGATGTGGTTGACTTCTCTGTAAGCATACACTTACGTCTCAAGTGGGGACATTAGTCTTGCACATGACTGTGGGCCCAGCCCCCACTGTGGATTGCTCTGACCCCAGGCACAGGAAGATGACGGCAGGCAAATTCTGACTTTGGGCTTCATTTTTGTCAGAGAACTAGTGAGGAGAGGATAGGTAGGCATGCTTGTGAGCCAGGCAGTAAGAGGATCAACTGTAAACAGCCTGGCTTCTAGTTAGGAAGCCATAAGTCCTGTTGCCCCCAGAAGTACACCCGGATGGTCATAAGAGACTAAAGAGATCTCAGGGCCATCATATGCTTTACATCCGATAGAGTGCTTAGCACATGGTGGGTCTATAGTAGTAGAATTAGTGGAAAACAAACCAAAACAGCCCCAAGATTGTCCCAAGATATAACTAGCTGAAAGGAAGAGAAAATCGTTTAAAAATGTAATAGTAGGCCAGGCGTGGTGGCTCTCGCCTGTAATCCCAACACTTTGGGAGGCTGAGGTGGGCGGATCACTTGAGACCAGGAGTTCGAGACATGCCTGGGCAACATCATGAAACCCTGTCTCTACTAAAAATGCAAAAATTAGCCGGGTGTGGTGGCACATCCCTGTAATCCCAGCTACTCAAGAGGCTGAGGCAGGAGGATCACCTGAGCCCCAAAGGTCAAGGCTGCAGTGAGCCGTGATGATGCCACTGCACTCCAACCTGGGCAACAGAGCAAGACCGTGTCTCAAAAGAAAAAAAAAATTTGAGATTCACATAACATAAACCATTTTAAAGTAAACAATTCAGCGGCATTTAATAAATCCACAGTGTTGTGCAACCACCCCTTCTAATTCCAACAAGAAAGAGGATCAGTGCTTTTCAGACTTTTCTGATCAGTAGCAGTGGATCTGTCTGAAGAAAACTTGCAAGCCCTCTCCCCAGAAAAAGGCATATGTACATAATTCTGCATGCAACTTAGGTTCACAGATCCCGAAGCCCATCCAGGGATCCCAGGGTAAGCCCTCGGTTTGTGGTTGGCTCTCAACTCTTCTGTAGAAGCAACCTCATCGTCATCAGAACCCCCTTTAGTGTTGGGGCCCAGGTGGCATGACCAGAGGGTGAAGAAGCACACAAGATAGACATCAGCCTCACCGCTGGAGAGGACGAGAAAATCTTGATCAGGATCCTCCTGCACAAGACTTGACCTTCTGAAGGCCATCTGCACATTCCATAAATCTTTCCACCTTGCAAGACAAGGCAGGCTGGGGGGTCCCCTCAGACAGACGGATAAAGGAAATAGGCCAGGCTACTCCCTCAAGGTCACAATGGATTCAGCAGTAGGCCAAGAACCCAGGACTCCATCTGGGGCTGTTTGTACATCATGCTCCTATTACATGGGAACCTGCAACATTAAGTACCATTTTTAGCACGATGCCTCCAGACAGACATTGGAAATCTGTCTGGGGTGGGACCTCCAGGGTGGTGAGAGGGTTTCAGTGCCTACAAGGCTAATCATGGAAGGATTCACGTGTGGAAGAGAGATTAACTTCGAGCAATGGAGAGAAGCAGAAGGGAAGCCAATTCCATCCTAACATAATTTTTCACTCTTTATACTAATAATTTGGTATTAGTAAATCATAATTTACTAATTCTAATAGTAAATAATACTAGTAAATACTAATAATAGTAAATACTAATAATTAGTAAATAATAGTTTTGTCACTCTTTATGCTATTTGAAAAAAAGATGGATATACAACAAAGTAGTGATTTCCCCATCCTTGGAAGCATTCAGTAACTTATTGGGGATGTTAACAGAGGAGATCAAAGTAAGGGATGGAATGGGAACAAAGTGATTTTTTTTAAAGGTCTCTCATTACCTTGTGCACCCACAGGATTGCGTTTATGATTTCAGATATTATTAGCCAGCCCAACCCAAAACAGCCCTCTATTGTTTAAACTGATTGACTAAGTCTAGGAGATACATGTTGGAAATAAGGTGACTTTTAAAAGCTCCGATTCCCTGGCACTCTTTATAGATACCTCAAACCTCCCAGGTGTTCTCTGCTTCAGTAAAATCAAGGCAATGAGGACACAAGATTTTCATTTTGTAGCTGATGTTTAGCAGAGTGTACCCATTTTCCTCGTGCATGTGCCCCAGTAAACCCTTAAGACGACAACCCCACCCCAAAGCCCATAAGCCTCTTAGCTGGATGTCTCCACCCCGCCCCCACCTCCCCTGCCCCGCAAGCCGGCTGCTGTGTTTAGTGTTTGGAGATGAAACACAGGGTTCATAGCATTGTCTCACTGGAAGCCAACCCCAGAGAAACAAGCATGCTATAGCCACTGGTTCCCAGACTTTGAGAATTCATAGACCAGTAATTCGCAAAAATAAATCTAGGGGAAGATTGCCAGCTTTTAATGTTTGCCAAGTAAGGACTTTTTTCTAAACTACCATATACTCTTGGTTATTATTTCATAAAAAGAAAGGACATTTTTCTCCTTATGCTTAGGAGCTGCATTTTGAAATACGGGTAAAATGTCGTGATGTCTGCATGTACGTTCAAATAGTTAAAAAGGAAAAAAACAGAGATAGACACAGAGGATTGCAGGCAGCAAAGTGTTAAGTGTCAAGTCTTGAAGTTGACTGTGTGGGTGTCTATTGTATTGTTCTTCTAACTTTTCTGTGCTTTAAAATTTCATAATAAAATTGTAGAAAATGCAGAGCTAATGACAGAAGGCAGATCTGTGATTGCCTGGGGCAGGAGCGTGAATGGAGGAGTTGATGGAAATGGGTACAGGGAACTTTGGGGAGTGGTGGAATTGATCACAGTGATGGTTACACAATGTATATGATGACCAAAACTCATCAAGCTGTACACTCAAAATGGGTGAATTTTGTTGGTTATTAAATAGATATATTTTACCTCTCTATATGTATCTGCCTGCACTCATCTATGTCTGTCACTATTTCAAAATTCACCCGTTTCATATATATATATCTCAATAAAGATAGAGGGCAAGAAGAAGAACAATGCCTTTTTTTTTTTTTTTTTTTTTGAGATAGAGTATAACTCTGTTACCCAGGCTGGAATGCAGTCTCGGCTCACCGCAACCTCCACCTCCCAGGTTCAAGTGATTCTTTGCCTCAGCCTCCCAAGTAGCTGGGATTATAGGCGCCTACCACCACACCCAGCTGATTTTTGTATTTTTCGTAGAGAAGGGGTTTCACCATGTTGGCCAGGCTGCTCTCGAACTACTTACCTCAAGTGATCTGCCCGCCTCGGCCTCCCAAAGTGCTGGGATTACAGGCGTGAGCCACCATGCCTGGCTGAAGAAGGATATTTTAATACCAAAAAATTAAAAAGCTCATAATCTCAAAAGGACAGTCCTTTATATTGAATAAGTTTGGCTCCCAGAAAAACTACAAGAGTGTCCTTATTTTTCTCATTTCTCCACCAAGAAGAGAAAAAATCATCACAGACCAAGAGTTGGGAATAACATTTCCAAAAAGAGTGAGATCTGTCATCCAGTCCACCCAAATTTCCCCACCTGCACGGCATTGGCAGAGCAGTGACTAAGATCTGCAGATCTGTGCCTTCCAGCAGCCGGGAACGATGAAGCAGCAGGAGAATGGGGGAATCTGGAAGCACTCACAGCTGCAAACTGGGCCTGGGTCCTGCAGCCTCAGCTCAGGGCAGCCCTCTGATGGGGACACTGAAAGAAGCACCCTAGTCATTTTTTCCCCTTTGTTTTTTTTTTTTTGAGTTGGAGTCTGGTTCTGTTGCCTAGGCTGGAGTGCAGTGGCACAATCTTGGCTCACTTCAACCTCCATCTCCTGGGTTCAAGTGATTCTTCTGCCTCAACCTTCCAAGTAGCTGGGATTACACACATCACCATGCCCAGCTTTTTTTTTTTTTTTTTTTTGTATTTTTAGTAGAGACAGGGTTTCACCATGTTGGCCTGGCCTCAAGCTCCTGACCTTCAGGTGATCCGCCCACCTCGGCCTCCCAGAGTGCTGGGATTACAGGTGTAAGCCACCGTGCCCGGCCACAGCAATTTTTTTTTTGCCCACGCTGGAATACAGTGACATGCTCACGGTTCACTATAACCTCAACATCCCAGGCCCAAACAATCCTCTGGCATAAGCCAAGTAGCTGGGACCACAGGCACACACCACCAGGCCTGGCTAATTTTGTTTACTTTTTATAGAGATAGGGTCTCACTATGTTGCCCAGGCTGTTCTCAAACTCCTGTGCTCAAGTGATCCACCTGCCTCTGCCTCTCAGAGTGCTCAGATTACAGGTGTGTGCCACTGTGCCTGGCCCTATTTATTGTTTTTTGTTTGTTTGTTTTTTTGTTGTTTGTTTTTGAGACAAGGACTCGCTCTGTTGCCCAGGCTGGAATACAGTGGTGTGATCATGGCTCACTCCAGCCTCAACCTCCCAGGCTCAAGCCGTCCTCCAGCCTCAGCCTTCCAGAGTGCTGGGATTACAGGCGTGAGCCACCACACCTCACTTATATAACACAGTTTTGTATTTTAACCTTTCTATTATAGGAGCAGTAAATGGTCATAGGAGAAAATGTGAAAAATTATAGACAAGAAAATTGAAACAAAGCCTACCATTTCATTACAAGGTAATGAGAGACCTTTAACTACCAATGTTAGCTTAAGGTGTATTCTTGCAAAGTATGCATAGGTATAGCATGCATATGAACCTGCATGTATGTGTGTAAATATGCTTGTGTGTATATGCATGTGTGTGTAAATGTACATATATGTATGTATACACAAATACATAGTCTCTGTGTGTTTGCAAAACGTGGACATGCTAAGCACACCATTCTGCAGTCTTGTTGGTTCTGTCACAATCTCTCACCTTTCTACTCCAGGCATTTTACCATAGTCAGATTTTCCCAATGAACCCAAAATGTCCTACACATCCTTTTTGACCAGTTGTGTATTCAGTCTGGGGCTGCACATGACATCTGGGTCTCGAGTGTCTTAGCGTCTTTTAATCTAGTAAACCCCATGTCTTTTTTCTTTTTTTTTTTTTTTTGAGACAGAGTCTCGCTCTGTCACCCAGGCTGGAGTGCAGTGGCACGATCTTGACTCACTGCAACCTCCCCTCCCGGGTTCAAGCAGTTCTTCTGCCTCAGCCTCCCGAGTAGCTGGAACTACAGGCGCCCACCACCACGCCTGGCTAATTTTTGTATTTTTAGTAGAGACGGAGTTTCACTATGTTGGCCAGGCTGGTCTCGAACTCCTGACCTTGTGATCCGTCCGCTTCGGCCTCCCAAAGTGCTGGGATTACAGGCGTGAGCCACTGCACCTGGCCTACCCATTTCTATGGCATTGTTTGTTGGATTTGTCTGGCTGCTCACTTGCGTCACGTAGCTCGTTCCTTGTATTTCCGATAAACTAGAAATGATGTCTGAAGGCTCATGGATTCAAGTTAACCCAAGGGGACACATCCCATGTGGCTGACACCACCAGCAATGCTAAGATTGACCATGGCATCTGCCGTGCACCTTGTGATGACACCATGATCCGTGTGGCATCACTTCACTCCTACAGTCATTTTCCCAGCAACTCTTCACCTAATGGTTTTAGCACCAATGAATAATCTTTGTGTTTTAAAATAGGGGGTTTGCAGTTCAGGTATGGTGAGGCCAACCATAGAGTATGCTAAGGATAGGGTGACATTGAAGTAAAGACTCAAAGCCATTGAAGGAGTGAGCCATGTGGCTGGCTGTGGGAAGACTGTTCCAGGAGAGGAAATAGCAAGTGGAAAGGCCTAGACGGAGGTTTAAAGAAAAGCAGGCCAGTGGTGGTGGCTCACGTCTGTAACCCCAACACTTTAGAAGGTTGAGGTGAGAGGATCAGTTGAGGTTGGGAGTTCGAGACCAGCCTGAGCAACATAGCAAGACCCCATCTCTACAAAAAGGTTAAAGAATTAGCTGGGTGTGGTGGCATGTGCCTGTAGTCCTAGCTACTCGGGAGGCTTAAGTGGGAGGAGCGCTTGAGCCCAGGAGTTCAAAGCTGCAGTGAGCTATGATTGCACCACTGCACTCCAGCCTGGGTGACAGAGCGAGACCCTGTCTCTAAAAGAAAAGAAAACAGGCTCAGTACTCTGGAGTGAAGTGGGCAAGGGAGAGGGTGGTGAGAAATAAAGTCAGAGGTAAAGGGGGGCCAGAGCATGCCGGACCTGGCAAGCATTGTCCAGACTTAAATGGGAAGCCATTGGAATGTTTGGGTGGATGCTGATACCCCAAACGTCAGAACAGGCTTTCTGCATATACTTGTTTCATTCCCAAGTCAGTCCCCCATGTAAGTGTGTTAGTGGTCGCAGAGTCCCCTCCATCCATTCCCTGAGTGTTCTTGGGAGCAGGCATTGTTCTGGGCACTGTGAAGACAAAAGTGAAGGAAACAAAATGGCCTAGGCCCTGCCCTCATGGAGCCTGGACTCCAGTGAGGGAAGAGAGACTGTAGAATAATTCCCAAGCAAGAGTGAAATGTGGCCAGGCACGGTAGCTCATGCCTATAATCCCAGCACTTCAGGAGGCCAGGAGTTTGACACCAACCTGGCCAACATGACGAAACCCCATCTCTATTAAAAATACAAAAATTAGCTGGGCATGCTGGTGCACAACTGTAATCCCAGCTACTCGGGAGGCTGAGACAGGAGAATCGCTTGCACCCAGGAGGTGGAGGCTGCAGTGAGCCGAGATCGCGCCACTGCACTCCAGCCCAGGCAACAGAGTGAGACTCTATCTCGAAAGCAAAAAAAAAAAAGAGTGAAATGCAAGCGTGCCTCCAATCTGGTCCTGGAGGTTGGGGATAGCTCCCCTGAGGAAGTGACTCCTGGTCAAAAATCTGAAAGGCCAAGAAGAGTCAACAAAGTGGAGAGAGGAGAGGCTTGTTCCAGGCAGAAATAATAGTGGGAAGGAGGAAGCGTGGCAGACGGCGTGGAAGGAAAGGCAGGCAGAGGTTCCAGAGGCTGCAAGCTTTTTGCCTGCATTCTAAGAGCAATGGGTGATTGTAAGCGAGGGATGACAGGGCTCAGAAGGTCTCTCTGCCTCTGTGTGGAAAAGGGCTTGGAGGGTAGAAATAAATGTGGTCGGCTGGGTGCGGTGACTCATTCCTGGAATCCCAGCACTTTGGGAGGCCGAGGCAGGTGGATCACCTGAGGTCAGGAGTTCGAGACCAGCCTGGCCAACATAGTAAAACCCTGTCTCTACTAAAAATACAAAATTAGCTCAGTGTGGTGGTAGGCGCCTGTAGTCCCAGCTACTCTGGAGGCTGAGGCAAGAGAATCACTTGAACCTGGGAGGCAGAAGTTTCAGCAAGCTGAGACTGCACCACTGCACTTCAGCCTGGGAGGCAGAAGTTTCAGCAAGCTGAGACTGCACCACTGCACTTCAGCCTGGGAGACAGAGCAAGACTCCATCTCAAAACAAAAAACAAAACAAAAAAAAGAAAAGAAATAGATGTAGTCAGACAGTGGGGAATCACTCCGGTCCTGAGAAGCAAAGGCGGTGCTGGGGATGGGAGGATGCAGACAGGTTCCAGAGACACTGAGGGGATCAACAGGACTCCTGAAGCCATCAATCAGTAGGACCGGGTGGAGGAGAGGGACAGATCCAGCTTGGCTTGCATAACACCAGGTTCATCTTGAGGTTGACATTTCTCCTTGACCTTTTTGTTTAGTCCCCACCCGCAAGGTCGCATTAGCTGCCTGCTGAGTTTAATCAAATCTCTTCCTGTCCTGGCAATGCCCGGGAATGAAGAGATAATCAGTCTATTTCCAGAATCCAAAGAGGTTTAGAAGAAAAAGTAGCTTTCATTTAGCTGTTGGCCCTCCCACCAACCTTCCCCAAGTCAGCTGGGTGACTCATACATCTGTGAGACCCTCCGTATGGAGACCGGGGCGGGGGGTGTTGCTTAATGCTTAGAACTGCTGAAACTACCAGTTCACTGTCTCAGCACTAATCCAACTCTGCTCCTTAAGTGGGATTTGGCTTTTAGACATTGAGACCTGGATGCTGGGCATCCTCGCTAGATCCCCTACAAATTCCCCACATACGTAGGCCAGGAGCCTCAGCGGTGCCCCTTCAGGCTCATCTGGCAAGACGGTACCAGCTTGCTCAGAACAGGGGCTGGCTATTCATCATCTCAGAGCATAGAGACCCTCTCCTTGCCACCCGGCCCTTCCCACCTGGTTGGTGACAAATCACAAGGTATGTGACCACCACAGGCCAAAACCTTATCAGAAACCTGGGGCAGGTGTGGGGAAGAGCAAGGATGGGCGTTTTCCTGCAGACAGTATGTCCCGCCTTCACCTTTTCTGTGTGGTTTCCATAAGACTTGGTTGCTATTTAAGGAGACTTGGAGTGAGCGGGTGCAATGGCTCATGCCTATAGTCCCAGTGACTCAGGAGGCTGAGGCTGGAGGATCACTTGAAGCCAGGAATTCGAGACCAACTTGAGCAATACAGTCAGACCCAGTCTCTACAAAAAAACAAAAATAAAAATAAATTAGCTAGGCATGGTGTCACACACCTGTAGTCCTGGCTACTCAGCTGGCTGAGGCAGGAGGATCACGAGCCCAGGAGTTCGAGGCTGCGGTGAGCTATGATTGTGGCACTGCCCTCCAGCCTGGGCAACAGAACGAGCTC
This sequence comes from Homo sapiens, assembly GCF_000001405.40. Lineage (NCBI taxonomy): Eukaryota > Metazoa > Chordata > Mammalia > Primates > Hominidae > Homo > Homo sapiens. The sequence goes on from NC_000002.12 coordinate 233,308,460, forward strand.
CTATATCTTAAAAAAAAAAAAAACCTCAGAGTATGCTTAATTCTAGACCGCTAAGATGGCCTCTTAATTGTAAAACAGAGTGGCTATCTCTTAGTAGGAATTGCCAAATAGAACTTTTGGGATTTTAATATATTCTTTTTTTTTAAAAAAAGTGATAGGATCTTGCTATGTTGCCCAGGCCAGTCTCCAACTCCTGGTTTCAAATGATCCTCTCGCTTCAGCCTCCCAGAATGTTGAGATGACAGGTGTGAGCCACAGTGCCCGGCCATTAATATCTTCTTGAAAACAGTCTTTGCGAAGTGGTTATGTTGTGGTTTTCAGGAACTTTTCTGATTTATTCGCCATTAGACACAGTCACGATAGAACTTTAAATTCAACCTGGCTAAGTGTGATAACACCAAAGGTTAGTCAGAAAGTAAAACCTCATTGGAATCTAGCTAGACTCCCTGGCAAGGTGTACTGAGAAATGTTTGAAGCTTACCAAGAAAAATAAAATATTGAAAACACCCCAAAGCATGCTGCAGTAAAATACAAACTAAGCAAAGACTCACCGATGAAACTCGGATGTTGAAGCCGGTACAAGGGCATGGTGAGGACGCACAGGATCTCGTGAGTAGGTTTCATAACTAGGATGTTCTTGACTTGATATTTAGGATTGTCTTACCTTTCTCCAACCCTCTAACACCTGACCAACACCCCAAGGTGGTAGAAGTTGCCAGGGACAGATAACATGGCAGCCAGCGGGAAGACCAGCAAGTCCGAACCGAACCATGTTATCTTCAAGAAGATCTCCCGGGACAAATCGGTGAGTGGTGCACAAGTGAGTGATTTGATAGAAATTATTGTTTAAAAAAAATGGAGCTTTTTCAAGTACAGTGTAGTCATGATCAACATCAAAACTCTTTGAGGGCCAGGGCGCGGTGGCTCATGCCTGTAATCCCAGCACTTTGGGAGGCGGAGGCGGGATAACTTGAGGCCAGGAGTTCGAGACCAGCCTGGCCAACATGGCAAAACCCATCTCTACTAAAAATACAAAAATTAGCTGGGTATGGTGGCAGGCACCTGTAATCCCAGACTTGGGAGGCTGAGGCACAAGAATCACTTGAACCCAGGAGGTACAGGTTGCAGTGAGCCCAGATGGTGCCACTGCACTCTAGCCTGGGTAGCAGAGGGAGACTCTGTCTCAAATAAAAAACAAACAAACACTGTGAGGGCCAGGGAAGCTTTGTGTCTATTTTTGTCTCTGTCTAAGATGGATGATCACTGAGCTATAAATGAGTGAATGAACTGCAGAAATAGAGCTTCTCTTCAGTCTCATCAAGACTTTAGTCCTGTGTCCCTCAGTTTTCTCCGAATCCCTCAATCCCCACACTGTCACCCCCACCTCTGCATCTTTTCCTAGCCAGCCTTGAACCCTTGACTTACTATTTAAACACAGTTTTGTCAGTACCTGTGATGCCCTTGGCCTTTTGTCTATCTATTGTGTCACCTGCCTGGGTAAAACCCAGACAGTGATCAATGTGACTCCTTCTTCTCCGTGCACCTACCCCACCCGGGGGGTCTCAAGCCTCAGCTGGGCCCGCAGGGCCATTGGATAAGGGAAAATGCCCCAGTCTGCCCCCTTTCCACCACTCTCCAGGGGCACGTTAGATGCTCCAGGTGTGCCCATGAACTTCCTCGCATGGGAGAGGGTCCACCGTCCAGCCTCTGTGGATAGCTCCACTCGAAAGCTTCTTGTGGGCCAAAAATCTAGCTCAGCAACATCTAGTGCAAGCCACATATGTAATTTTAAATTTTCTAGTAGCCACATTTAAAAAGTAAGAAGAAACAGGTGAAATTCATTTTGATGTTATATTTTATTTCAGCCCACTATATCCAAAAAACTATCAGTTCAACTTGTAAATAATAATATAAGAATTATTGAAATCTGATGTGTATTTTATGTTTACAGAACATGTCAATTTGGAATGGCCATATTTCAGGTGTCCGGGAGCCACCTTAAGCAGTGGCTACCCTACTGGACAGGGTAGCTCGCCATCATTCTGGCTTTTTTTTTTTTTTTTTTTTTGAGACAGAGTCTCACTCTGTCACCGAGGCTGGAGTGCAGTGGCGTGATCTCAGCTCACTGCAACCTCTGCCTCCCAGGTTCAAGCAATTCTGCCTCGGCCTCCCTAGTAGCTGGGACTACAGGCATGTGCCACCGCGCCCAGCTAATTTTTGTATTTTTAGTAGAGACAGGGTTTCACCATGTTGGCCAAGCTGGTCTCGAACTCCTGACCTCAGGTGATCCGCCCATCTTGGCCTCCCCAAGTGCTGAGATTACAGGTGTGAGCCACCGCACCTGGCCCATTGTGGCTGACTTCTGAACCCGGTATGGGGTCCAAAGAACCTCCCCATCCTTACCGTGCCACCCAGGAGATCCGGCTTTGCCTGTGTGCTTTCTGCCTTCTCCTCTCCTAGTTAAGGAACTCGGTCATTTTAATCAAGTACTCTGATTCTTTCGTTCTCCAAGCCCTTTCCCAAGTTGTATCTTTCCAGTCCATTTTATCTCAACTTCTGGCTGAAGAGGAAACCACTCGTGTTGGTTTCCCACGTTGTTTTCCCCTTGCTCCTAGATTTTCCACCAAGAAATGTAGATGGTTTTTGTAGATAAGTCCTCACAGGTGGGAAAAGAGAATTCAATTCCTGTCTCATGTATTCAGATCATTTTGCCAGCGATGTCTGTGTGGCCCCAGGCATGGTGTGCCAGGGCTCTGAGCCCATTTCTCTGTGATTCTCCCGACGCTGCCCTCTTCTTTGACCTTCATCCTCCAGCAGGTGGCTAAATGACTGCCCCTGCTCCTGGCGTCTCACCCACACTTGACAACATCCAGAAGGAAGAGGCTGTGGTTTCCTGGGGTCTCTTGTAAGGGTCAGGAAATCTTTCCCAAGACTCTTCTCTCATATCTCATTGGCCAAAACTGGGTCACATGTCCACTGTAAACCAATCCCAAGCCAGAAGAATTAGATGATCGTAGTGAATCAGGCCAATCAAGAATCGTACCCTGGAGCCGGCCTCCTCTGAGCATACCGCCTGGTGGAAGATGGTGGTCCCTGAACAATAGTTGGCGGCTTTTATCCAGGAAGAAGGGGTGTGTGGCTGTTGGATGGGCCCCCGAAGGCTGGCTACAGTCTCACATCACCCACTTCTCTACCTGCCCCCATCCTGCCCCTGTCCTTCCTGTTGCAGTGGAAGGGGTAGTTTGCTCCCATCTGAGGTTCACCACCTCTTACACCCTGGGTTTCATGGTTGGCCACCTTCTCAGGGGCCTCAGTCATTGGTCTGGCTGTGTGTGCAGCCTCTCCTCTCTGCTAGTACTTTGTCTGAGCATAAAAATAAGTACCAGCCAGGCGCGGTGGTTTATGCCTGTAATCCCAGCACTTTGGGAGGCCAAGGCAGGTGGATCACCTGAGGTCAGGAGTTCGAGACCAGCCTGGCCAACATGGAGAAACCCTGTCTCTACTAAAAATACAAAAATTAGCCGGGCGTGGTGGTGCATGCCTGTAATCCCAGCTACTCGGGAGGCTGAGGCAGGAGAATCGCTTGAACCTGGGAGGTGGAGTTTGCAGTGAGCCGAGATCGCGCCATTGCACTCCAGCCTGGGCAACAAGAGCGAAACTCTGTCTCAAATAAATAAACAAATAAGTACCGACCTCATGCACCTTAAGAACAACCACCAACTACCCTCGACCCTATATCCTTTCTAGTTCTTCTTCCCTTGCAGCCAAACCTTTTGAAAGAGAAGAAACATGCCCTCTCTTCACCTGCCCTTGTCTCTCCCGTCCACTCTGCAGTCCCCCTCATCAGCTCCACAGTCAGGCTGCCTAACTGGTTCTCCCCTTGCCGATCCATTCTCCAGTTTGCTGCTGGCATGAGCTAAATCTCAGTGCTCCCTTCTATAAAATGGGCTGCATTCCTGTCTCATTGAGTTGCTGTGAGGATTAAGTGAAACCATGTGGTCAAAGTGCTTAGCTTGGCCCCTGATACATGATAAGCACTCGAAATGCTATTTAATTCTTCCAAAAGCTATTTCTCTATTTAGCTTTCCTAAATACTGTTTAATTCAAGTCTTTCATCCTGCTTAAAACGCTTCAACGTCTTCTGAGGTTCTTTAGGGCCACGTCCTATGAGACCATTTCAGCAGCAGCAGCCTGCATCCCCATTCAGTGGCATGGTGAAGCCATTGGCAGTTCCAGAAGCATTCTCGGGGCCCCGGGCTTCGTATACATTTTGCTCAGAGAGCATGCCCTCAACCGTCCCCTGTCCTCTGGCTATGCCATTTGTCCACCAGGTAGAGCCTCCTCTGAAAGCAAGAGCCTTCCCTCTCTCCTTCCCTCCTCAGTGCCCTCCCCTCAGGCTTCCTCCCCACCAGCCTTTGCCCTGGCATTTATTCCAGGGGCACAATTGCCAGTTCACTTGCTGGGCTCCCAACCAAAGAGCAGGGACCTTGGGGACCAAGGGGATGTCTTCTTCGGTTTTTATTTTCAGTAGCCAGCAGCTGCTGGGGCCTCTGTAACCGTGTGTGGGATAGATGAAAGCAGTATTTGCCTAATTGACAGGCGAAGTCTAGCAAAGGAGACAGGCTCCTGCAAGAGCACCCAGAACACAGTGTGCTGCACACTGAGGTGTGGTCGCAGGCCACATGCTCCCGGGGCACCAAAAGCCAGGGGGTGCTGGGCAAAGGGAGAGATGGGGACCGTGAGGTGTCCCCTGAAGCGTGGGTAGGATTTCCCCCAGGTGAAAGTGCAGCAGAAGGGCCTTCCTTACCGTGGAAACAATAGGAACAGAGGCACAAATCTGTGGTGTTTGGGGGAGCTGTGGCAGAGCCGCTGTGGCCAGAGCCCAGGGAAGAGTGGAGCTGTTAGAGAGGATGCTCTCAGGGTGGCCACGCACAAGGCGCTGGGGTTTATTCCACAGAGAAGGAGTGAGCAGCCAGTAGACACTGAGCAGCAGAATAGCGAGGTCATAGTTACCATTCCTGCAAGGCAGCCTCCAAATTGGTTGATTTGGGGAGAATTTTTTTTTTTTTGAGACAGGGTCTTACTCTGGAGACCAGTGAAGATCTCTTTACCCCCTTTGTGGGAGAGCAGGGTTGGAGTACAATGGTACGATCGTAGCTCACTGCAGCCTCAACCTCCTAGGCTCAAGTGATCCTCCTTCCTCAGCTTCCCAAGTAGTTGAGACTACAAGCAGGCACCACCTTGCCCGGGCTAATCTTTTTTTTTTTTTTTTTTTTTTTGAGAGATGGCAGGGGACAGAGGAGGGGGTATCACTTTGTTGCCCTGGCTTGAACTCCTGACTTCAGGTGATCCTTCCCACCTTGGTCTCTCAGTGTTGGGATTACAGGCATGAGCCACTGTACCTGGCCAGAGGAGAGTTTTTAAAAGGGGCTGTTTGCTAGGGTGTAGGCAGGTGTGAAAGAAATCACAAGAAATAGCCAGGTACAGTGGTGGCTCATGCCTGTAATCCCAGCACTCTGGAAGGCCGAGGTGGGTGGATTGCTTGAGCCCAGGAGTTTGAGACCAGCCTGGGCAACATGGCGAGACCCTGTCTCTACAAAAAAATATAAAAAATTAGCTGGGCATGGTGGCGTGCATCTGTAGTCCCAGCTACCTGGGAGGCTGAGGTGAGAGGATCACTTGATCCTGGGAAGCAGGGGTTGCAGTGAGCTGAGATAGTGCCACTGCACTCCAGCCTGGGCGACAGAATGAGACCTTGTCTCAAAAAAAAAAAAAAATTACAAGAAAGAGCTCCATGCGCCACACGGCAGTGACGAGCAGCTGGGTGCTGGCACCTCCCTGGGGTTAAGGGATGAGGGATCGCACAATTCTCAGAACCCCGAGGCCCTCAGGGCTACCTCCCAGGAACTGTGATCCCCACTAGAGGGCTGTGCCAGCCGCAGGCCCAGCCACCATGCAGGCAAGGTGGGGACAAACATCTGGCCCACCTTGCCCAGAAGCCAGAAGACCAGGGAATCTACTAGGGCAACACGCCCTGGTCAGCCCCGCAGGGTGGATCTTGAGGGCAAGGCCAAGACACCCACAGTGTTTAGGAAGCTGGGACTCGCTGCAGCAACCAGCAGGTAGCAGTGTGTGTCCCGGTCAGCCCGCTGCTCACAGGTGCCAGGCTTCCACACCACCCAGGCTAGTGAGGCCTCCCAAACATGCTTAGCGCTGGGAGTATAAGGTTTCCTACGGAATCTTCTCTGTAAACCAGGGTTCTAGTGGTATTTGCTGGAAGTCACTTCAGCATCATTCATGCGAGTAACCTAGAGGGCACAGGGCTACGCTTCGGGACATCTGATATGGGTGAAAGGGGAGCGTATAGGAGAGGACTTAATGCCAACAAAAATGATTTAGGCCGTTCCTGGAATTCAAAATATTCATTCGAAGAAGGGGGCCAGCCAAGGGGGCCACACTCAATGAAAGAGTGTACTCTCATTCATTGGTGCACTTGGCAAACACTGAATCCCTGTGTGTCCTAGACTCTGCAGTAGATGCTTAAAGATGTGCAGAGACTCCAGATTACTACCACCAAGCCACAGTCCTATGGATTAAAGTGCTGAGGGCTGGGAAACCCAACCCTGCTCTCCCATAAGTGGGTAGAGACCTTCGTTGCCAGGGGCAGGACAGGGCCAGGGCCTGTGGGCCCAGATGATGGCCATCCCCTTCCCACCCAGCTCCCTCAGTGCGTGGCTTTAGGTCTACCTGTGCAGTAGTTCACCTGGTGGGATTTCAGGGGCTTCTCCAGAACTCACACCTCTTTGCGTTGTCCAGAAGTTCTTTTTTTTTTTTTTTTTTTTTTTTTTTTTGAGACAGAGTCTTGCTCTGTCACCCAGGCTGGAGTGCAGTGGAACGATCTCTGCTCACTGCAACCTCCACCTCCTAGGCTCAAGCAACTCTCCTGCCTCAATCTCTCGAGTAGCTGGAATTACAGGCGTATACCATCATGCCCAGCTAATTTTTGTGTTTTTAGTAGAGACAGGGTTTCGTCATGTTGGCCAGGCTGGTCTCAAACTCCCGACCTCAGGTGATCCGCCCGCCTCAGCCTCCCAAAGTGCTGGGATTACAGGGGTGAGCCACCACACCCAGCCTGTCCAGAAGTTCTTGTGACAAAGAGGGGCTACCTTTCATTCCACAGCTGGAAATAAAAGATTTAACATGCAAATGGATGGCAAAAGTCTCATTTACATAATTTTCTTTCTTTCTTTTTTTTTTTTTTGAGACGGAGTCTCACTCTGTTGCCCAGGCTGGAGTGCAGTGGCGTGCTCTTGGCTCACTGCAACCTCCGCCTCCCAGGTTTAACTGATTCTCCTGCCTCAGCCTCTTGAGTAGCTGGGACTACAGGCGCGTGCCACCACGCCCAGCTAATTTTTATATTTTTTTTTAGTAGAGACAGGGTTTCACCATATTGGCCAGGCTCAAACTCCTGACCTCGTGATCCGCCCGCCTTGGCCTCCCAAAGTGCTAAGATTACAGGTGTGAGCCACCGCGCCCGGGCTGCTGCTGGTTTTTATCATGGATGCCTTAGCTTAGCATTCTTTGGCCCTTAGACCCACACCTGTTCTTCTTGCAGGTGACCATCTACCTGGGGAACAGAGACTACATAGACCATGTCAGCCAAGTCCAGCCTGTGGGTAAGTTGCTTGGAGAAAACTGTAATGCTGGTTTTCCTTTAAGTCACAGATAACCGCTCACTTTGTGTTTTTAAAAACTGGCCTTGCTAATAATCTAAATAAAGACATGCAAATTAAAACATCAGTGAGGCGCCACTGGCTGATTGGAAACAATTTTATTTATTTTTATTTTTATTTTTATTTTTATTTTTTTGAGATGGAGTTTCATTCTTGTTGGCCGGGCTGGAGTGCAGTGGCATGATCTTGGCTCACTGCAACCTCTGCCTCCTGGGTTCAAGTGATTCTTCTGCCTCAGCCTCCCAAATAGCTGGGATTACAGGAATGCATCACCACGCCCAGCTAATTTTGTATTTTTAGTAGAGATGGGGTTTCACCATGTTGGCCAGGCTGGTCTCAAACTCCTGACCTCAGGTGATCCGCCCGCCTCGGCCTCCCAAAGTGCTGGGATTACAGGCATGAGCCACTGTGTCCGGCTGGAAAGAATTTTAAAGAGTGTGAAGAGACAAAGGACTCATGTCTGGAATGTATGAAGAACGCTCAGAACTCAGCAGTACAAAAAGCAAGATCCTATGAGAAAATGGGGGAAAGACAGGAAGATACATTTCATCAAAGAAGATACATGAAGACAAGCAAGCACATGAAAACATCTTTGGTATCATTAGCCACTAGGGAAATACAGATTAAAGCTACAGTGAGAGCATATTATACACCTACCAAAATGGCTAAAATATTTTAGGTTGGTGCAAAAGTAATTGCAGTTTTTTGCCATTACTTTCAATGTAGTGGCGAGATCTTGGCTCACTGCAACCTCCACCTCCTGGGCCCAAGCGATCCTCCGACCTCAGCCTCCCAAGTAGCTGAGACTACAGGCATGTGCCACCACGCCTGGCTAATTTTTGTATTTTTTGCAGAGATGGAGTTTTGCCATGTTACCCAGGCTGGTCTTGAACTCCTGAGCTCAAGTGATCTGCCTGCCTTAGCCTCCCAAAGTGCTGAGATTACAGGCGTGAGCCACTGCACCCAGCAGCAGCTTCTTAAAACATGAAACACATACTTACCATATGACCCAACAGTTGCATCCCGGGCACTTATCTCAGAGAAATGAAAACTTGTGTCCTCACAAAAACCTATACATGATTGTTCACAGCAGCTTTATTTGTGGTAGCTCCAAACCGGAAAGAACCAAAATGTTTCTCAGAATGTCCCACGTCAGCTTCCTAGTTTTGATATTGTACTGTAATTATGGCAGATGGAACCATTGGGAGAAACTGGATGAAGGATACTAGGGACGTCTCTGTACTATCTTTGCAACTTCCTGTGAATCTATAATCATTTCAACACAAAACGTCTTTTAAAGAGTGTAGAAAAACTGGCAGTTTCAGACACTGGATATGCAAATGTGCCTTGGCAAAACACTTTCTGGAAGGTTATTTGGCAGCATGTTATCAAAAGCCAAATCCAATTCTATAATTTATTTTTAAAAAGTCATGGAGAGATATAAAGACATATGTATAAGGATGTTCATCACAATATTAATTACAATGGGAAAAATTGGAAACAACCTAGATGCCCTAACAATAGGAAGTGATTAAATAATTTATGGTACATCCATTCAATGGAGTAATACATAGCTATTAAAATGATTAGCACGTTTTCTCTATATGTGTGTGTGTGTATATATATACGTGTGTGTATAGATGTATGTATGTGAGTATGAATAGATGTTTGCAATGTATAATTGAGTGAGGAAAGCAGTTAGCTGAACAGTATGTACAATAGGATCTTTTTCTTTACTTAGTAAAAGCATTCGTATAATTAAGTTATATATGTCTGGAAAAAAATTTTTTTTGTCGGGGGTGTGGGACAGTGTCTCTATCACCCAGGCTGGAGTGCAGTGGCACAGTCACAGCTCACTGCAGCCTCAACCTCCCAGGTTTAGGAATTCCCCCTACCTCAGCCTCTCACATAGCTGGGACCACAGGCATGCACCACCGCACCTGGCCCATGCCCTGCTAACTTTTTTTCTTTTTTCTTTTTTGTATGTTTTGAGAAAAGGTCTGGCTCTATTACCCAGGCTGGAGTGCAGTGGCATGATCATGGCTCACTGCAGCCTTGACTTCCCGGGCTCAAGGGATCCTCCTGCCTCAGCCTCCTGAGTAGTTGGGACTACAGGCATGTACCACCACACCCAGCTAATTTTTTTTTTTTGTTTTTTTATAGAGACAGGCTCTCATTTTGTTACCCAGGCTGCTGGCTAATTTTTTTTAAAAACTTTTTGTAGAGACAAGGATCTCACTATGTTGCTCAGGCTGCTCTCGAACTCCTAGGCTCGAGCAGTCCTCCTGCCTTGGCCTCCCAAAGTACTGGGATTACAGGCATGGGCCACCACACCTGACCTGGAAAAATAAAATAAAAATCTGCACCAAGATCTTCACAATAGGTATTTTCAGGCAGTAGGAATTTGGATGACTTTTTTCCCTTTGCCTGACTTTTCTTTCTTTCTTATAATGAACATGGATTACATGTGTAATTAAAAACATGCGCAGTTTTTAAAGTAGGTGTCTGGTTTCTTTCATCTTCTCCACCCTCACTGCTCTCTCCCTCTTTTGCCTTAGATGGTGTCGTGTTGGTTGATCCTGATCTTGTGAAGGGAAAGAAAGGTGAGATGAAGCCCCTTGTCTCAGGCTGGTTTCTGGGCGGAGTGGACTGCTCTCTGGGCGGCTCTGGGAAGGGGCATTTACATGGAAGGAGAGACAGGAAGGCAGAGGCAGCGCTCTTGCACATGGAACCAGTGCCAGGCCCACTGACCCACACTCCTGTACCTAATTCACGTGACATAGGTCCTGTTGACACCAGAGCTCACTCGCTCAGCAAAGTCATTGTCCAGGGTGGCAGATAAGTAGATGGTAGACGGAGCCCAGGTCTGTGGCCCCCATTCCTGTTTGCTCGCCCCTGTTTCATGTACTTCTGTGCTAGGGGCAAACTCAGGAGGGTGCCTGGGGTGCCTAGGACTCAGGAGGACACAAGACCTTGAATGAATGAGGGGCGAGTGAGTGGGCAGTGTTTCTTCTGAGTCAGTGGCGAGGGGCAGTTACCGTTGGGGCTGACAGGCAAAATTCTCAACCAACACCAAAAAGGGGGAAATGATGCCTGCTGGGGGCAGGGGGAGTAAGACCCAGAATTTATTATGGTGCTTACTTCGATGGTTCTGAACCAGTGTCACGGCGCCCTTGAAGATTTCTGGCAGTTTTGATGTGTGTGGTAAGTAATTTGTTACTAATAACAGTTGCATAAACCAAATTAGAACAGATTCCAGCTATCCTTGTGATAATGTCACTGACTCAGTTCCATTCTAAATATGCCTTTTTGAGTGTTGCTACTGGCAACATCAAGGAATTGTTCAGAACCCTGGATGTGCCACTGGAATACGTCAGCTATGGGGCCATCAGCATTGAGGGGGCATGGCTGAAATGGGGCCCCAAACGGCCCCCTCTGTCCTCTCCACCTTCCTCCTGGGTGCCCTGCTCCTCTCTGGACCAGGAGGCATCTGGTTTGAGCCCCGAAAGCCCAAGTCCTTGACCAGAGAAGGGCGCCTGTTCTCAGGGAAAGCCACTGCACAGGACAGCTGTCAAACCACGTGGTCTCTGGGCACCTTCTTAGTCCTGAGCTTGAATGAGGGGCGAGTGAGTGGCCACTGTTTCTTCTGAGTCAGCAGCGAAGGGCAGTTACCTTTGGGGCTTGCAGGCAAAATTCTCAACCAACAGCTACCACGCACTTGGCGGGGCCGCCTCTCGTGCTTTATATTTGAGAAATATGTGCTTCGTGTCTTTTTTAGAAGGTGTAGTGAACTTCATACAATTCTTCTGGTCTACTGGGCGCACACTTCAGGTCTGTTCAACAAGTAGAATTTTCAGAAGTGGGGGTTTAGAGAATGCTCAGTATGTTTCAGAGCAGCGTGAAAAGGAGGCTGGAACTTGAGCCTTCTCAAGTTGGATTTCACCTCCCCATGTGGCCTGTGAGCCTTCAGGCTCCTCACTCAGCCCACGATTGACCCTGGCCCACATCTGCTTTGCTGCCCAGCGCTGTTTCCCTCTGCATCTTACCTTCTTCCTTCATTCGTCCAGACATCCTGCCCTCTAGAACCTGAGCAGCCAGCACTGTCTCAAAGCCTCTGAGGCCACAGAGCTAGGGAATGAAGGGGGCGGGCAGGATGGAGGGGACTGGGTCCTCTGTCTTCAGATTTCTACCATTCTGGCAACATGATACAATTGGGAGGAAGATGCCAGGATCTCCCTTTAGAGCGGTGAACCCTCATGAAGGGGCTGATTCTCCAGAGTGGTGTGGAGTAGCTGGGTGGCAGGGTTCTCTCCAATCCCAGCCCCTATCCCCTCCAGATGCTAAAGGTTGAAAACCCGTGTTCGCTGCCCATTCCGTCAGTGGTGGTGGGTGCCAGGCCGAGGGCCAAGTCCGACCCTGCCTTCATCTCCCTTGCAGTGTATGTCACTCTGACCTGCGCCTTCCGCTATGGCCAAGAGGACATTGACGTGATCGGCTTGACCTTCCGCAGGGACCTGTACTTCTCCCGGGTCCAGGTGTATCCTCCTGTGGGGGCCGCGAGCACCCCCACAAAACTGCAAGAGAGCCTGCTTAAAAAGCTGGGGAGCAACACGTACCCCTTTCTCCTGACGGTGGGTGACTCCTCCGGCCAGCCCTGCTTCCTTCACCCGCAGCACCTTATCATGTGGATGGGGGCAAAGGAAAGGGGATAGAGGAAGAACTTCACATCTGCAGGCCTGGAAATTGCACCCTTGAAAGAAATTCTAGATTGCATGGTCTGTGATTGTCTTTTTTTAAGTCCTTGAAAATAGCCTCTTAGCCTTTGAAGACACCCTTTCAACCTACCGTTTACATATTTCCCTTGACCCGACCCCCTAATTACATGAGCACGTGTTATTCCTTTGCTTGCTAAGCTCGAAAAAGAAAGCTCACAGAAATGCCCCTCGGCCCTGGGGAGTTCTAAGTAGGAAAGGGTTCCCTACAGGACAGGAGAGCTTAGCGAAGTAAGATGTCATCTTTTTCCTTGCCCACAGCTTGGGGGATCACAGGAGATATTTTCATCTCTCTGGGGGCCCGTCTGTCATCCATTGAGACCTGGCTACCAACGGTGCCAGCGTGCAAACTCTCTGAAGTCTTGGGCGTGAGCTCAATTGGGGGAAGCTACCATCTGCTTTACGAGCATGTTTATTTGTCTTAAGAGAATATACACTTCCAAAGTTACATGGTTCAGCCTTAAAAAGGAATGAAATTCTGTTCTGTGCTACACCATGGATGAATCCTGAATACATTATACTAAATGAAAGGACCCAGACACAAAAAGACAAATACTCTATGGTTTCACTTACAGGAGATACCTGGAGTAATCAGATTCATACAGACAGAGACAGAATAGAGCTTCCCACAGGCTGGGGGGTTGGAGGATGGGGAGTTGGGGTTTAATGGGAACAGAGCTTCAGATTGGGAAGATGAAAAATGTTCTGGTGATAGATAGTGGTGATTACTGCAGAATGGTGTGAATGTACTTCATGCCAATGAACCGTACAGTTAAAAGAGCTTAAATGGTAAATTTGATGTTATTCTATGTTTATCACAACTGTTTTACAAAATCACATTTACAAAAAAGTTATAAGGTCCTGGGTGCTCCCATGTACCTGTGCTGGGAGTTTGAAGTGACATAACCTTTTAGAGACAATATGTCAACACGTATTGAAAGCCTTAAAACGTGTGCTTCTCCGAGGTCAGGAGATTGAGACCATCTTGGCTAACATGGTGAAACCCCGTCTCTACTAAAAATACACACACACACACACACACACACACACACACACACACACACACACACACATTAGTCAGGCGTGGTGGCGGGTGCCTATAGTTCCAGCTACTTGAGAGGCTGAGGCAGGAGAATGGTGTGAACCCGGAAGGCAGAGCTTGCAGTGAGCTAGATCGCGCCACTGCACTCCAGCCTGGGTGACAGAGCGAGACTCTGTCTCAAAAAAAAAAAAAAAAAAAAAAAAGTGCTTCTCTTTCTAGCAGTTCAGCTTATGGAATTAATTGTCTAAAACTGATTTATTACAGCATTGTTTGTAATGGCAAAAAAGTAAAGACCACTTCAGTAGCCAGCAAAGGGGACTGGCTACGTTAAGTGTACATTATAGAGCCCTAAAAAGGATGATTCAGAACTGTATTTTATGATGTGGGAAAATGGTCACAATGCTTTCTGAAAAGGGCTAGAATTAATGAAGTGAGTAAACAGACTACAGAACGTGATCATCACTTTGTCCCATTTCTGTAAAACGTCTTCTCACATATACATATTTGGGCGTGGCCAGTTGCAGTGGCTCACACCTATAATCCCAGCACTTTGAGAGGCCAAGGTGGGTGGATTACTTAAGATCAGAAGTTTGACACCAGCCTGGGCAACATGGTGAAACCCCATCTCTAGCAAAAATACAAAAATTAGCTGGGCATGGTGGTGTGTGCCTGTAATCCCAGCTACTCCACTGCACTCCAGCCTGGGCGACAGAGCAAGACTCCATCTCAAAACAAAACATACATATTTATGTGTACAGGCAGGAAATTTTGGGAAGGTTATGTTAGCAATATGTATTTGGGTGTCAGGAGTATAGGTGAATGTGATTTTTCTTTTTTCTTGCTTATCATCTTTATTTTCTAATTTTTACATGATTATATATTACTTAATGGAACAGCCCCTTCTGAAATAAATGATTTTTTATTTGTTTCTTTCCACAGTTTCCTGACTACTTGCCCTGTTCAGTGATGTTGCAGCCAGCTCCACAAGATTCAGGGAAGGTTAGTTCAAGAAGAAATGCCATGGTTTTATGGATTTGTTCATTCCTTCAATAGACTTTTTTATTGTTTTTGAAACAGGGTTTTACTCTGTCACCAATGCTGGGGTGCAGTGGCGTGATCTTGGCTCACTGCAACCTGTGGTTTCTGGGCTCAAGTGATTCTCTAGCCTCAGCATCCTGAGTAGCTGGGACTACAGGTGTGTGCCACCATGCCCAGCTAATTTTTGTATTTTGTGTGGAGGCGGGGTTTCACCACACTGACCAGGCTGGTCTCAAACTCCTGACCACAGGTGATCTGCCTGCCTTGGCCTCCCAAAGTGCTGGGATTACAGGTGTGAGCCACTGCACTGGCTCCTTCAATAGACTTTTTTTTTTTTAGATGGAGTTTCACTCTTGTTGCCCAGGCTGGAGTGCAATGGCATGATCTCGGCTCACCACAACCTCTGCCTGACAGGTTCAAGCGATTCTTCTGCCTCAGCCTCCCGAGTAGCTGGGATTACAGGCGTGGGTCACCATGCCTGGCTAATTTTGTAATTTTAATAGAGATGGGTTTTCTCCACATTGGTCAGGCTGGTCTCGAACTCCCGACCTCAGGTGATCTGCCTGCTTTGGCCTCCCAAAGTCCTGGGATTACAGGCGTGAGCCACCGCGCTCGGCCCATTAGACTTTTAAAGATAGCTTTTTTTCATGGAAAATTTCAAACGTACCCAAAAGTAGAGAGACCAGTATAAAGATCCTCTATGAACCCATCACTCATCTTCAGCAGTTATTAACCATGAACATCCTTGTGAACAAAATCACAGAGTCCCAACCCCCATGAGTCTCACACATTAACCGAGAGCACCAGGTAAACCCAAATAACAAGGAACTACACGGCATGCCAGGTGGCCACAGATGCTGTGGAGAACAAGAGGCTTGTGAGAGACAAGGGGAGTATCTGGTGGGATGTGTGTTGAGGATGTTTAAAGCCAGTCTCTAATGAGGCAAAGGAGAAAGCCACACTCTCCCAGGGGAGAGCCTTCCAGGTAGAGGGCGCACCTCGCCTGGTGTGTTCCGGGGGCAGTGAGGAGGTTGCCTGCTGAGTGAGAGGAGCAAGGGATGAAAGGGGGAGGCCAAGTGCAGTGGCTCAGGCCTGTCATCCCAGCACTTTGGGAGGCTGAGGTGGGCGGATCAACCCAGGAGTTCAAGACTAGCCCGGGCAACGTGGCGAGACCCCATCTCTACAAAAAATACAAATATTAGCCAGGATTGGTGGCACATGCCTGTAGTACCAGCTACTTGGGAGGCTGAGGTAGGAGGATCACTTAAGCCCTGGAAGCAGAGGCTGCAGTGAGCTGTGATCATGCCACTGCACTGCGCTCTAGCCTGAGCGATAGAGTGAGACCCTGTCTCAAAAACAAACAACAAACAAAAAAAGTGGGAAGCTGAGGTTAGAGTGGAAGGGGAGGTGTGGCCAGATCATGAAGGGCCTTGTCGATGTTGTAGAGACTTGAGTTTTTGCCTGAATGAGATGGGAGCCATTGGCAGGCTGTGAATGACAGGCGCTGACTTTCCAAATGGTCACTATGGCCACAGAGTTGAGAACAGAGTTGAGATGGCCAAGCATGTGCTGTGGGGACTGAGGGTGTGTGAGAGAGGAGTGAGTCAGGTGGACGGGGCTCCAGCATGGAAGGAGGCGGTGGGGACAGGAGGAGAAGGAGGTGCCAGGACCCGTGGGTTCAGGCCCTCTAAGCCACTGGGTCTGGGATTCATGAGGAAGGGAGCTACACAGAGAGGCAGTTTCTGTAACTGGATTATGGGATGGGCAGTGATAGGTGATGACAAGGGCAGTGTTTTTGTCGCAGGGCATCTGCGACATCTGACCCGTTAGTGGTTCGTGAAATCAATGTAGTGGATCCAAAATGGAAGGGAACAGAATGGAATGGAATAGAATAGAACAGACAGGGTGCGGTGGCTCATGCCTGTAATCCCAGCACTTTGGGAGGCCGAGGCGGGCAGATCACCTGTGGTCACGAGTTTGAGACCAGCCTGGCCAACATGGCAAAACCCCGTCTCTACTAAAAATAGAAAAATTAGCCAGGCATGGTGGCGCGTGCCTGTAATCCCAGCCAATTGCTTGAACCTGGGAGGCGGAGATTGCAGTGAGCCGAGATTGTGCCACTGCATTCCAGCCTGGGCATTAGAGCAAGGCTCCATCTCAAAAAAAAAAAAAAAAAATTAGCTGGGCATGGTAGTGTGCTACTTGGGAGGCTGAGGTAGGAGAATCACTCAAACTTGGGAGGCGGAGGTTGCAGTGAACTGAAATTGTGCCACTACACTCCAGCCTGAGCAACAGAGCAAGACTCCATCTAAAAAAAAAAAAAAATAGAACAGAACAAAATGGAATGGATTGGAAAATCTCAGAGTATGTCACACATGGTGAAGCTGAATATGGTGTCAGGAGAGTTGTTGCACGTTTGTGTCTGTTTACTGGGCTGTGTTACAAATCCAACTTTCAGAACATCTCGAAGCTAGTGGTCCAGGACAATGGGGTGGGGTGTGCGCAGCCAAGATGGGGGAAGATGAGGTGATTACAGAAGAAGGGGGCACAGAACAATGGGGAATGGAATTGGTTGTGTTAGATCTTATAGTGCTCTATAAGAGAGACCCCAAATTCAGATTTTTAGGTGACCTTTCTTGATTTTTACAACACTGTATAGGCCCAACAAAGCACCACCTATTTTCTGTTCTAGGAGAGGAGCAGGTCTTAGCACAGCTGCAGGGCTTCAGGAAAGTGGGTGCGCCCTGAGCCCAGGGAGCTTGAGAGAAGTGCCTGAATGCCTGGGGGCCTGGGGGCTTGACAGCTGAGAAGCCCAGGTGGGCGAGCAGAACAGGCGTTGGTGTGGCTCAACAACGGCCGGCTGATGGCAGGGAAGGATGCATATTTATTTTCCACTTAGAGTTTAGGACTGCTATGATTCCCTGGTTGCAGAACCAATAAATCCGTGCCTCATATGTCACCATGGACAGAGCTGGCTTCCTGTAATTTTTGCCAGCTCTACTTTCCCCTCCAGGCAGTGGTGGAGGGCAGGCCGGTGCCCTCCTCTGGCTCCCCAACGCATGTGAACGTGCAGAGATGAGGGAGGTTACAAAGGGCTTGCACTGGGGGCCAGGGGCTTCACACACTGGGAATCGGGGGAAGGTCACTGGCAGATCCGTTCATTCAGCCCACACAATGCTTAAAAGTCTTTTTATTTAATTTAAAAACTAGGAGATTTCACTCCAAATTCCACGTGAAGTTTCTTTTTTAAAAATCAAGCTGGCTGGGCGCGATGGCTCACACCTATAATCCCAGCACTTTGGGAGGCCAAGGCAGGCGGATCATGAGGTCAAGAGTTTAAGACCAGCCTGGCCAACCTAGTGAAACCCCAACTCTACTAAAAATACAAAAATCAGCCGGGCATGGTGGTGCACACCTGTAATCCCAGCTACTCAGGAGGCTGAGGCAAGAGAATTGCTTGAACTCGGGAGGCGGAGGTTGTGGTGAGCCGAGATCATGCCACTTGCACTCCAGCCTGGGCAACAGAGCAAGACTCCATCTCCAAAAAAAAAAAAAAAAAATCGTGCTGCCCGCACTGGGTGCCTTGCTGCCTGGCCACATGAGGCTGCCGCTGAACAGCAGGTGACCATGGGGGTCAGGGTTTCCATACCCTATCAGGGCATTCCTGGACCCCAGCGCTGGCCCTGTGAGTGCCTGTACCTCTGGCCCCTGCTGTAGGCAGTGGAAGTCAGTAAGATGCATGGGATCACAGTTGGGGACACCTAAGTGTGCAAGGTGGCAGGAGGCAAGGATAGCCAGGATGTGAATGACTCTCCACGGCAGCAGGAGGGCTCATGGGGCAGGTGGATCCCCTCCCTCTGGGGGCTTTGGGCCCATGGCACACTCCTTGCGCTACTGTAATTGTTTCACTGTCAGTATGCTTCCAAATCCCTAAATGGTGCAACCCCGAATAGGACATGGCCAAGACAAAAAGAGATAGTGCCACATCATGTGCCCTGTGTGAGGTGTGGCCCTCTGGCCCGGCACCCAGGGAGGGAGTCGCTGATCGCTGCCTGTCTGCTCTCTCTCCCCAACAGTCCTGTGGGGTTGACTTTGAGGTCAAAGCATTCGCCACAGACAGCACCGATGCCGAAGAGGACAAAATCCCCAAGAAGTAAGAGTATGGTTGCGGAATAGGTGAGGGGTCTGCGGTGGGGGTGGAGAGAAGAGACGACCTCCACCTTGTCTCTGTGGGACAGACCTCTTCCCATAGGGCTGGCACGGCTGGGGTACCATCTGCATGTGGGATGGAGGTCAAAGGTTGATCATTTTTGGGGAAAAAAAAGAAAACAAGAAAATGACAGGGAAGTTAGCAACCTCCAGGGCTCACGTAAGCCCCGAAAAGCTCCCGGGTTTCCCCTTTGTTGAAGTTTTGTTGTTGTTGTTTGTTTGTTTGTTTGTTTGTTTTTTGTGGTAAAATGTACACAACATGAAGTTTGCCATTTTAACCACTTTTTTTTCTTTTTTTCTTTTATTTTTTGAAATGGAGCCTCGCTCTGTCCCCCAGGCTGGAGTGCAATGTGACCTCGGCTCACTGCAACCTCCGCCTCCCAGGTTCAAGCGATTCTCCTGCCTCAATCTCCCGAGTAGCTGGGATTACAGGCGTGCGCCACCACGCCTGGCTAATTTTTTTTTTTTTGTATTTTTAGTAGAGATGGGTTTCACCATGTTGGCCAGGCTGGTCTTGAACTCCTGACCTCAAGTGATCCGCCCGCCTTGGCCTCCCAAAGTGCTGGGATTACAGGCGTGAGCCACTGTGCCCGGCCCATTTTAACCACTTTTAAATGTACCATTCAGTGGCTTAAGTACATTCCGAATGTTGTGTAGCCTTCACCGCTGTCTATACCCAAAACTTTCCCATTGCCTGAGCAGGAACTCTACAACCATTGAGCCTACCGCTCCATCCTTCCCATTCTCCCACCCCCTGTGCTGTTTTTTTTTTACCTAAACAAGATTTCCGCCTGGCCCTTCGCACTGTCTCCTTGTGCCCCATGTACACATCTCTGGAGGCGCAGGATAGTGAGCTGCAGTAATGGAGCTCGCATGTATATGGCAGCTATTCCATGAGGCCCTTGACGCCCTCACACCTTAGCCTTGCTGACAGGAGGCAGAGCTGGGAATCCACGGAGCCTAAGGGGCTAAGCTTGGCCCTCGGGATGTTGCCTGGCCCCACAGCTTCCCCCACAGGGAAGGGACCAGGACCCAGACCCCCAGGCTCTTCCACCGTCAGGGCTGCCTCAGGCTCTGACCAGTGTCGTTGCCCTCTTCCCGTCCACCCTGTCTCCATGGGGAGCATTCCTGGAGAATCTCCATGTGACAGTGGGGAGAGAACAGAAGCCTCCCTAAAGCGGCCTGGGTGCCAATCCCTGGCTTGTCTGTGGCTGTTTCCCACAGGAGCTCCGTGCGATTACTGATCCGCAAAGTACAGCATGCCCCACTTGAGATGGGTCCCCAGCCCCGAGCTGAGGCGGCCTGGCAGTTCTTCATGTCTGACAAGCCCCTGCACCTTGCGGTCTCTCTCAACAAAGAGGTAACCACCTACCATCGCTACTACCCGCAGGGCAGCAGGCCTAGGGGCAGGCCCCACACCCCTCTCTTCACCAGCCCCAGCCCTTAACTACATGGGTGCCTTGCAAGGAAGCTTGTTTCTAGGATAAAGCACCAACATGCGTAAGTGACTGGCCTGTTTTCACAGCCTGGAGCTGGTCAGCATGGTCCTTAGAGGAGGACGGAACTGGCTTGCGTTCCACCCACTGGCTGTCCCGAGGGACTGGGGAAGGAAGGGGCGCTGCTTTTCACATACCTGCCCCCCAGCTGTCCTTGTCCTGTCCACCTCCATGGGCCTTGTTCACTCATGGAGCATCAATAGCTGTGGTATCCCAAATTCTTCACTTCCTGGGAAATTTAAGTTTTGCAGAAACCATGTGGGATGGCAGTGTCACCTGTGATGTCATCTCTTAGGGGTGTCATGGTGGGAAAAGGTGAGAGCTGCTGGCCAAGGCTGGCTCTGGTTCCTCTGGTCAGCAGTCAGCCATTTGTGCACTGTGTGTATACACGTGTGTGGGTGTGCCAGGGGCTGTGTTACACGGGCTCTGCTGGGTGGGATGCCAGCACTTGGCTTTCCCAGTGGTTTCCTTTCACTTCACTCATCCTGCCCCCATAACCTCCTGACCCCTGGCCTCCTCCGATGTGATGATCGGAACTCTGTTCCCCTCCCCAGCTTCCCACAGATGGGTGGAATGTGTTTCAGGCCCTTCCTTAGAAGAAATGTATTGCTATCACTTCATCTTCCTTAAATTCTGCCGCTTTTATTCCAGTGAAAGGGATTGAGATGAATCTAGAAAGCAGTAAGATTAAAGACACCGCCACATCTGTTCTCTTCTTCTGACCTATCTGCTGACTTTTCTAGATCTATTTCCATGGGGAGCCCATCCCTGTGACCGTGACTGTCACCAATAACACAGAGAAGACCGTGAAGAAGATTAAAGCATTCGGTAGGACCTTCTTCTCAGAAGTAGAGGGCATAGTCTTCTAGAATTTCTGATCCTGTTTCCTGAGAGGTCACTTCTCTGGTCTGATAAGGCCCTTCTGGGTCCTTGGAACTGGCTACTTGTCTCTGCTGTCATAGGCAGCAGGACTGCGGAGGGAGAAAGGCCTTACAAGTTATCTCATTCAACTTCCTGCCCACTTACGGCTGGTTTTTGTCTTGGAACAAAATTCCTGGCAAGTGATCTCTTTCCATGGTTATGCCTTCCTGGAGGGCCCCACAGTGCTCATTGTGGTTGACAGATGCAGCACATTGTTGTGGGTGAGGCCTAATTTGTGGACTCATGCTGTGGGCTCTGTGATCCCAGCTGGCATCCACAGCAGGGGCTCCTTGTCTACCTTCCCAGGCTTTGTGTGGCTTGAAGGAGGTCCCACATGGAAGCGCTTTGTAAATGGTGAAGTGTGACTGTCTCGGCTCAAATGGCCATCATGTCATGGCTGACCTTCCCATATCCTACAGGGGAGGTGCCTTCTGCCTGTTGTTCCCACACATTAACTAAGCTCAAAAAGCATCAAAGCACAGGGGGTCTTATATAATGGTCTTATTTGGCTCTTTCATGAGGAAGACATGATGGAATGACCTGTGAGGGTAACCTCTAAGTTCACTTTTTAACTCAAACATTCAATGACCAAGACAAAGTTAGACTTATGCATCTTGGGGTGACTGTCCCAGGGCCCAGGACTGAGGATGTGGAACTTCCAGTCCTAAAATGGGCTCTCCCGGGCAAGCCAGGGTGAGCAGTGGCCCTAGGTGTCATATACCACTTTTCCCTGTGAGTCATCACAGATGAGGGTCAGAAATCCTGATGCGTGCAGACTAAGGAATTCTAGACTTTTCCCTCCCTCCCTTCCTTCCTTCCTTCCTTCCTTCCTTCCTTCCTTCCTTCCTTCCTTCCTTCCTTCCTTCCTTCCTCCCTTTCTTTCACAGTCTCCCTCTGTCACCCAGGCTGGAGTGCAGTGGTGTGATCTCGGCTCACTGCAACCTCCAGCTCCTGGGTTCAAGCCATTCTCCTGCCTCAGCCTCCCAAGTAGCTGGGATTACAGGCGTGCACCAATTTTGCCTGGCTAATTTTGTATTTTCAGTAGAGATGGGGATTTCGCCATGTTGGCCAGGCTGGTTTCAAACCCCTGACCTCAGGTGATCCATCCGCCTCAGCCTCCCAAAGTGCTGGGATTACCGGTGTGAGCCACTGCACCCGGATAGCTGTTAACTTTTTAAAAACAAAATATTAATTGCTTTCTATAGGCTGGGCACTGTACTGCATGCCTTGCACAAATTGTTTCTTTATCCTCAAACTTTGGCTGAGTGCAGTGGTTCACGCCTGTAATCCCAGTACTTTGGGAGGCCAAGGTGGGAGGATCCCTTGAGCCCAGGAGTTCAAGACCAGCCTGGGCAATATAGGGAGACCCTGCCTTTATTTTTTAAAAAAATCCTCAAGCTTAATTTTAAAGGTGATTAAAAGTCATCTTTTTAATCATCACAACGTCCCTATGAGTTAGATGCAATTATTACCCCCATTTTACTGATGGGGAAACTGAGGCTTAGAATAGATAAATAATTCACCCCACAGTTAGTGGCTAAGCCAAGATTGGCACCCAAACAGCCTGGCTCCAGGCCCACCTTCCTATCCACCACGTTCCACCCACCAACCAGTCCTGTACTGCCTCTAGCTAGTCTCTTGGAGGACAGGAAGGACAATGTTCATGAAGTAAGATGGAGGATGTTAGAAAGGGCTGAGCAGGGGAAAGGAGGGGTCTCCCAGGAGCTGCAGCCTTAGGGGACATGGGTGGGAGTTGATACAGAGCAGGTTATGGGTGACCAGAAATGGCCTGGAGACAGGACTTCAAAACCCCAGCCTTGAAGCTGAGGGCTGAGAAAGCCTAGCCTTGGAAGTGGAGGGAAACCATCATCAGAGAGGAGAGACCAGCGTGTACCCTGGGAGGCCGCAGGGAAAGTGCACGTGTTGGGGGACCAGTGCTGACCACCGGACTCCCGTCTTCCCCTTGCAGTGGAACAGGTGGCCAATGTGGTTCTCTACTCGAGTGATTATTACGTCAAGCCCGTGGCTATGGAGGAAGCGCAGTGAGTAGCTGTTGGGGTTTCCGTTTCCTGGGCGTCTCAGCCTTCTGTGTCAAGTTTCTCGCCGTTTATTGCTGAAGAAGGAACTAGAATGTTCAGCTAGCTCGCCAGCCTTCCACTTCCTTCCTCTTTCTCCCTTCGAGGGCTGCACAGAAAGTTAGCATCTTAGCTCTGCATCTACCACACCCCTCTGTGCCCATCTTACAGGAGTTCTGAGGATTAATGCAAGCCAAAGAATGACGCAGAGGAGAGAAATAAAGACAGAAATGTCACCATGGGATCAGCTGGCTTTTTCTATTTATCCTTGGAATGAATTGTTAGGAATTTGGTACTATTTCCACCTCCCAGAAGATGGTCAAATGAACTGTCAGCCCAGGCTAGGATTCCCTATCTTTTGATCTCAAATTGAAATCTTATACCAGTGACAACTGGATTAGAATATATCTGTTCTTAGCCTGTTGTTGTGAATGACTTTTCCCCTTTGTTAGAATCAAAAACAAATGAGAATCCTGCCATGGTTCCTTTATGCTGGCCTGAGAGACCTGCCCAGCTTTGCTGTGTGCCACAAAGTCAAATAGATTCATTTAATACATGGCTTGGAGTGGGGGGCGATGATCTCCCACCTCCAGCCCCCCGAGAGGATAGCTCGACCAGGTCTTAACTCTTTGCCTTGCTGGCATGTTCTAAGCACCGTTGTATGTAAAAAATATTATCAGGGTTAGAGGAAGGTTAGGGTAGGGGAATGATGAAAGACAACTGATTCCTTAAGATAATATAAGGTAATAGATAGATTTTTTTGAGATGGAGTCTCACTCTGTTGCCCAGGCTGGAGTGCAGTGGTGAGATCTCAGCTCACTGCAACCTCCACCACCCAGGTTCGAGCCATTCTCCTGACTCAGTCTCCCAAGTAGCTGGAATTACAGGAGCCCGCCACCAAGCCCAGCTAATTTTGTATTTTTTTTTTTTTTTGAGACGGAGTTTTGCTCTTGTTGCCCAAGCAGGAGTGCAATGGCGCGATCTTGACTCACTGCAACCTTTGCCTCCTGGGTTCAAGTGATTCTCCTGCCTCAGCCTCCTGAGTAGCTGGGATTACAGGCACACGCCACCACCCCTGGCTAATTTTTTGTATTTTTATTAGAAATGGGGTTTCACCATGTTAGCCAGGCTGGTCTCGAACTCCTGACCTCAGGTGATCTGCCCACCTCGGCCTCCCAAAGTGCTGGGATTACAGGAGTGAGCCACCGTGCCTGGCTGATTTTGTATTTTTAGTAGAGACAGGGTTTCACCTGTTGGCCAGGCTGGTCTCAAACTCCTGACCTCAGGTGATCTGCTTGCCTCAGCCTCCCAAAGTGCTGAAATTACAGGCGTGAGCCACCGCACCTGGCCTATATGGGAATATTTAAAAGGCAACTTTAGGAGAAACTATTACTGTTATTCAAAACAGATTCAAACTGTAGGTCTACAAGGGAGGGAGACAGGAAAGAACCACCACTCACTGCCTCCTTTCTGCCAAGATTGGGCTCTGTTCTGCCTTTAGGGGATCCTCGCACATCCCTGTGCCCTGGAGGGGTCTTGGCCCTGGTTCACCTTTCCTCATGTGCTCAGCAACATGGGAGCAAAGGATCCTGGCTGAGTTTTCCCCTAATATGTATTCCATCACCTGGTCCTCTTTCAAAGTGTTGGGTGCATTTTGGGTCAAAGATTCCCAGGAAACTGGAAAGCATTCCAAAGTCCCCCAAAGGCTGGAGGAGCCTGGGAGCTGGACTGGACCATGCTGACAAGTCTGAAGCTAGAGGCCACTCAGAAAGCTGCAGAGCAGGAGCCATCGTCCCAGAGCCCTGTGGCTTCTGGGGCTTTAGTGGGCAGGCTTCCACGGAACCAGGACAGACCTGACTCCCAAGCTGCTCCCCACCATCCAAACCCACATCCTGAAGCTCTGGGGAGTGGCCCCAGAGCCTTGGCATAGTCCTTTGGCAAGCTCTGCACAAACACAAAAAGTCCATCCTCTGAGCCCAACCCCAAGGGCCCTCTTCCTATTCCAGCCATCTTTACAATGCTGTTTCTGCTTTTTTCAATGCTCAAATTACGCTCATTAAGAGAGGTTCCACCAGGACCCAGATGGTAGGATGTGGGCCACCTTGGGCTCTGGCAGATTTCTGTAAAGAGCTTCCTGTAGACACTGGAGGCAGGATAGGGGACAGCTGCTTTTACCTATCCAGGGAAACTTGATTAGGGAAAGGAAGTCCTTTCCCAGAGAGGCAGTTCAGACTTCCAGCTGTCTCAGGACAGCCTTAGAATGGTCCTGATGCTGGCCACACCCCACCTTGTTCTGGCTAGGCACAGGATGGAGGGTGTGCTTCCGGCACGAATGGGCTCTGCTGTCAGAGAGTGTGCAGCCACGTGACTGTGGGCACACTTCCCGTCTGGAAAATGGGGATCTTGGAGCACCTGCTTGGTATGGGGTTGATGAGGGTAAGGTGAGAGTTTTGAGGACAGGCCTTAGCACTTGGCCTGGCACACAGCATGCACGTGAGTGGAGGAGCCAACTCTCCAGCCGCAGAGGCTGCTTCATGATCCTGGCCATGCTGCCGTGTGTCTGCCTGGAGAAACACACATTGCTGTGTCCCCAGCTGGATCCCAGACCCGCCTGTTGGCACAGGGTCTCCGCCATCTGTCAGATGTTGAGAAATCTATACCCCGACTGATGATGAAGAAGATCCAGTAGAGAAAGAGCATGTGCTGCTTTGGACCCAAGCTATTCGGTCTGTGTGATCCACAAATTGTGGGTCCCTGCGTTGCCCCTCTAGACAACTTACCACACAGTCACACTGTGACCCCCTTATAGTGACAGTTTTTGGTGACAAGAGGCTTTCTGGCCTGGACTCGTTGCTGACACCAACCAGAAGGTTCTGCAGGCCACCGTGTGGTTCACAAAGTCTCAGGAGGAGGCTGTGGTCTCTGACTCTTGAGCCAGTTTGTCTCATTAACTCCATAGAACATTCTAGAAATTCAGCAATTCAGAATAGGCTGAGTTGCTTGAAGAAATATCCTCCTGTTGCTGCCAGCCCACCCTGAGATTTCACAAGCACTGTTCTGCTTCTCGTAAGTCAAGTTCCCAGGCTCTTGAACCCACCTTCCCAGGAGGTCCATCAGGGGATGTGGATCCTGGAAAATGCCTAATGTCAAATAGGGGCTCATGGGGTCCATGGCAGCTTTGATGGTTATAAATCTCCTCTGTTCTTCTTCCTCTAGAGAAAAAGTGCCACCAAACAGCACTTTGACCAAGACGCTGACGCTGCTGCCCTTGCTGGCTAACAATCGAGAAAGGAGAGGCATTGCCCTGGATGGGAAAATCAAGCACGAGGACACAAACCTTGCCTCCAGCACCATGTGAGTCCTCGAGGCTCAGGGAATAAGCCCTGGCAGGGCGGGCTGGTGCTGGTCTGCTTCCCTTCACATCACCCTGCTGGGCTCGCAGGCACGCACGTGCAGCATGGTGGTCTGGCGTGTGTAGTGTGGAGTGCATATCTACGGGCCCACACAAGGATCCCACTCTCACCCCTGGTGTGATGTGGGGGTTACACCCATGGGCCTTGGAGACAGCTGTGCGCTAACCCCAGCTCTGCTGCTGACCCTGGGAAAACACCTTGAGTTCTCTGAGAACCTCAGTTTTCCTGTTTGTAAAGTGGGGGCGGTAATAGTTCAAGTCTCATAGAGTGATTATAAGGATTCAGTGAGACAATCCATGTGAAGCGTGGGGCCTGACACACAGAGAGTGCTCCAGGAATGTCAGCTACTGTTTTTAGAAGTATCACTAGCTAGTGTGGTGCCCTAAGCATGTAAACTGAGTAATGCTCTTGGCTGTGTTCATTCATTCATTCATTCATTCGTCCATTTCCATCAGGAATTGTAAAGAACAGGAGGTCCTAATGACTTTAGATGTCCATTAAATTTAAATGAAACTAAGTACTGATCTGCTGACCCTGACTCAAAGGACGACTGGCTGAATTTGGGCAGCAGATCTAGCGAAGACTATACAGTGAAGTTCCCAAGTCAGCGTCCACTGTCCTTCCAAGCCACGCTTTTGCGCTTCCCTTCCCGGGAGCATGTCTGTGGGCTCAAGGCCCACTCACTGCCACCTCCCCATGTGATATGCTGGGGGTTCCCTCTGTGGCCCCAGTAGACCACCTCCGAGGTGATGCCAATGGCTGGGAGACTGGATTGTTTGACCCCATGACTCCGATGCTCAGTAGCTCACACTCTCTGAGACCAAGAGTGGGGAACAGTGAACAATTGGCAGAAAGCAGGTGGAAGTCAAAGGATTTTCTGAGGATAATTGGCCAAGTTACTGTGTTAGATTCTAAAGCACATTCGTGAAGCTCCGGGAGAGAGAATATCAGGGAAACTGAGAGCCTAGATCAATGTATTCAAGGGCGTAGGGATCGTAAGATGAACAATGATGGCTCACCACACTGTGGGAATGTTTCATGGTGTGTGGACTAGTTTCTAAACATGTACGACTCGGCCGGCCATGATGGCTCACACCTGTAATCCCAGTACTTTAGGAGGCTGAGGCGGGTGGATCACCTAAGGTCAGGAGTTGGAGGCCATCCTGGCCAACATGGTGAAACCCTGTCTCTACTGAAAATACAAAAATTAGCCAGGTGTGGTGGTGGGTGCCTGTAATCTCAGCTACTCGAGAGGCTGAGACAGGAGAATCGCTTGAACCCGGGAGGCGGAGGTTGTGGTGAGTCGAGATCGTGCCATTGCACTCCAGCCTGGTGACAGAGCAAGACTCCATCTCAGAAAAAAAAAAAAACCAACCAACAAAACAAAAAAATCATTTATGACTCTCCACACCTCCATGAGGAAGGTATATTTATATGCATTTTATGGGTAAGGAAATTGAGGTTGAGCCAGAATGAAAGACTTATCCAAGGTCACTGAATCAGTTAATAGCAGAGCAAAGTCCACTCCACAGCAAATCTCCCAGCCCAGGAAGATGCCAGGGGTTCTGACTTGCAGGGTGTTCTCAGGCACGTGGCAGAGCATGTTCAGTTCAGCAGCTGCTTGGCCCCATTCAGCGCAAGGTAGAGTTAATCTCAGCTGGGAGGAGTAGCTCACACCTGTAATCCCAGCACTTTAGAAGGCCAGAGTGGGCGAATCGCTTGAGCCCAGGAGTTTGAGACCAGCCTGGGCAACATGGCGAAAACCCATATCCACAAAAAATTAAAACATTAGCTGGGCATGGTGGCACGTGCCTGTAGTCCCAGCTATTTGAGAGGCTGAGATGACAGGATAGCTTGAGCCCAGGAGGTCGAGGCTACAGTGACCTATGATCATGCCATTGCATTCCAGCCTAGGTGATAAAATGAGACCCTGTCTCAAAAAAAAAAAAAAGTCAATCCCAGCAAAGAGGGGGATCTCAAGCTTGTACCCCTTTTTTCCCTTTGGAGGTATCCTCTCTTCACCAGGTACTTGGCCATACTCCGCAAGTCCAGATAAAGATATTCTGTCCTCTTTTAAAAATTATTTTTATTTTTTTTTGAGATAAGGTCTCAGTCTGTCACCCAGGCTGGAGTGCAGTAGCGCGTTCTTGGCTCACTGCAACCTCCACCTCCCAAGTTCAAGGGATTCTCCTGGCTCAGCCTCCTGAGTAGCTGGGATTAGAGGCTCCCACCACCACGCCTGGCTAATTTTGTACTTTCAATAGAGATGGGGTTTCGCCATGTTGTCCAGGCTGGTCTTGAATTTCCTGAACTCAAGCGATCTGCCCGCCTCCGTCTCCCAAAGTGCTGGGATTAAAGGTGTGAGCCACGACGTCTGGCTATTCTGTCCTCTTTTAAATGAGCTCCAGACGCCAGTGAGCTGAAGGAGCTCTCTGGGGAGCACTGTGGTCCTGGAAACACGTGCTTGAGACACCTCCCCTCAGAGGTTCCCGAGCTGACGTCTTCTTCCAGGCCCAGCACCTGCTGGCCGCCGCCCCAACTCTTTTTCCAGAGCTGTTCCATCCTTCCCTGCCTTCTGCCTGTAGCCTTCAGGTTTCTTGGGCTTTTTTTCTATCATTATTTACATGATTTTTGTTAGCATTTCATGATTTTTTTCATATCTTAATTCCTGTTATTGGACATCCTGGAGTACTCATGTCCTCCGCGTTGGATCCCACGCGATAAGCATCTGTGATGAAATGCCCGGCACAGTGCCTGCCAGATAGTAGAACTTCAGTACGTATTAGTGGGATCTGGAATGACATTTCTGTCAAGGAACGTCACATTGCACTGTCTTTGGGGCACATCTGAGGGTCTCGCACATCCTGCTCATTCACTTAAACATTGACAGCTCTCACTTGGTGCCAGGTCTGATGCTGGGTGCTGGGGACACACAGCTGGATATCTTGGAAGGCAGGAGAGAAGGAGGGGGCATTCTGGTGCAGGGTTGTGTTGGCAAGACTGGCGCGGGGGGCGCTGGGACACAGCTGGGGGTGAAGTAGCAAAGGCAGGCCAGGGCAGCTCACAGGCTGCTTCTGAGGCTGAACCTGCAGATGGCCACAGAGCTCAGAGAAGGGGCCTGGCACGTGGGAGATGAGTTACTGAGATAATCCAGGCAGGCAAAGCCTGCTGGAGGACTTGGGGACTTGCAGTTTTGGCAAGTGGTAGGAGGGAGTTGCTGAGGAGGATGACCGGGGGATGTGCATCTATAGAGGTCAAGCACAGAGAAGGGGGTTGCATGCTCTGCCCTCTGGGAACTTCTAGAGGAGAAGACACAGGAATTCCTCCAGTGCGTGCAAGGAGTCCCCATACCCACTCCCCAAGTACATGAACTTCTAGGACTTTGGAAGCTCAGTGAGTTCACCAGTCCCTGGAGAACCTCCATGACGGCATGCCTGCCTCGAATGGAAAGGCTGCCCATCTGCTCTTCACCCTCCTCTGCTCTCCATCATTCTCCTTTTCCCTTCTGTTTGGGCAGCATTAAGGAGGGCATAGACCGGACCGTCCTGGGAATCCTGGTGTCTTACCAGATCAAGGTGAAGCTCACAGTGTCAGGGTAAGTGTCCCGGCACCAACCCTCGGGCTGCTCTGTCCTGGTCTTAGATGGTCTGAACTTTTCCTTTCCTGAATGACTGGGAGACAGAAAGCAAGGAAAGGCCCATAGCTTCTACCAAGGATTACCAAGTAGAGCTTGGGAGAGATTCTGTTTGTCTAGTACCATGCTTCTGTCTGATAAAATGTCAGGTGGGAAAGGGTGGAGAAGCAGACTCTGAAATGTGTGCATTCTTAGCGCCACTTTGCAAAAATACGTGTGCATATGTGCATGTGGTAGAAGCTGATGTGCAAGAATGAGGATTAGTCAAATGTTATCCTTCAGAAAAGAATAACTGCTGTGAAAGAACTCTCAGTAAATCTTCATGTTTTTGCATCTTAGAAGGTATCCATCCATAAAGTGGGGACTTTCCCCTCCCCTCTCACACATGTAATCACAGGGCACAGGAGTCTTCTTTTCATACAAGAGTGCCAATATCTCAGAGTTTTAAGGGAACAGGTTTCCACTTTCATTTTCATGTGAAGCCAGTTTCTTCCATTTGTTTAATCTTACCAAAAGGGAAAAACTTGAATTCTCATTTTCGTTTCAAATTCCATTGCCAAAGGCTCTGGCCTTTTACCTGGATGAGCCTTGGGTAGTTCTGCCATCAAAGGCAAGTCTGTGCCTAGGTTTCATACTTCTAAGTAGTAAAGAATTCCCTTGAGGAAAATAAGCGTTTAAAAAGAGTTTC
This sequence comes from Homo sapiens, assembly GCF_000001405.40. Taxonomy (NCBI): domain Eukaryota; kingdom Metazoa; phylum Chordata; class Mammalia; order Primates; family Hominidae; genus Homo; species Homo sapiens. The sequence continues at coordinate 233,339,481 of NC_000002.12, forward strand.
CCAAATTTCTAACAAAGTAGAACATGGGTCTATTTTGCATTTTTCGTTAGCATAGTGTTTTTTTTTTTTTTTTTTTCACTGTGGATAGTGCATAAAAGGATCTAAAAACAGGGTGGAGTTTCTTTTAGCAGTCAAGGAAAGCAACCAGCAGGTATTTCACAATGACCTCTTGTGACTTATCTTGAATGTTAGGGCTTGACTTTTTTTTTTTGAGATGTAATCTCTCACTCTGGAGTGCAGTGGCATGACCTCGGCTCACTGTAACCTCCACCTCCCAGGTTCAAGTGATTCTCCTGCCTCAGCTTCTGAGTAGCTGGGATTACAGGTGCCCACCACCATGCCTGGCTAATTTTTGTATTTTTAGTAGAGACGGGGTTTCACCATGTTAGCCAGGCTGGTCTCGAACTTCTGACCTCAAGTGATCTGCCCACCTCAGCCTCCCAAAGTGCTGGATTACAGGTGTGAGCCACCGTGCCCAGCCAACTTTTTTTTTTGAGACGGAGTCTTATTCTGTCACCCAGGCTGGAGTACAGTGGCATGATCTCAGCTCACTGCAACCTCCACCTCCCAGGTTCAAGCAATTCCCCTGCCTCAGCCTCCCGAGTAGCTAAGATTACAGGCGCCTGCCACCATGCCCGGCTAATTTTTGTATTTTTAGTAGAGATGGGGTTTTACCACGTTGGTCAGGCTGGTCTGGAACTCATGACCTCAAGTGATCCGCCCACCTCGGCCTCCCAAAGTGCTGGGATTACAGGCATGATCCCCCATGCCCGGCCTTTTTAAACTAATCATCTTGAGAAAGAGATGAAGTCACAGGTAATGAAGTTGAACATTAAGGGATGGGAAGACCCTGGATGTTGTGAGTTCGGGTGCAAGGGCCATGAGAGCTGGGCTGTGTCCTGCCTCTGAATCATGGGAAAGGGTCGTGTTACCACTGTGACAGTTAACGACAGGCGTTTGTTTGTGTTTTCTAGCTTTCTGGGAGAGCTCACCTCCAGGTAAGCCTGTTCACCTTCCTTGTTTGATTGTTTCTCAAGATATCAAAGGCAGCAAACTTGGGGCTCCAAAACGGTTTCTGATGAAAGCTGCTTTCTGGACAGTTGTGCTCAGAGGTGTTAGGAATGATGCTTTGCCTTCGGATGCATCACAGAACCGTGGCTCATAGGCGTTTCTTTGGGACCAGATTTCTTTGGGACCACAGCTAGACCTATGCCTGGGTAAGGACACACACATACACACCCAGAAAACTGGCACACTCCATGCAGCCAGCTTGTGTGTGTGTGTGTGTGTTTGTGTGCGGTAAAATACACATAACATAAATTTTACCATTATATTATTTATTTTATTTTTTGAGATGTAGTCTCACTCTGTGGCCCAGCCTGGAGTGCAGTGACGTGATCTCGGCTCACCGTGACCTCCACTTCCTGGGTTCAGGCAATCCTCCCGCCTCAGCCTCCTGAGTAGCTGAGATTACAAGCGTGTGCCACAACACCTGGCTAATTTTTGTATTTTTAGTAGAGACGGGGTTTCCCCATGTTGGCCAGGCTGGTCTCGAACTCCTGACCTCCAGTGATGATCCTGCCTTGGCCTCCCAAAGTGCTGGGATTATAGATATGAGCCACCACACCTGGCAAATTTTACCATTTTAACCGTTTTGTTTTATTTTATTTTATTTTATTTTGAGACAGAGTCTTGCTCTGTTGCCCAGGCTCGAGTGCAGTGGCATGATCTTGGCTCAGTGCAACCTCTGCCTCCTTGGTTCAAGCAATTCTCCTGCCTCAGCATCCTGAGTAGCTGGGATTACAGGTGCACGCCACTATGCCCGACTAAGAGCTGAGATGATGCAGTACATAACCTCAATGCCTGTCTCAAATGTTTCTTAACTTGCTGCTGCTTCGTGCATAATTTAAAAGGCAGCTGTCACTATTTGCAATACCAAAAGGTAGAAACAACCCAAATGTCCACCAACAGATGAATGGGATAAACAAAATGTGGTATATCCATGCAATGGAATATTACTGAGCCATAAAAAGGAATGGAGTACTAGTACATGCTACAACATGGATAAACCTTATACTAATAACACTACGCTAAGTGAAAGAAACCAATAACAAAAGGCCACATATTGTATGAATCCATTTACACACAATATCCAGAACAGGCAAATCTATAGAGATAGAGAACAGATTAGTGGTTATGCCAGGGACTATAGGGAGGGAAAATGAGAGTGACTGGTTAAGGGGGATGAGATTTTCTTTTTGGGTAATAAAGATGTTCTAGAACTAGATAGTGGTGATGGTTGCATAACAGCGTAAATGTATTTAATGCCACCGAATTGTGCACTTTAAAATGATGAAGCTGGGCAGGGTGGCTCATGCCTATAATCCTAGCACTTTGAGAGGCTGAGGCAGGTGGATCACTTGAGATCAGGAGTTCAAGACCAGCCTGGGCAACATGGTGAAACCCCATCTCTACTTTTTAAAAATACAAAAATTAGCCAGGCCATGGTGGCATGCATTTGTAGTCCCAGCTACTCGGGAGGCTGAGATAGGAGAATTGCATGAACCCAGGAGGTGGAGGTTGCAGTGAGCCGAGATTGCGCCACTGCACTCCAGCCTGGGCGACAGAGCGAGACTCCATCTCAAAAAAAAAAAAAAAAAGTTCCCACTGCATTGTCTTTCAGCTTGGGCCTGGGGATCTTTTGTGACTCTCCGCAGCCATAGGTCTTTGCTGTGTTACTTACAATTGTGTGTATGGGTGTTCACACCAATCTTCATTCTTTTTTTCTAGTGAAGTCGCCACTGAGGTCCCATTCCGCCTCATGCACCCTCAGCCTGAGGACCCAGGTCAGTTATGTCCTTTTTTAGCTTTCTTTAATTATTTGCTACTTGCAGATTTATTGTTGATGTATTTCTAGTCTTTCTTGACCGCATCTCAGAGCATGGGAGTGGCCAGGTGTAAGAGATTCCATGTGATCTACAAGGTGAATAGTCTGGGGGGAAGGGAGGGCCCATCTGTTCAGCGCTGAGCCGGGTAGATTATCCACCTTCAGCTGGAGTCTGCAAGATGTAGCATCCTTGCTCTTGGACAGGGACAATCTCGTGAGGTTTTATCATGAATGATTTAAGAGCAGAAGCTCTGCTGTCAACAGACCTGGATTTAGAATTAAAGATGATTTAGGTAAAAACTTAATTTTAGAGCACGAGGATTTTGCATTTCATTTGGAAACAAAAGGCCTCATGTTTCATTTGAAAGCATTAACAGACATTTAAAAGAAGATAATTTTTTTTTTTTTTTGAGACGGAGTCTCACTCTGTCACCCAGTCTGGAGTGCAGTGGTGTGATCAAGCTTACTACAGCCTCAACCTCCTGGGCTCAACCCACCCTCCTACCTCAGCTTCTGAAGTAGCTGGAACTACAGGCATACCACCACCCTTAGCTAATGTTTTTGATTTTTAGTAGAGATGAGGTCTTGCCATGTTGCTCAGGCTAGTCTTGAACTCCTGAGCTCAAGTGATCTTTCTGCCTCATCCTCCCAAAGTGCTGGGGTTACAGGCATGAGCCACTGCACCTGGCTGAAGATAACTGTTTTTTTTTGGGGTTTTTTTTTTTTTTTTTTTTTTCTGAGATGGAGTCTCTGTCACCCAGCTGGAGTGCAGTGGCACAACCTCGGCTCACTGCAACCTCTGCCTCCCGGGTTCAAGTGATTCTCGTGCCTCAGCCTCCTGAATAGCTGGGATTACAGGCGCCTGCCACCCCACCTGGCTAATTTTTGTATTTGTAGTAGAGACGGGGTTTCGCCATGTCGGCCAGGCTAGTTTTGAACTCCTGACCTCAGGTGATCCACCCGCCTCAGCGTCCCAAAGTGCTGGGATTACAGGCGTGAGTCACGGCGCCCGGCCTGAAGATAACTATTTTTGACAGTGGCAGTTATGGTAAGAATACAGAAAATACTAGAAAAGAGGGTCAGGCTGGGTTCCTGACACCTCAGCTCATTTGAATTATAAATCTACTGGCTCTTGTATGGATGCGAAATGATGCAATAGTTGTATGACTCTGAAAACATATAAAAACCACTAGACTGTCGACTGTGAAAAGGTAAATTGTATGATATATGAATTTGATCTCAATCATTCTCTTTCTAAAAAGGTAAATGAAGCAGCAAAAATAATATAGGTGAAATCTCAGAAATTCTGAAGAAACATTCTCTGCATCGAGGCAGCTTAGTTGACGGGAAAGAAAAACAGATCTGTCTAAATGAGAACTCTCCGTAGGTATAGGAATAAGGGATATTTTAAGTAAAAGTGGTATAAACAAGCAGGGTTTATTTTTCTCATACTTTACAAATAGCTTTTCTATATTGGTAGTGAAATGCCGTTTAAACATTAGAATGAGCCCCCACTATTCATTTTAGGTTTTGTCTCAACAGTACTTTGTTTCAAAATAGCTCTTCCAAATACTTTGGATTCAGATCCTCAATGAACTTTTCCAAAACTGTCCCTTGGAGAAAAATGTAGTCCAGCTATATGTTTTCAGTTCATTTATGCTTGTGTCATTAAAATGTTACTTTTTCATGGTGTGGGATTAAGATGCTTTCTGGTTCCTTTCAAGGACATTAAAAAGATAGTCACTTGAGGAGATGTCATAGTTTATGTTGGGTTGTTTTCTGGAACTTTGAGTAGACTTTATGCCTTAATTTTTTTTTTTTGAGACATAGTCTTATTCTGTCACCCAGGCTGGAGTGCAGTGGCATGATCTCGGTTCACTGCAACCTCCGCCTCCCGAGTTCAAGTGATTCTCCTGTCTCAACCTCCCAAGTAGCTGGGATTACTGGCACGCGCCAGCACGCCTGGCTAATTTTTGTATTTTTAGTAGAGATGGGTTTTCACCATGTTGGCCAGGCTGGTCTCAAACTCCTGGCCTCAGGTGATCTGCCCGCCTCAGCCCTCCAAAGTGCTGGGATTACAGGCGTGAGCCACCGTGCCCGGCCTGACTTAATTTTTTTAAATTCTTTTCCATATACAACTTTCACGTTCCAGTCATTATGGCCTTAACAGTGAACATATCACAATGTCAGGATGAAACAATGATCTTTTGTACTGTGAGATTTCTGGGAGCAAAGGTTAAGACAAATCACCCCATGGTTACAAAATTCTGATTTCTAGAGATATGAGATAGATATGAGATAGATGAGATTTCTAGAGATAAATGTCATCTCTCCTGTCTTCTCTGCCTAGTTCTCGGCTCCCTGAGTCTAGGCTGGTAGGATTCTAAGCAGAGAAAGCATAAGCTATATGTAGTTAAGCCCTGCTGGAGCCTGGGGACCAAGTAATTTGTGTGTAATAAGTGCTGTGACATGCTACCAAGTTTTTATTGTCCCCTGTCAAGGGCATCTTTACTGAATCCGAAGATGCTGATTTGATTCTTCCTTGTTGTCTACCTCTGCAAGGCTGATGGTCCCGCTTAGTGTAATTTCTTCGCTGAGCACTGTGGGCCGCAGGGTATTTCTTGCTCAGGGGATGTTTTGACAAGCTAGCCTCTCTAGGGCCCCTGTACGTAGCGACCCTCATAGACACTCCCTCCCAGTGCTGGCTTCCAGGTGGGCACCAGAGGCGAGAGTAGGGGCTCACCATCAAATCGCCGCTGTGCTCCCCAAAACTAGGTGGGCAGAAAGCTAAAAAAGTACAAAAACCATTCAAATTAATAGCAGTTAGTCTGGGGATACAACACATGTGAAAACATAACTCAACAACAACAAAATCAATATGTTAACAGAAATTGAAAACTTTGCGGCTGGGGGTTGGTCCTCAAGCTTTAATGCACACTCTAACCCTGGGGTGCTGGTGAACGTCAAGTCCCAGGTCTCAGGCCTCTGAAGCCTGACAGATGGAGGTGCCAGGGTGCACATGCTCACGGCACCCTGGCGACCCTGACCTCAATGGGGTCCCGAGGACATGGAAGGAGAAATACTTTGAAAGGCGAAGCAACTGGCTGGGCAGGGAGGCCAAGGCGGGCGGAACACTTGAGGTCAGGAGTTCGAGACCAGCCTGGCCAACACGGTGACACCCCGTCTCTACTAAAAATACAAAAATTAGCCAGGCATGGTGGTGGGTGCCTGTAATCCCAGCTACTTGGGAGGTTAAGCCAGGAGAATCACTTGAACCTGGGAGACGGAGGTTGCAGTGAGCCGAGATTGTGCCACTTCACTCCAGCCTGGGCAACAGAGCAAGATGCCATCTCAAATAAATAAATAAGAAAGGAGAAGCGACATCAGAGGGGGCAAGGCTGATCAGGGAAAGCATCCTAGAGTTGAGACTGGGGGGGTTTCATGTGAGGAGGTGAAGGCTGTGGCACATTGTAAAGGAAGCAGTGATTTAAAATGCAAGGAGAGGCCGGGCGCAGTGGCTCACGCCTGTAATCCCAGCACTTGGGAGGCTGAGGCTGGCAGATCACTTGAGGTCAGGAGTTTGAGACCAGCCTGGCCAACATAGTTGAAACCCCTTCTCTACTACAGATACAAAAATTAGCCAGGCATAATGGCGCATGCCTGTAATCCCAGCTACTTGGGAGCCTGAGACACGAGAAACTCTTGAAACCAGGAGGCAAAGGTTGCAGTGAGCAGAGATTGTGGCACTGCATTCCAGCCTGGGTGACAGAGAGAGACAGTCTCAAATAAAATAAAATAATAAAATAAAATATAAAATAAATAAAATGCAAGGAGAAAAGCTGTTCCAGTGGGAAAGGCAGGGAGGCAGGAATTACACGCAGTGATCATGAACTGCATGTATCTAGGCCTTATCTCTCAAATTGTAAAGTCACCTAAAAGGTAGACATTTTCTAGGTACAGCTATGATATAGAATTTAGACTAACAAATGTCTCTCTCTCCCTCTTCCCTGCCTCCCTTTTATTCCATGCTTACAGCTAAGGAAAGGTGAGTGAGCCTCTTGAATGTGGCCCTGATTTGTCCTATGCTCTGGGACCTTCTCCTCCAGCACAAAACCCTCTTTGAGTCTTTGCACATATCCCAAGCTCTCCTGCCGGCTCAGGAGGCACATCCGCTACTTCCCGTCTGCTCCCTAGTGCTTACGGCACGCACGCACCATTACACTGGGTGTGCTTGCTCACTCTGCGCGTGCCTTTGTTTTCTCCCATTGGTGCTAGTTAAAGGAATTTTAAACGAAGCCTTGAGGAAAATGGCGTGCCCCCATGTTCTATCATGGGGAAAACCTTGATCAGTTCCTTCGTTGCAAAAAGATCAAGGATCTTGTTTCAGTTTCAGCTTCAAAGGGCGTGCAATGATCAAAATGTTGTTTGTTTTATTTTAGTTATCAGGATGCAAATTTAGTTTTTGAGGAGTTTGCTCGCCATAATCTGAAAGATGCAGGAGAAGCTGAGGAGGGGAAGAGAGACAAGAATGACGTTGATGAGTGAAGATGTCGGCTCAGGATGCCGGAAAATGACCTGTAGTTACCAGTGCAACGAGCAAAGCCCCACAGTTTAGTCCTTTGGAGTTATGCTGCGTATGAAAGGATGAGTCTTCTTCCGAGAAATAAAGCTTGTTTGTTCTCCCCTGGGTCATGAGTTGGTTGATTTGTTGGGGAGGCTGAGTTGATGACATGACACAAGCTGCCACCATTAGGGTCCCTGGAGTGGGAGGGTTGGGGAGAGGGAGGCCAGCCTCCCACGGAAGGGCTCACCACTCCCATGAGGGAGAGAAGGCGTCTGGAAATCAATGTGCTCACCAGGTGGGGCCCTCGGTGTGTCCAGGGGCTTTCCTAGGAGTCCCAGTCTGAGCTGTTTCTCTGGAAACAGTGCCTTCCCGTCTGTCCGTCTGTCCTTCCTTCCTTCCTTCCTTTATTCCTCCCTCCCTCCCTTCCTTCCTTCGTTTCGCTCTTGTTGCCCAGGCTGGAGTGCTGTGGCGTGATCTCAGCTCACTGCAAGCTCCGCCTCCCGGGTTCACGCCATTCTCCTGCCTCGGCCTCCTGAGTAGCTGGGATTACAGGCGTGTGCCACCATGCCCGCCTAATTTTTTGTATTTTTATTAGAGACAGGGTTTCACCATGTTAGCCAGGCTGGTCTCAAACTGCTGACCTCAGGTGATCCACCCACCTTAGCCTCCCAAAGTGCTGGGATTACAGGCGTGAGCCACTGCGCCTGGCCACCAGTGTATGTTTCTAATTACCTGACCAGTCCCAACTTCCAGGCCCCTAAAGAGCCTCCTAAGTTAAATAGGGCAGAGAACATCTGTGGACAAAAATACTCTTGGTTAATGATTCAACTTTTGGGTCCAGGTGTCTGTTTGAGCTTTGGGTTGTTGGTAAAGTTCTATTCAATGCAAGAAGCAAAATCAGATTTGGTTAAATTAAGGTGGGGAGAAGGAATGTAGTGGGAGGACCCCGGTGTGATCAGAGAACTGAAGGACAAACCTGAGCTGCCACACCTGGGGTAAGCAGGAATCAGAGAAGCTTCAGGGGTCAGGGACCCACTCTCCAGGGCGGCTCTTCATGCAGCTCAGCACCATACGTTCCCAGCTCTGCGTCTCTTGGTCCCAGTGGGCAGTTATTGGGAAGGAGAATCCAACTGGCTCAGCTTTGGCTGGGAGGATCAACACCCCGTGGTCAGCGATGGCAGAGCCCAGCCCTGGAGATGGAGAGTCCCAGAAAAGGGGGTTGATTGTGAGTCACATGGGCTTACTTAGAGCGTGCTTCACTGAGACTGGGCGTGAGAGGCATAGGGGAGAGCACTCTGAGTGTCAGGGAGGAAGGTGAACTGCAGGTGGAGGAGGGATAATAGAGGTGATACCAGGGCCTTTCCTTTGTGGGGTCCCTTCCTGCCCTGAGGTACCCACCGGGCCTGCTGCTGATGGCACAGATACTGAACAGGCTCATGGCGGCCAAGGAGAGGATGGAGATGCATAGGCTCTGGTCCATCTCTGGTCCATGCTTTAAGGGAGCAGGGTAAAGGGGGGTTGGAGATTCCTCCACAGTTCAACCCACTCACAGAAGGCAGAGGGTGAGTGGGAGGGGTTCTAGATGGGGAGTACACGTGGATCAGGCTTCTGGGATGGAACATGGCGACAGAGGGCTGGCCAGGGTATGGGTTCCATACACATGAAGGTTCCCAGCATCTGGGGTTGTTCAGAAGGATTCCAGCTGTTCGGGTCCTGGAGATTGGGATTTAGATGAGGAGGCTCCACTTGGGAAGCTTGGATGGGATCCCAGACAAAGCGAGGTGTGGACCCGTGTGCTGGCTCACGCATCCTGGCATTGGGAGGAGGATTTATAATACACTAGACTACAGGTGGAAGATTGGTCCTTCAGGCTGCGAGTTAGCAGGATCAGACACAGTCCCTCGTTCTTTTTCTCTCTATGCTAAGGTAATGGTGCACGACCATTTCAACCCATGCTCCCCTCAGGGCACGCAGACAAGGGATGGCCAGGGTGGCACACTCCTCTGAGGATTCCCAAAGCTGTTCCCCATTGCACTGAGCCCTTCCCCTGTCCTCTGCCACAGCACACAGGCTGCTGTGTTTAGCTCCTGCTAGAGCTCTTGGGCTAGCCCAGGGCCTGGGATTCTGCCCTGTGGTGCCTGGTGAGAGGACCAGCCCGTTGGTTCCTGCATTGCTTGACCCCAGGACATCCTAAGTCAGGGTGGACGTTAATAAGCCCGACCTTTGGAACTACGTGGGTGAGAGAGCTGGAGGGAAGGGCTGGAAGACCAATCCCTGGAGAGCAGAGGTCAGCACAGCCCTTACCCTCCTAGTTATTTTGGTGCCAAAATGTCTCGATACGCCCTCCAGGTGCTGGCTTGTTTATGGCCTGCAGCTGGCCACGCTGGGGAGGGAGTTGGGGGAGGAAGCGAGCAGCCAGCTGCCCTGAGCAGAAAGTGGAAGCTTGGCTCAGCTCAGCCTGCACATGTGTGGGGCTGTCTACTGGCATGTAGTGTCCCTTGGTATCAGGAGGCAGGAAGTCTACGTGCAGGTTGAATGTGTGGCCCAGAGTTTTTGGGACAGATGCAGTGCAAGAAACGGGGTACAGAGCAGTTGAAGGTGCTGCATGGAGAAAGTTCTGCAACCAGCAATGAAGGGCTGGAGAAGGGGGATGGATCCCTGCTATTGATGGAGTGCCTACCTTGTGCCAAGTACTTCACATCTGACATGTAACCATTTCAGTAGTACTTATAAATCAGTAGCATCATTCATATTTCTTAGATGAGGAAATTGCGGTTCAGAAAGGTTATGTACCTTACACATAGGTCACACAGCTAGTGAGAGTCAAGGCTTGAATGCTGGTGTCCCTGAGTCTATAACTAGACCTTTGCCCACTGTATGGTGCTGAATGGAAGTAGGAGAGTTTGGTGGAGTGGGGGGAGGGAGATTAGCATTTAGGATTCAACAACAACTGCCCTTGGCCCTTGCTATTTTTTTTTTCCATTGAAATTTTCAGGCTGGGCGAGGTGGCTCATGCCTGTAATCCCAGGACTTTGGGAGGCCGAGGCGGGCGGATCATGAGGTCAGGAGTTCAAGACCAGCCTGGCCAACATGGAGAAACCCCGTTTCTACTAAAAATACAAAAAATTAGCTGGGCATAGTGACAGGTGCCTGTAATCGCAGCTACTCAGGAGGCTGAGGCAGGAGAATCGCTGGAACCCAAGAGGTGGAGGTTGTAGTGAGCCCAGACTGTGCCATTGCATTCCAGCCTGGGCAACAGAGCGAGACTCCATCTCAAAAAGAAAAAAAAAAAGAAATTTTCATTGAGAGACTTGCACATTCACATGCAGTTGTAAGGGGTAATACGGAGAGACCCCAGGAACGCTTTACCCAACTTCCTCCAGTGGCAACATCATGTAAAGCTACAGTACAATATCCCAGCGGGGTATCGACGTGGGTCCAGTCTGCTCATCTGACTGAGATCTCCACAACTGGATTTGTACTAGTGTGTGTATTCAGTTCTCTGCAATTTTGTCACATGTGTGGTTAATTCCTTTTTAGGGTGTCTGTTTTCCTACTCCTTTAACATTTAAAAAACCTTTCTTCCTTCCAGTTTCATTTCACAGGACTGAGTCGCATTTACTGATCTTTGAGGAGTAGGGCAGGTGCGGGGTGGGAGTTGGGGACATTTGGAAATGTGTATGGTGGTTTTTGGTTTTCACATGCTTGGGGACCAGAAGCTCTATGTCACATGCAGTGGAGAAATGTGCTGCTCCAAATGACAATCATGACCCTAGTTCAGGGTAAAAATTGGATGATTCCCATGTTTTCAAGTTTCCCTTTTATATTCTCCAATGTGAAGTGGTTCTTTCTGACAGGAGTTGCGCCTCTTCACTGACGTGTCACAAAGAAGAATTAGGTTGGACGTGAAGTGTGTTATTACTGCCATCTTGATATGCCCTCAAGGTGGGGTAGACTCAGGGAGCAGGCTGTCGTTAGAGATGATTCATAGTGTGACTCATTCAATAAAGAGGCACCGGAGGGAATGTGCTCTTCCAGGCCACCGCTTTGGGGGAGTTGATGTCTCAGCCCTTCCTGAGATCTCCAGGGGAACAGCGCTGTGCGCTCACCAGGAGAACAAAAAAGCTGCTTCATCATCAAAGAACATTTATGCCAGTTTTCTTTGCTTTAAGAATATAATTCTTACCAAGCCTAATCCTCTTTTTTTAAAATACACTTTTTATTTTGAGTAGTTTTAGATCTACAGAAAAGTTGCAAAGATGTTATACTGAGGTCCCCCACACCCAAAACCCCCTATTATTAACCCTTACATGAGTAGGGTACATTTGCCACACTGAGTGACTCAAATGTTGTTTCCAGTAAAATATACTTATTTCTTTCCAACTTTTATTTTAGGTCCAGGGGGTACATGTGCAGGTTTTTTACATGGGTAAATTGCATGTCATGGCGGTTTGGTGTACAGATAGATACTTTTGTCACCCAAGTAATCAGCACAATAATCCCCGATAGGTAGTTCTTCAATCCTCACCCTCCTCCTACCCGGGAATCAATATTGATGCATTATTATTAAACTAAAGCCCCATACTTAATTCTGATGTCCTCAGCTTTTACCTAATGTCCTTTTTCTGTTCTGGGATCCCATCTAGGAACCCACGTGACGTTTAGTCATCATGTCTCCTTGGCTCCTCTTGTCTGTGACAATCTCAGTACTTTCTGGTAATTGCAGATTTCCTCCTCTCCAGCCACGGTTTCTGCTTCTTAACCGTCACGTTCATGCCCTTGCCTCCTTGACTCTAAAATGATGAGTTCTGGGGCCTGGATGTCCCCTGAGCTCCTAACAGGTGTAGGCAACAGCATTTATTATTATTATTATTATTATTATTATTTTTGAGACGGAGTCTCGCTCTGTTGCCCAGGCTGGAGTGCAGTGACACAATCTCGGCTCACTGCAACCTCTGTCTCCGGGGTTCAAGTGATTCTCCTGCCTCAGCCTCCCGAGTAGCTGGAACTACAAGCGCCCGCCACCACGCCAGGCTAATTTTTTGTATTTTTAGTAGAGACGTGGTTTCACCGTGTTAGCCAGGATGGTCTCGATCTCCTGACCTCGTGATCCGCCTGCCTCAGCCTCCCAAAGTGCTGGGATTACAGGCGTGAGCCACCGCGCCCGGCCGGCAACAGCATTTTAATGGCCTCCCTATTTCTAGTCTTCTCTCCTATGGATCATTCTCTGCCCAGACACATGAGTTCCTCTGCTTTCCCAAACCCCCTTGCCAGCTCCAGTGCCCACGGGACTGAAGTCCTTGCCTCAGAGCAGGGCCGGGAGGCTACTCTGCATCCTGGCGCCGCTGCTCACCTCCCTGCCTCCCGCACCCGCCTTGCTACCGGCTTCACCAAAATCCCTCGTCACCCGCTCTGCTCACCTGGTAGGGGTAGTCTCCCCGTTTTTGCGTTTTCCTGGGAAACTCCCTTCATATCTGACCTCTCCATTCCAATCCCAAACCCTGCTCAGGTCACCCGGCTCCCCCGCGGAATGAAGGAATGAACTGTTTCTTCCCCTGTGCGTCCCCGCCCCTCCTCCGCCTTGCACACTCCTCCAGGGTTTTGCCTCTGTGTATCACTCCACATGTAGTTAATTGATAGAAAAGTCCCAACCCTGTGGGGAGGCTGGAGCCCTTTGTGCCTGCATGAGTTCCCTAGGGCTGCCAGAGCACTGCACCATAGGCCGGGCGGCTTCCACCACAGGAATTGACGCTCTCGGTTCTGGTGGCTGGAAGTGCGAGATCACGGTGTCGGCAGGGGGAGTTCCATCGGAGGCCTTTCTCCTTGGCTTGTAGATGCCATCTTCTCCCTGTGTCTTCACATGGGCTGCCCTCTGTGTGTGTCTGTGTCCTCATCTCCTCTTTTTATGAGGACGCCAGTCATACCGGATTAGGGATCACCCCTGTGACCTCATTTTAACTTCATTACCTTTTTAAAAACCTTAACTCCAAATGCAGTCACATGCTGAGGTACTGGGGGTTAGGACTTCAACATATGAATTACGGGAGGACACAGTTCAGCATGCGACTGTGCTGCAGAACTTTCTGGGGGGACGGGGGAAGTGTTTTATATTTGTGCTATCCAGCGTGGCAGCTGCTAAGCCACATGCGGCTACTGAGTCCCTGAAATGTGGCTCCTGTGGCTGAGGAACGGAATGCTGAATTCTAACTAATTGAAATTTAAGTAGCCACATGTGGCTAGTGGCTATAGTACCCTGGGGCACCATGGGGCCTTCGGCCTGTCCCGGACTGTTCCTGCCTTAGGCCTTGTCCTCCTCTGTCCTGGCCGTGAGCCCATGCCCCTGGCCGTGTCCCCATGCCAGATGCCACTCTGCAGCCCCAGGTCACTGCCCAGGGCGGCGCGGCCAGCGAATGCCTATTGGCAGGCGAGGTCTCTAGCGGCAGCCCTTTGACAGGGAGAGGGCACACCTGGGCAGTCCCTTACTGATTTGCCCCTCAGAGCAGGGCAGACAGATGGACAGCATTTCCTCTGGGTGGCACCAAGCCCTGCTCCACCTGGATGGCACCAAAAACTTAGCTGATCTCATCTCCAGCTTCGCTTCCTCCTCTTCTGCCCAGAGCAGCGCTGGACCCCACCCGCCCACCATCCAGCAGCCCCCCTGGGAAACATGGGACTCGTTCTGGTCACCTCTGTCTCCCTCCAGTCGCTGGTCACTCCCCACCTGGATCTCAGTCCACGTCTCTATCTCTCAGCCCCTCGGTAATCCAGGGCGTCCACCTGCCCTGATAACTTCAAAGCCCGGATCACAGGCCCCAGCGTGGTGACCCAGCCCCGCCCAGGGTTAAATCCCTCAAGGGCTTCCTGCTGCCTTCCATCCCCTTATCTGGTTTCCAAAGCCCGCTTCGACCTGCCCGCCCCGAGGCTCATATCTTAATGCCATTTTCCTTGCTCTAAGCACCAGCTTCCCTTTCTTCCCCCGTCTTCGCCCAACACTCGTTCTTTCTTGCCTCCAGGCCTTTGCACAAATCTGGTCTCTGCCTAGAACATGGTTCCCTCTCTAGTCACAACTCCTGCTCACATTTTCCATCTCTCCTTAAGAACCGTTTTCTCCAGGAAGCCTTCCCAGATGGAGCGGTGCATCCCAGCTCTGGCGTCCCGAGGCCCGTCCCAGTACCGGGGTCTCTTTCCAGCACGCGCGCGCGCATTCGAGCTCGCCCCAAACTCGGCCACACAAGGCTGGGCAGGACAGACACAGCCCCAGCCTGCCTGAGGTTACCTACATTCTGATGCGGAAGAGTAGAGATGTTTTAAGAAGTGAATATAGAAACAAGAACACAAACGGCGTTCCAGAAATAACACACAGAAGCCACGGCCCGGAGAGGTGGGCGGGGGGCCCGGGACGCTTCAGGTGGGGGCGGGGAGGGGCCGCGCGGCGCCGTCTGCAGCTGCGCGCATGGCCGGCAGGGGGCGCGGCGGGGAGAGGCGGGAGGCCGCCCCCACCGCCCCCGGCCCGGCCCGCCCTCGGCCCCGCCCCTCCCGCCGGCCCCGCCCCGCCCCCGCCCGCGGTGCGCGCGCTGGCCCGGCAGCATGGCGGCGGCGGCGGGCGCCCCTCCGCCGGGTCCCCCGCAACCGCCTCCGCCGCCGCCGCCCGAGGAGTCGTCCGACAGCGAGCCCGAGGCGGAGCCCGGCTCCCCACAGAAGCTCATCCGCAAGGTGTCCACGTCGGGTCAGATCCGACAGAAGGTGAGCCCGCGGCGCGGCGGCCCGGGCGCGCGCCCCTCACGCCGCGGCAGCCCCGGCCGAGGCCCGTGGCCCTGCCCGAGCGGCCGCCCAGGCCCGGCTCGGCCCGGCCCGGGGTCCCGCGGGCGTCACCGCCCCTGTCGAGCGTGCCCCGCCGCTGTAACGGGCCGGCGCCCCGGGCGGAGCGCGCGGCCCCCGACGGACGGCGGGCGGCTGTGGGGCCGGGCGGGGGGCGCGCAGGTGGGCGCCCCGGGCGCCGCGCGCTGGGCGGGGGGCGCGCGCCGAGTTGGGCCGCGAGGACCCGGAGGAAACTGAGGCCTAGATGCAGGGGACTGCGCTCGTGCCACCGAGCGGGTCCCACGCGGGGGCTCCCGGCTGCGCCCCGCGGGCGTCCGCGGTCCCCAAACCCCGGTTCTGCACGTTTCTCAGGAGCGGTCGGGTGGTGTCCCGCGAGTGCCCTGCAGACTTCCCTGTGGTGCCCTCAGAAGTCCGCTCGGACCCGGGTGCGAGGGATCACCCCTTCACCCCTTCATCCCAAAAGGGAAGGAAGGGATGCGCGTTCAGTGACCGTCTCTCTCAGCAAAGCCGGGACCGCGCACCCGCTTGGCACCCAACTCTCCACGGAGAACTCCTGACGCTAAATGTTAGATAAAGACGCACGTCCTTTTTGCAGGAGGAAAGTTGCACCGTTTGTTTTCCCATTGTGCTTCCTATTGAAAACAGCTTACGGTTTTTGCTCCAGGTGAGCCCGCCCGGTTAGAACACTGCTTCCTCAGGCAGGTGGCTGGACAGGTGGCTGCGAGCAGGCTGGGTCCCTGGGGCAGCTCTGGCAGATCCGGTTGGCACGGACTTTCTCCTCCTGCTGCAGTGCGCTTTTCCTCCGGGGCGGATTAGGTTCAGCCGTTCCCTTCACCGTGGGAGCCTTCTCTTCTGTCAGCCTTTGATACCTGCGATGGGGGAACCTGAGGTCCTAACATGTTACAAACAGGTTTGTTGTGAAGTGCTCCAGTTATTCAGCAAATAGGTACCGAACACCTGCTTTGTTCCGGGTATAACAGTAGCAGTAGTGATGATAATGATAGCAATAGCAAATAACAATTCTTTAATAAGCCTTCTATGTGCCAGGCACTTTCTTGGGTTAGCTTTACAGCACTTGACATGGTTAGTTTATTAGTACTGGTGAGAACCCAATAAGTTGGATGCTATCATCTCCGTCTTTTGGAATTGGAATAGAAATAGAATCAAGGTTAAATGACTTGCCCAGGGTGTCACAGGTCGTAAATGTGGATGTGTGTTGGAACCATGGTCAGGACCGTAAGATGGAAGGCAGTTTCTACACCTAGGGATTCTCAGTCTAGTTGGGAGATGGACGCCTGTGCACCTGACATGACAACATTGTAAGTGCCGCGGAAACTCGGGGCAGAGACCTGCCCTGGGGAGGCAGGAGTGGTTTCCTTTAAGGTGAGATCTTGAGGGATAAAGAATTCACCAGGCTAAGTGGGTAAGAAATGGCCTTCTACATATTTGAACCTTGCGTCTAGAGCTTTAGGCACAACTGCGAAATGATCAGAAGTTGGGCCAGAGGTGGATCACGTTGATTAGACTTATTAGTTGGAAGGGTTGGTTAGGGCTGAATTTCGAAGGGGTGGTCCTTTGAGGGGTTTGCTTTTTGGCCTTGGGCAAGAGGTGGCCACAGAGGATTGTTCAAAGTATGGGGGTGATGGATCAGATGTGCTTTTGGGAAGATCTCCACATAGCCCTAAATGATACTGATAGGAGTTGCTTTCTCCTGTTGCCCAGGCAAGGTACTGACCAGTGTGGGGTAGATCATGTGATTTACAAGGTTGATTAAGATCAAGATTGTGTTGAGAGAGATTTGATTCCTGGGAGATTCCAGTGTTTAGAATTTTGTTGGTTAGGAGGTGTTTTTGCTTTCCTTCTTTTTTCTCCTAAAACAATAGCTGCTATACCAGCTGTTCTGGTTGAGGAGGAGTGATGGGTAGACTGTTAAAAATACACCCCGAGGACTTAGAGTTTCTGAATACAGTCACATCTGCTGTACAGATAGCTTAAGGCTGATTTTTCTTCTGAGTTGTTAAGAGATTGTCAGAATGTGGGAATGCGAGGTTGACTGTATGTAATAGCTCCATTTTTTTTTTTTCCAGCAGATAAGCCATTCACAAAATTCCTCTGGTATCTATGGTACATAATAGAAACATCAAAAATGGTATGGGGTAGCAGTCTGAGTCTAAAAAGAAAAACAGAACTCACCTTAAGTATTTGGAACAGAAGGAATGTAATCTAGGGGAGTGGTCACACAGGTGATGTGAGAACTGAGAATGCAGGCTGCAATGAGGCAAGCCGGAGATGAGGCAACAAGCAGGAAACTGCTGCCACCCCTAAGTTGGAGGGTGAAGGAAGGAGATGGCATTTCAGACTCCAGGGACAGCTGTCACCCACCAAAAACTGGGGTCACAAGGGGTCCATCTGGCAGTGGCTGGAGCCTTGCAAGGGCACAGCTGCTGCTGCGGATGTACTGTTCCCCTCCTGCCTGGGAACCCTGGCCTTGCTGGGGTCACCTCCTCCACAACTTGGACTGGAGCAGAAGGACAAAGAATGGATCTGAGGACAAGCTGGCCCAGGACCAGAACTGTATGTATGTCAGGCTTTTAAAATATTAGTCTAGTGCAAGTCAGAGCTGTCTTAATGAAGAGAAAAACAAAAGAGAATGTCTTAGGGCAGTGCTCCTCAAATTTTAATGTGCAGACACATCTCCTAGGGATCCTGTTAAAATGATGATTATGGTTGAGTAGGTCTAGGGTGGGTGGGGCCTTAGAATGTGCATTTCTTTTTCTTTCTTTCTTTCTTTTTTTTTTTTTTTTTTGAGACAAGGTCTCACTTTGTCACCCAGGCTGGAGTGCAGTGGTGCGATCTCAGCTACGGCAACCTTTGCCTCCTGGGCTTAAGTGATTTTCCTGCCTCAGCCTCCCAAGTAGCTGGGACTACAGGCAAATGCCACCATGCTGGCTAATTTTTGTATTTTGTTGTAGAGATGGAGTTTCCCCATGTTCCCCAGGCTGGTCTCAAACTCCTGAGCTCAAGTAATACACCCACCTCAGCCTCCCAAAGTGCTGGGATTATAAGCTTGAGCCAATGCACCTGGCAGAATATGCATTTCTAACAAGCTCCCAGAAGATGCTGATGCTGCTGGTCCATGGACCAGACTTTGAAAAACAAGACCTTATGGCACACATGTAAAGAGAAGCCTCTCCAAACTTCAAATAATTCTTCAGGTTATAGATCTTTAGCATATTGAAAATTTGATGTGTGCAGATTTGTGATGGCCATTTATCAGTTTAGCATTTCATGCATGTCTGATTTTTTAATATGTTCGAGCTCTTTAGAGTTGAAGCTGTCCACAGCAAAGACATTACTTCATTTGTATTTCCTGACTACAGTACACAGTAATGACTCTGTAGAACTGCATAGCTAGAATGGAAAGAAAGAAAATGGAGCTAACACTCCGACCAGCACATTCACCAGCACATTATAAGGTATTTTGAAATTTCAGTGAAGAACCGTGTAATTCTGCAAAGCTATCAGTTAAAAGAGTTTAATTTATTTAAAAGTTTCTAGAAAGTTAACATTTTTTGGATATGAGCATGAAAGTGCTTGGATTCCTGATTTTAAATTTAAACAAAGCATTTTTTCCATTGTGAAATGAAGACTAGTAAAAATTAGGTAAAGGGTTTAAGTTGTAAAAAACTTAAAAAAATGCACCGCAGTTTTATGAGATATAATTCACATGGGATACAGTTCAGTGGTTGTTAGTATATTCGCTGTTTTGCAACCATCACCACAGTCAATTTTAGAACATTTTCATCACCCCGTTTCCTCTCAACTCCCTCAACCATAGGCAACAAGAATCTACTTTCTGTCTCTGTGTTTGCTGATTCTGGTCATTTTACATAAATGGAATCATACAATATGTGGTCTGGCTTCTTTAACTTAGCATAATATTTTTAAGGTTCATCCATGTCATGGCATGTATCGGTACTTCATTTCTTTCTGTTGCTGGGTAATATTCCATTCTACAGGCACACTGTATTTTATTTATCCATTTATCAGTTGATGGACATTTGGGTTATTTCTACTTTTTGGCTATTCTGGATAATGCTGCTGTGAACATTCATGCACATGTTTTTGTGTGGACATAGGTTTTCATTTATCTTGGCTATACACCTAGGAGTGGAAGTGCTGGGCCATATGGTAATACTACCGGACTATTTTCCAGCTAAAAAGCTGCCGTAACATTTTACATTCCCACCAGCTGTGTATGAGGAGGGTTCCAATTTTTCCACATCCTTGTCAGTAACTGTTATTATCTCTCTTTTGATACTAGCCATCCTAGTAGGGATGAAGTAATGTAAAAGGTTTTTAATGCCATTTTATTGTCGGATTTCAAAGTCTAAACTTTGGTGTCAGATGAAGTCACTTCAGACCCTGCGCTTCTAGTTATGAAGCATGCGATTGTGGACAGGGTGTCTAAACCTCCCTTAAGACGTGGTTTCCTCATCTGTAAACATGGAAAATATTAGTTCTTGGGTTGGTTGTAGTGAAAGTAAATGTTAACTCTGTGTTCCTGAGTCTCAGTTTCCATGTCTGTAAAATAGAAATAACAGTTGTTATATCCATAAAATAGGAATGGGGATGTTAACTCATAGAATTAAATGGGATAATTTGTGTAGAACACCTAACATAGTGGCTGATGTATAGTAAATGATCACTAAATGGTTGCTTTTGGTTATTTTTTGTCTTTCTGATTTTTTTTTTTTTTTATCCCAGATAGGAATCATTTCCCTGATTCCATTTTTCTCCAGCTCAGGCTGGTCTGAGTCTCCATCTCTCGGCTCCAGAAGAGCAAATACAAACAAATCTGGCTGAAAATTAACAAAGACCATTTTTTAAAGAAATCGTTAATTTATTGAGTACTAGTGGGAATACCATGGGCTAGGTATTACATTTTGTATTTCACTGGTTCAGTTTAACAGCAAATATTTGAGATCTTAACATTGTTAACTGTTGTGCGAGGCACCAGGGGTATCTTATTGAGTAACAACAAAAATTTTTAGAGATGATAGTCTAGAAGACATTAATAAAACAATCACACAGTTAATATGAAGTTGTGATGGGGACGGGTGCTGATGAGGAGAGGGCCAGAATACTTTGAGAGGACATCATAGGTGAATTTGACCTGATATCAGGGAGGTCTAGGAGGGCTTCTTGAGGCAGTGACTGGCTGGGTCTGGAAGGTGAGTAGGGAGCAGTGCCTTCTGCTTCTGGCAGTGGTGAGCTGAGTGACTGCAGCGCCACTCTTCCAAGCACAGTCTGCTAATAAGATGATGCTGAATTTCTGGACTAGGATCTGGGGTGGCTGAAGATCTGTGGAAGTGAGTGTGGTATTTGGGGCTGCTTTTGACCTTGGAATCTGTAGTGGCGTCTGTAGTGGATTTGGCATCTCTACCAAATTTGGTCCACCTAGAACTTCAGGATGCCCACATAATAAGATATTAGTTAAATATCTTTAAAAAAATTTTTTTTCTTTTTTTCTGAGACAGGGTCTTGCTCGGTCGTCCAGGCTGGAGTGCAGTGGCATACTGCAGTCTCTGGCTGGGCTCAGGCAATCCTCCTGCCTCAGCCACCTGAGTAGCTGGGACTCCAGATGCATTCCATGATGCCTGGCTAATTTAAAAACACATTTTTATGGAGACGAGGGTCTCACTATGTTGCCCATGCTTGGGGTCTCAAACTCCTGGGCTCAAGCGATCCTCCCCCTTTGGCTTCCCAAAGTGCTAGAATTACAGACATGAGCTACTGTGCCTGGCCAAAATTTTTTATTTTGAGATAGGGTCTTGCTATATTCCCCAGGCTGGTCTCAAACTCCTGGGCTCAAGTGATCCTCCTGCTTCAGGCTTCTGAGTAGCTGGGAGCGTAGGCTCAAGCCACTGTGCCTGGCTAATTAAAGATTTTGAGAGTAAATCATCGTGAACTTAGGAGAAACTCTAAATCCAGTGTTGGTTTCTTTATAAGAGGAAGGGGAGGGAGATTTGGACAGAAAGACATGTTGGGAAAAAGGTTATGGGAAAATAGAGCCGGAGATTAGAGTTCGTTGATGCAAACCAAGGAATGCCTGGGGCCACCAGAAGCTGGAAGAGATAACAGATGGAATCTCCCCTAGAGCCTTTAGAGGGAGTGCGGCCTTCTGATCCCTTGATCTCCGACTTCCAGCCCCCAGAGCAGTGAGACAGTCAAGTTTTTTTTTTTTTTTTTTTTTTCCAAGTTTTGTTTTAAGCCTTGAAGTTTTATGGCAGCCCTAGGGCAGCCCTGGGGAAAGAACACTGGGCCCTGAACAAAACATGGGAGCCAAGAGGCTGAGCCCTGTGAGACTGTCTGAGTGCCTTAGCAGGGCTGAGGTGCCAGGTTCTGCCAAAGGGCAACAGTCCTGGGTGACACCCTCCCCTCACAATTTGGATTGGGATCCAAAGAAGCCACTTCCAAGGAATGCGCAGGAGCCAGAAGTATTGGAAGGACTGCAGCCCTGCTTCAAATCACCTCAGTCCTCTGAAATTAAAGTAATCCCAGTGTACTAGTGTCTCTAGATTCCCAACAGAAGCAAACTTTAATCCTCTCTAGAGGGAGATATCTCCCTCTAATCCTCCCAGTTATCAATGGAGGCCTCTAATGACTTTCACGAGTCTGTTTGTACGTTCATGATTGTGCATACAGTAAAAAAATAGACATCAAGGGAGGCGAGGCACTTGAGCTAAAACCAGTCGAAACTACAGGCTGTAGACAGACCCACAGGGCTTCCAGACTCCAGACCCAGACTTTATAACAACTGTGCTCGTTGTGTTGGAGGAGACACGAGATCAGATGGAGAGTTTTGGCAGAGAACTAGAAACTATGGAAAAGAACCAGATGAAAATTCTAGTCCACACTGGCCAGATGGCTCACGCCTATAATCTCAGCACTTTTGGACTGAGGCAGGTGGATCATTGGAGGTCACGAGTTTGAGACCAGCCTGGCCAACATGGCAAGATCCCGCCTCTACTAAAGATACTAGACATTTTTTTTTTCTTTTAAGACGGAGTCTCACTCTTGTCACCCAGGCTGTAGTGCAGTGGCATGATCTCAGCTCACTACAACCTTTGCCTCCTGGGTTCAAGCAATTCTCCTGCCTCAGCCCCCCGAGTAGCTAGGATTACAGGTGCCCATCACCACGCCCAGCTAATTTTTTGGTATTTTTAATAGAGACGGAGTCTTACCATGTTAGCTAAGCTGGTCTCGAACTCCCAATCTCAGGTGATCTGCCCGCCTCGGCCTCCCAAAGTGCTGGGATTACATGCGTGAGCCACCTCACCCAGCCAATAAAAGAAAATTATAAAATTGAAAAAGCATAGTGATCAAAATTAACTAACCAAAAAAAGAGCAGATTAGACCCAGGCTGAAAAAATTGTGTGAACCAGAAGATAGCTCAGAAGAAAATACCCACAAGGAAGCCTGGAGACATAAAAAATGGAAAAATTTGGAGAGGGTGGGAGACAGATATAGTAAGAAGGTCTTACTTGTGTTTAATTGTCACAAGAGAGGAGAAGTGAGAGAAAATTGAGGAGACACAATATTTGAAAAGATAATGTGGCCAGGTGCAGTGACTCACGACTGTAATCCCAGCAGTTTTGGATGCTGAGGTGGGCGGATCACCTGAGGTTAGGAGTTCAAGACCAGCTTGGCCAACATGGTGAAACCCTGTGTCTACTAAAAGTACAAAAATTAGCTGGGTGTGGTGGCAGATGCCTGTAATCCCAGCTACTCGGGAGGCTGAGGCAGGAGCATCGCTTGAACCTGGGAAGTGGAAGTTGCAGTGAGCTGAGACCACACCATTACACTACAGCCTGGGCGACAAGAGCGAAACTCTGTATTAAATAGAAAAAAAAGAAAGAAAAGTAATACCTGAGAATTTTCTACAACAAATAACAGGTACCATGAACAGATTCGATAGCCGTATGAACTGAAAGAACCATATCTAATCAATTCCTGGTACACCCTTGTGCTCTGCATAATGATGTTTCCGGATGATGATCCACATGGACAAAGGTGGTCCCATAAGATTATAATGAAGCTGAAAAATTCCAATTGTCTAGTGACGTGGTAGCTGTTATAATGTTGTAGGGCAATGAATTACCTATGTGTTTGTGGTGATGCTGGTGTAAACAGACCTACTGCACTGCAAGTGGTAGAAAAGTATAGCACATACAAGTATATACAGTACATAATAGTTGATGATGATAATAAACAACTATGTTACTGGTTTATGTATTTACTATCTATACTTTTTATTATTTTAGAGTATATTCTTCCTACTTATAGAAAAAAGAAAAACAAATTGTAAAACAGCCTCAAGCAGGTCCTTCAGGAGGTATCCAGAAGAAGGCATTGTTATCATAGGAGGTGACAGCTCCATGCACGTCATTGTCCCTGAAGACCTTCCAGTGGGATAGGATGTGGAGGCGGAAGATAATGATACTGATGATCCTGACTCTGTGTAGGTCTAGGCTAATGTGTGTGTTTGTTTCTTAGTTTTTAACAAAAATATTTAAGAAGTAAAATAATTAAAAAAATTAAAAATAGAAAAAAGGTTATAGAATAAGGATATAAAGAAAATACTTTTGTACAAGTGTACAGTGTGTGTTTCAAGCTAAATGTTACTACAAAAGAGTAAAAAATTAAATTAAAAGTTTATAAAGTAAAAATATTACAGTAAGCTAAGGTTAATTTGTTATTGAAGAAAGAAAGTCTTTCAAAAAATAAATGTAGTATAGCCTAAGTGTACAGTGTTTACAAAGCATAGAGTACTGGTCAGTAGTGTCCTAGGCCATCACATTCACTCACCAGTCATTCACTCACTCATCCAGAGCAACTTCCAGCCCTGCAAGCTCCAGTTACGGTAAGTACCCTATACAGGTGTACCATTTTAAAAATCTTTTATGACATATTTTTACTGTACTGTTTCTATGTTTAGTTATATTTAGATACGCAAATACTTGCCGTTGAGTTATAGTTGCCTACAGTGTCAGCACAGTGATGTGCTCTATGGGTTTGTAGTCCAAGAGCAATAGGTCATGCCATACAGATGAGGTGTGTGCCATCTAGATTTGTGAAAGTACACTCTGTGATGTTCACATAGGATGAAATCACCTCATAACACATTTCTCAGAATATATGCTCATTGTTAAGCAACTGATAACTGTAGCACCGTTGAAAACCATAGATGAAGAGAAAGAGAGAAAGGCGGAGGTTGCAGTGAGTCGAGATCACACCACTGCACTCCAGCCTGGGCAACAGAGCGAGACTTTGCTTCTAAAAACAAAAACCAAACAAAAAAAGAATGACAGCTGTGTTCTTAACAGAAATAATGGAAACCAAAAGTCTATTGAAATTTAAGTCCTCAAAGAAAGTTACTGTGAACCCAGAATTCTGTATGCAGCAAAAATGTCCTTCAGAAAATACAGTTGAAATAAAGATACTTTCATATAAACAAAAACAATGTTTTTGCCAGCAGACCCACACTAAAGGAAACATTAAGTGTTTTTTGTTTGTTTTGGCTAAAGGAAAATGCTCAAGTTAAGCGTTAGAGTTACAGGAAGGAATAGAGACTTAAGGGTTTCTACGTGGGAAAGACCAAATGATTATTAACTATAAAAATTATGCCTTTGGGTTTAAATTATATAGAATTAAAATACATGACAACAATGTCCTGTAGGTTAGAAAGGAGGCAAATAGAGTAGAACTTTTCTAAAGTCTTTCCATTTCCAGGAAGAAGAACAAAGATCCAATTATATTAGACAAGTCAGGGATGCATGTTGTGTGTAATCTGTGTGGTGGCCACCAAAATTGTGATAGTGTGTGATAGCTAAGCTAAACAAGAAAAATAGAATCAGAGATTCTAAATCTGAAAGAAGGCAAGAAAGGAGAGAAAACACTGAACAATTGGGACAAAGAGAAAGCAAACAGTAAGTTAGTAGACTGAAATCCCAGTATGTCAGTAATCACATTAAATCTAGGTGGACTTAAATGCTCCAGTTAAAATACAGAGATTGTGAGATGGGATACAAAAGCAAATCCTGACTAGGCTATTTGAAAGAGATACGTTTAAAACATAAGGATATTAAAAGATTGAAAGTAAAAGAATAGGAAAAGATACTATGCAAACACTAACCAAAAGAAACTTGGTGTAGCTATTTTAGTATCAAAGTAGATTTTAAGGGCAAAATTATTAATAAAGATATGCTGATAAATGAGAAAAAGTTCATTTTGGATATAATAATTTAAAATTTGGAAGTAATGACTTCAAAATATATAGAAGAAAAATTAACACAATTGTAAGGGAAACAAATTCATAATCATAGTGAGATGTTTTAACACACCTGTCTTACATGCTGTATACATCAAGTAGACAAAGAAATTTGTAAAAGTGTAGAATTGAACAACACAAGAACGGAACTTTTTTTTTTTTTTGGGAGACGGAGTTTCGCTCTGTTGCCCAGACTGGAGTGTAATGGTGCAATCTCTGCTCACTGCAACCTCCACCTCCCAGGTTCAAGTGATTCTCCTGCCTCAGCCTCCAGAGTAGCTGCGACTACAGGTGTCCATCACCATGCCACCATGCTTGGCTAATTTTTGTATTTTTAATAGAGATGGAGGGGGGGTCTCACCGTCTTGGTTAGGCTGGTCTTGAACTCCTGACCTCAGGTGATCCACCTGCCTCGGCCTCCTGAAGTGCTGGGATTACAGGCGTGAGCCACTGCACCTGCCACAAGTACTAAACTTGACCTAATGGAAATGTATGGAACACTGTACCTAACAATTGTAGAATCTAAGTTTTTTTCCAATGCACAGGCACATTTGTCGAAATTCACTATATGCTGGCCATAACACAAGTCTCAACAGCTTTCAAAAGAGTTGAAATTATAGAGTATGTTCTGACAACAGAATTAAGCCAGGATCAATAAAAAGAAAATCTCAATGTATTTGGAAATTTTAGATGTCTATTTCTAAGTAATTTATGAGTCACAGAAAGCTTAAATATTTTGAGTTGAACAATAGCAAATATGTATATATAAAATGGGGTACAGCTGAAGTCATGTTTAGAGGGAAATTTATAGCTTAAAATACGTATATTAGAAAAGAAGACATGCTGAAAATCAGGTAGTTAGAAGAATAGCAACACATTAAACTCAAAGGAAATAGAGTATTTTTTTAAAGGATTTATAGAAGAATGAGGAGGAGGAGGTTGCTGATCAAAGAGGTATGCAAAGGCCCTGTGGCAAGAGGGAGCTTGGGGAAATCTTGGGGCTGAAAGAAGGCTGTGGTGGTTAGGGCTGGTAAGCATCGGGAGCCTTTGGTTGGGATCTGACACTGGAGAGGGTTGGAGGCTGTGTTAGGGAGCTCTGCCTATTTTCCCCCAGATTAGTGGGATACTATTGCTTTAAGATTTTAGGAAGGACCATGACCTAATTGGATCGTGGTTGAAAAGATGGCTCTAGCTGCGCTGCGGTTGCCTGAGTGGATGCTGGCTGACCCAATGCAGTGAAAGATGCTGGCAGCCTGGGCCTGTGCTGTGGCTGTGGCGATGGGGGAAGTAGCTGGATTTGAGAGATGCTGAGGAGGTGACATTGTGAGAACTCAGTGATGGTTTGGTGTGGGTGTTGGGGGAGAGGAGGTTTGTGATTCCTGTGATGAGCTGGATAATGGAACTCTTCTCTGATATAAGGAGCTGTGGTTGAGGACAGCTTTGGGGATTTTGCTGTTACCTGGCTCTGCTGCATGCTATCCTGGAACCTCTTATTCTCCACTACCCCAGTTTTGCCAATGAACGACATAGATTCAGCAGTTAGGTGGCTTGCTAGTGTGCCATGAAGCCATGTAGGTCTCACTGAACCCAGATAGGGCCTCCTTTGTCCCTTCCTCCCCAGCCCCCAGTCATGCAGCAGCAGTGAGGATGGTTCATCTGAGCCCGAGAGTGAGGACAGTGTGACGGGGTCAGGGCCCGATTGGATGCTGGGGCCGTTGGCTTTTAGGAGGTGGGCAGAAGAGGAAGAGGAGGACTAGTCAAAGAAGGAAGGACTGGCAGGGGAGGAGAAAGAAAGGGGGCTGCAGAGAAGCCCCAGAACCAGCACAGTTTACCTCTAAATACCTCAGTGTATGTCTCCACAACATGAGGATATTTTCTTATATAACAATACCATTATACCTGAAAAAACTTTTTAACATTTAATATCCAGATCATTTTCAAATTTCCCCAGTTGAACCAGAAATGCCATTTATGACCTTCCTTTTGGGAACCAGGTACCCATCAAGTTTTACGCATCATCTTTGGTTGTTGTTATCTCTTTAGTTTGTTAAATTAGAACAGCTTCCACTGTTCTCTCTTCCCGTTCCCTACCTGCCTATAACATCAACTTTTTCAAGAGACAAGGGCAGTTGTCTGGTATTAATGACTTTTTTTTTTTTTTGTTCAGACAGAATCTCACTCTGTCGCCCAGACTGGAGTGCAGTGGTGCGATCTCGGCTCACTGCAACCTCCGCCTCCCAGGTTCAAATGATTCTCCTGCCTCAGCTTCCCAAGCAGCTGGGACTACAGGCGCCCGCCACCATGCCCGGCTGATTTTTTTATTTTTAGTAGAGACGGGGTTTCACCATGTTGGCCAGGCTGGTCTCGAACCCATGACCTCAAGTGATCCGCCCACCTCGGCCTCCCAAAGTGTTGGGATGACAGGCATGAGCCACCGCACCCAGCTGTATTAATGACTTTTAATGGCAAAAACCTCCATTACTTTTGTACCAACCTAATAATCTTTCTGGATTTTTCTGATTGTTTTCCCATCATTCTTTTACATTGTTGTTTTATCTCCTATATTTCCTATAAAGTAGAAGTAAGCAGTTTCAAAGACTCTCACTTCTATATTTTGGTTGACATTTTGGGCATATCCCTAAATATGGAATGCTCTGTGCTCTACCGCATCCCACTTGGAGGTGGGTGTGTCCTGTCAGGCTGTCCCCCTCTGCTGTGTCATCGCTTGGTTTACAGATTTCTAGGTCTTTTCTTCCTCTTTTTTTTTTCTTTTTTTTTTTTTTTTTTTAATAGAAGTGGGATCTCCCTACGTTAAGCCAGTCTGGTCTTGAACTCCTGACCTAAAGTGATCCTCCTGCCTTGGCCTCCCAAAGTTCTGGGATTACAGGCATGAGCCACCTTGCCTGACCAGATCTTTTCATTGGAGATGTGATTTCCCCTTTACAGTTAGGAAGTAATAGGTGATTCCTGGGCACTGTGCAAATATCCTTTACCCCAAATGGTTTCCATATTCATACACAATACAGGACTTGCCTGAAGCAATTTTATTATAAGAGTTTTTAAAATGGAGATTCCTGCCACCCCCATTGTGTCATTTATTCCACATTTATCTGTTGGTGTTATTCTGTAAAGATATTTTCTTGGGGCCAGGCGCGGTGGCTCATGCCTGTAATCTCAGCACTTTGGGAGGCCAAGGCTCAGGCGATCACTTGAGGTCAGGAGTTCGAGACCAGCCTGGCCGATATGGTAAAACCCCATCTCTACTAAAAATACAAAAAAATTAGCTGGGCATCGTGGTGGACACCTGTAATCCCAGCTACTCCAGAGGCCGAGGCAGGAGAATCGCATGAACCCAGGAGGAGGAGGTTGCAGTGAGCCAAGATCACACCACTGCACTCCAGGCTGGGCGACAGAGCGAGACTCCATCAAAAAAGTGAAAATAAAAGGATATTTGCTCACTTCAACCGAGTTAAGGACCACAGTTCCTCCTAAAAAGGCAGGTCAATTGCTGGATTCTTTGTTTAATTACCAATGTTCGAGGTAAGGATTTGGTAAATAGTCATCCCCAGTAGAGGCAAATGTTTCTCTCCCCCCAACCCTAAACCCCCACACCCACCCTGAGTATCACTATATGGATTCATGGCAATTTTTATTCAGTGTTTTACAATCAGTTACAGTCATTCTTTTTGATGCTAAAATTATCCTGATTTTCCTGGAAACACACCTTCATCTGGCTCTTTGGTCTTTAAAGGCTTGCTTGCTATGTTGCGATCTGTTTTCATCTTCTGGATAGAGTCCTGGAGCTGGAGTTTCAGGTAGAAGGGACAGTGTGCGTCCTGTGGCCGAGGCTGCCAGCCCACAGCGTGCATTGCTGCCCATTTCCTGCCAGTCCTGGGACGAGAGTGCCTAGGAGTTTCAAGATTTCAGGCTGGCAGGTCTTTGTTTTCCTTTTTTGGATTGGCTTAGGTTTAGGGTTGTCTCAGCCTCATAAAGTGAGTTGGGTAGCTTTCTGTGAGGAAGGCTTTTGTCTCTGCCTCTCATATTGCATCTCCATTTATTTTATTTTTTGGGGGGAGGTTCTCATCTGTAGGTTAGACCATCTGTCTCCTTACCACTCTGTCCATCTCAGTATTTTTCCCTGTCCACTGTATCCATCAGCATTCTGGGGGCCTCAGTTTTGTCTTTTTGCCACCAGTGACATTTTCTGTAATGTACATTTTTCCCTTTGACTCCTTCCAGTTGGATTTTAATTTTTCCGTAGTGTGATTGTTTTTGTTTTCTAATCTTGGTCAGCATCTTAGCTTGTTGTCTTTTAATTTCAACCTATTCTCATTTTGGTGCTCCCTGTCTTTTAAAAACATTTTAATTTTAACTTTTTAAATAAAGGCCACGTCTTCCTGCATCTTAGGACAAGAATCACATCTTTTCTAAAATGGTCTTCCATTTTCTGCAATCATTCATTTCAGGTTTGTGCATGTACTTTATGGCATGTTTTTCCATCAGCCTCTCCCCTCCCCCTTTCTGTTCTGATGTGATGTTCCTTGAATGGCGTTTGCCAGGCTGCGGGTTTGAATTGCTGTTTCCTGGGGACTTGGCTGGGCACAATCTGGGGCTGGCCGTGGGGTGATCGGCCACGGGCCCAGGCTGTGTCTCTGCTGCTCTGGGCGGGCTCTCCCCTCACCTTGAATTCATGTGCAATGGCCCCATTTTCCGTGTCCATGTGTGTTCCTGAGTAGTGGGTGTTTGCTGATCACCTGCTGCCCACTCTGCTGGCTCTGCTCTTCTGTGTCTGAGGGTAAAGGGTGTCTGCCTCCCTTTCCCCTGCAGGAAGGGCTGGACTCTCATCCCCTGATGAATGGTGCTTTGTCCTTATAGAATGATGGAAGAGGGACACTCTTTTTCTTTTAAACCTGCTATTTTAACCATTTTAAAGTGCACAGTTAAGTGCCATTAAGTACATTAATGGTATTGTGTAACCATCACCTCTATCTAGTTTGGGAACTTCTGTATCCCCTACATGGAAATCCCTTCCCCATCGTGAGTCACTCCTCATTTCCCCCTCCTCCCAGCTGCTGACAACCACTAATCTGCTTTCCATCTCTATGGATTTGCCTATTCTGGATATTTCATTTATTATTTATTTATTTTTTAGATACAGTCTTGCTCTTTCTCTCAGGGTGGAGTGCAGTGGCTCAATCTCAGCTCACTGCAATCTCTGCCTCCCAGGTTCAAGCGATCCTCTCACCTCAGCCCCCCCAGTAGCTGGCATTACAGGTGCACTCCACCATGCCTGGCTAATTTTTGTATTTTTAGTACAGAGGGGGTTTCACCATGTTGTGGCCAGGCTGGTCTCCCAATTCCTGACCTCAAGTGATCTGACCGCCCTGGCCTCCCAAAGTCCTGGGATTACATGCGTGAGCCACCGCACCCGGCCACTGAGCACTGTGTTTTCAAGGCTTATTTACGTTGTACGTTTCAGAACTTCTTCTTTTTTTTTTTTTTTTTTTGTTTGAGTGAATAATACTCTGTTCTGTCAATGTACCACATTTTGTTTGCTCATTCATCGGTTGACAGATATTTGGGTTGCTTCTACCTTTTGACTATTGTGAATAGAACTGCTGTGAACATTCATGTACAAATTATTATTTAAATACCTATTTTCATTTATTTTGTATTTTTTTTTAAATTTTTGAGACAGGGTCTCTGTCACCCAGGCTGGAGTGCAGTGGTGCAGTCATGGCTCACTGCAGCCTCCACATCTTGGGCTCAAGCAGTCCTCCCACCTCAGCTTCCCAAGCAGCTGTGACTACAGATGTGTGCCACCATGCCTGGCTAATTTTTTAATTTTTTGTAGAGATGAGGTCTTGCTGTGTTATCCAGGTTGGTCTCGAACACTCGGGCTCAAGTGATCTTCTTGCCTTGGCCTCCCAGAGTGCTGGGATTACAGGTGTGAGCCACTGTGCCCAGCTGACCTGTTTTCATTTCTTTTGGGTACGTACATGTGAGTTAAATTGCTGGATAATTCTGTGTTTATCTTATTGAGGAGCTGCTAAACCACAAAGGCTGCACCATTGTATGTTCCCTCCAGCAGTGCATGAGAGTTCTGATGTTTCCACACTTGCCAACTCTTGTTACTTTCCACTTATTATAATATAAATGTTATAATATTTAATAATTTAAGAATATTATATTATTCAGTTCCTCAATGACTAACAATGTTGAGCATCATTTCATATGTTTATTGACCATTTGTATATATTTTTTGAAGAAATACCTATTCAGGTCCATTGCCCATTTTCCAATCGGGTTGTCTTCTTGTTGTTGAATTGTAAGAGTTTTTTATATATTTTGGGTACTAGAACTTTATCAGATACATGATTTGCAAATATTTCCTCTCATTCTGTGAGTTGTGTTTTCACTCTCTTGATAGTGTCCTTTGAGGCACAAAAGTTTTGAATTTTGATGAAGTCCAATTTTTTTCTTTTGTTGCTCGTGCTTTTGGTGTTATGCTTAAGAAACCATTGCCTAATCCAAAGACAAGATTTATACCTATGTTCTTCCACGAGTTTTGTAGTTTCAGCTATTATTAATATATTTAGTCTTTGATCCATTTTGAGTTATTTTTTGTATGTGGTGTGAGGTCAGGTTCCAACTTCATTCTTCCTGTGTGGATGTGCAGTTGCTCCAGCACCAGCTGTTGAAGAGGAGCGCTCTCCAGTTGGAGTCTGCCTCCCCAGCTGTGCAGACAGCCCTGCAGTATTGAAAAACAGCCACAGAGCTCCTCAGGAGTGCTTGGAAATCTCAATGGAGTTCATAAAGTGATTCTTAATAGAATCATTCTTATGTATGGTTATGAGACATTTACATATTTAAAGAGTTTAAAAGGAAGTATCTGCATTTCAGAATTTTTACTGCCATGGAACTCATCTACATTTTATTTTGTTTTATTTTATTTTTTTCAGACAGGATCTCACTGTCACCCAGGCTGGAGTGCAGTGGTATGATCTCCGTTCACTGCAGCCTCTACCTCCCGAGCTCAAGTGATCCTCCCAGTCAGCCTCCTGAGTAGCTGGGACCACAAGCATGCACCACCACACCTGGGTAATTTTTGTATTTTTTGTAGAGACGGGTTCTTGCTATGTTGCCTAGGCTGTCCTCGAATTCCTGGGCTCAAGCAATCCGCCCGCCTCAGTCTCCCAAAGTGGCTAGGATTACAGGCGTGAGCTACTGAGCCCAGCCTCTTCTACATTTTATGTTTGAGAATATGGACTTGATTCAGTTCTTTTTATAGTTTGGTAAACTTGAAATAACACTCATCTCATTAAATCCAGTCTCATTTGACATTCTCAGTATTTGAACTCTGATAAAAATGGACTAGTACTCAGAAGCTGGGCAGAAGGGAAGTCTGAGAAGTTGTTCTCTATCTCCTTTCTCTCTGTGGTTGCTGAACATTTTTGTGTGCTTCAAGAGGGCAAGTAGAACCAGGTTTGTCAAGAATTAAGACATAAGTCTTTTTTTTTTAATTTTTATTTTTTTTCTTACATTTAAGGGAGATCTGGCCAATGTGTATTTTTATTGTCCATTAGTCACAATTGTCTGTGTTTTTATATCTAACTAGTGTTTTGTATTATTTGCTGTTTGTAGAAACTCCTTGGTAGTTAACTGCAGCTTCTTTGTCCTCTGGCAGCAGAAATGGGTATAACCATTTGGGAAAGTGACTTAGTGAGTGTCTGAATAACTCCAAGAGACTCTTGGTCCAGAATTCTAACACTGGGACTCTATCCTGAGAAAATAATCTTAAATATAAAGCTCATGAACAACATGTTTATTGTACCATTAAATATAAAAAGTTGCAAGCCACCCCAGTGTCCAAGTCCAGCTTAGGACAAACCCCACCAGAACACTCCAGTGTAATGACTCAGTGAGTTAATGATAATAGCTGATAAAATGGGTACTGCGGGCGGGTCCCGTGCTGTGCTCTGTGCGCGTGCTGTCCCACTTCACCTTCACAACTTCATGGTGGCTGCACCAGGTCACAAAGCTGGAAAGTGGCAATGTGCATGGCTCTCAATGCCTGAAGCTGCCAGCCAGGTAATTGAGGAGGTCAGCAACAGGGACGGTACTATGTGATGTTGGAGAAATAAAGAGGCGAAGCTGTGTTTACAGAATGCGTTTCAGCAGTGTGTAAAACACTGGAAATAAGATGGAATAGGAAATAACACGGAGGAAGTTTCTTATGATATTGTGGGTCGGGTTAGGTGGTGAGATTTGTATTATTTTTATGTTTACATCTGCTTGCCTGCATTTTCTAAAATGAGCATGTATTATTTTATACCAAAGGAAACAAAAAGGCATAACATGCTTCCCGTCAATGGAAGACTCCTAATGGTAAGAGGGGCTGTGTTGTGACGTGGAGATGATTCAGATTGGAGAAGCAGCTGCCCTCAGCCTTATCTGGAATGTCCTAAAACAGCTGAAACGATACTGTTGGATCAAAACAGATTGAATTTCAGGAGTCAAATATACAAAAGGGCATGCTTGTGAAAATACAGGATTTAAGTTTCATAATATCCTAATAAATGGGTACATTATATGGAACGACTTAATTATGTTCCCCCTTGTTTGAACTTTCAACTCCTGTGTTGAAATTAAATCTACACTTACCTAAGAAGTGAGCTCAAGGTCTTGATATGAATAGGATGTATTTTAGCTTGAGATGTAAACTGTTTGATGCGTGCAATGTTATCAGTTCTTTAGATAATGTTCATAATGACATTAGCATCCCTAAACATTTGAATAAATGAAAAAGAAATAACATATAGAATAATAATACACAAAGTAAAAGCAGATCTAGTTGCAGTATATTGTTGTTTGGAAAAGCAAGTTATTGAATAATTTGTACATCATGTAACTCCCCTTTATGTCTTTTAGTTTAATTTTTTTTTTTTACACAGGGTTTTTTTTGTTTTTGTTTGTTTGTTTGTTTTTGAGATGAAGTCTCGCTCTCACCCAGGCTGGAGTGCAGTGGTGTGATCTCGGCTCACTGCAACCTCCACCTCCCGGGTTCAAGTGATTCTCCTGCCTCAGCCTCCTGAGTAGCTGGGATTACAGGTGCCTGCTACGATGCCTGGCTAGTTTTTGTATTTTCAGCAGAGACAGGGTTTCACCATGTTGGCCAGGCTGATTACGAACTCCTGACCTCAAGTGTGCCTTCTGCCTCAGACTCCCAAAGTGCTGGGATTACAGGCGTGAGCCACTGCGCCTGGCCTTGACACGGGGTCTCGCCCTGTCACCCAGGCTGGAGTGCAGTGGTGCCATCATCACTCACTGCAGCCTTGGACTCTTGGGCTCAGGTGATTTTCCTGTCTTGGCCTCCCCAGAGGCTAGGACTACAGGTATGGGCCACCATGCCCAGCTAATTTTTAGATTTTTTGTAGAGATGGCATCTCACCGTGTTGCCCAGGCTGGTCTTGAACTCCTGGGCACAAGTGATTTGCCCACCTCTTTCTCCCAAAGTGCTGAGATTACAGGTGTGAGCCATAGCACCTGACAATTTTATTTTTACATTTTTCTTTTTAGAGGCACGGTCTTGTTCTGTCATCCAGGCTGCAGTGCAGTGGTTCAGTCATAGCTCACTGGAGCCTAAATTCCTGGGTTCAAGCAACTTTTCTGCCCCAGTTTCCTTAGTAGCTAGGACTGCAGGCGTATGCCACCATACCCAGCCAATTTTAAAAGTTTTTATAGAGATAGAGTCTCTATAAAAGCAGAGGGATACTTTACTATGCTATGTTGCCCAGGCTGGTCTTGAATTCCTGGGCTCAAGTGATCTGCCTGCCTCGTCCTCCCAAAGTGCTGAGATTACAGGTGTGACATACCATGCCCAGCCCCACTTTTCTGTTTTATTTACACACTTGAAAACAGATGGAGCCGGGCGTGGTGGCTCATGCCTGTAATCCCAGCACTTTGGGCGCCCAAGTCCGGTGGATCACCCGATGTCAGGAGTTCGAGACCAGCCTGGCCAACATGGTAAAATCCTGTCTCTACTAAAAATAACAAAAATTGGCCAGGCGTGATGGCACACGCCCGTAGTCCCAGCCACTTGGGAGGCTGAGGCAGGAGAATCGTTTGAACCTGGGAGGTGGAGGTTGCAGTGAGCCGAGATCGTGCCACCGCGCTCCAGCCTGGGCGACAGAATGAGACTCTGTCTCAAAAAAGGAAAAAAAAGAAAAAAAAGAAAGAAAACAGATGGGAAGGATGTTATCTCGGCATGTGAATAGTAGGTGTTAGCGTGGCTGGGCTCTTGGTGGTCTTAAGTAAATAAAAAGTAACCTCCAGCAAACAAGTCTGCCATGAGTTGGGCCATTTAACACAGGACTTTATTCTCCAAATGTCAGAAAACAGGTGAGGAAGCAGCTGGTTGAGCACATGCCAGGGGAGAGGAGGTTGAATGCTGATAGTGGCAGCACTGCCGCATTGTTCTCAGGTGCTTTTCTGTTTGGTGCCTTGCCCTCTGAGGTGGGATCCATAGGTCAGGAAGCTGGGGAGGCTGCCTCTAGTCCAGGCAGCACCAGCTTCAGGCCTCTGGTGTGTTTCACTGACTTCCAAGTTTCCAAAGCGCCCTGTCTGCACCCCTCTTATGACACTTGAAAACAATTTATGGAAATTTCCAAGCAGACACGGAAGTAGAGACCGTTGAATTAATCACATCAGCCTGTGTCTTTCTTGTTTCATCTGTCTCCACCCCCTACCCACACCCCTACTTTTCTCCTGAGCATTTTAAAGCAAATACTTCTGGTTCTTCCTACTGTCAAGTATCCCTCTGATGGAGCAGTTTCCTGAAAGGTCAAGGGTCGAGTCCCTTTCACTGTAGTATTGCAAGCCACACTCAGCACTCAAGTGTTCAATAAACATTTATTGAAACAGAGTGATTTCATTCCACAGCTCGATAGGGAGATGGATTTTGTTCTGTAGGTTTCGCAGAAGCTGAATCTTTCCTACCTTAATGAACCACAGAGCGCATGTGTGTATTTTGGGATGTCGCACCTGCTGCTGGGGGTTAAGGTTTGTTTCGCCTTTGGTGTGTAGTGGAGATGGGTTTGTGCATAAATTCACTTTCAGAAAAAGTAGGGTGACTGGTTATGGCTATAATTTAGTCTGAACTTGTACAGACAAAAATAATGAAAAGTAAATCTTCCCCAGACATAAAAAATGTTTTTCATTTGCTGTCTAAGCATGGAGAGAGTTGAAATCAGACAGATCTGGGTCTGAAGTCCACATCTGTCACTTCACTGTAGATGTCTATGTCCTCTCTGGACCCCAATTTCTTCATTAGTAAAATGGGGCTATAACTATTGTATGGGGCAGATTAAATACAGATTCTACATAAGCTCCTGGCACATAGTAGGCACTCCATAAATACTGATTATTTCTTCTCCTTGCCCATGGTTCTGTGAAATGGGAATGTTTCCTGGGCCTCCCTTAGGAGGTCATTGTATGGATTTTTTTTTAATATATATGTTTTTTATTATACTTTAAGTTCTAGGGTCCTTTGTAGGGACATGGATGAAGCTGGAAACCATCATTCTCAGCAAACTATCACAAGGACAGAAAAACCAAACACCGCATGTTCTCACTCATAGGTGGGAATTGAACAATGAGAACACTTGGACACAGGAAGGGGAACGTTGTATGGATTAAATGAGTAATCTTTGGAAAGTGCTTACACCTGAGCCTGGAGCAAGTCAGAGCTCAGCCTCCTGGGTGCTGCTGCGGGTGCTGCCCCTGTCCTGGGAGTCCTTTTAAAATCATGTGTGTGCCTTCCCTGTCTCATCTACCCTGTTCCCTTTCCCTAGAGGTAACCACTTAACCATTTTTATTATTATTTTGGTTAATCCTTCCATTGTTTCTTTTTGGAAAAAAAAAACTAAGTTTATCTTCTTCACACACAAACAATGTCCTCCTTTTTACAAAAAGATATTAATAGCGTAGCATGTTCCTTTTTTTTTTTTTTTTTTTTGGAGACGGAGTTTCACTCTTGTCACCCAGGCAGGAGAGCAATGGCACGATCTCGGCTCACTTCAACCTCCACCTCCTGGGTTCAAACGATTCTCTTGCTTCAGCCTCCCGAGTAGCTGTGATTACAGGTGTGTGCCACCACTCCCAGCTAATTTTTTGTATTTTTAGTAGAGACGGAGTTTCACCATGTTGGCCAGGCTGGTCTTGAACTCCTAACCTCAGGTGATCCACCCGCTTCGGCCTCCCAAAGTGCTGGGATTACAGGCGTGAGCCACTGCGCCTGGCCCCTTAATAGCATGTTCTATGCATGTTCTGCACAGTTATCTTTTTACTTGCTCTGATTTGGAGAGGTTCCGTAGTGTATAAAAATATCTTCCACAATCCTTGTATAGTTATATGGTACTCCATATTTTGAATGTACCGTAATTTATTCGACCACTAGCCTGTTGGTGGGTATTTGGGTTATTTTCAGTGTTCTGCTATAATAGTTTGTAGCACATAGCCTTGTACAAACTTTTTTTTCTATTTTGCCAAAGTGTCTTTTGGGATAGATTCCTAGGAGTGGGCTTGCTAGATCAGAAGAGTAAATGCATGAATAACTGCTCTGGATTTTGCCAAATGTTTGTCTTCAGGGCCATCCCGTTTTGCAGTCGTGTTGAGTGCCTGTCTCCCCGTTGCCATAGAAGCAGAATGTGTTGCCTCTTTGGTTTTTTTGTTTGTTTGTTTGTTTTGAGATAGAGTCTTGCTCTGTCACCCAAGTTGGAGTACAGTGGTGCGATCACAGCTCACCGCAGCAGCCTCGACCTCTTGGGCTCAGGTGATCCTCCCACCTCAGCCTCTCAAGTAGCTGGAGCTATAGGTGCACTAATTTTTAAATAATTATTATTATTTTTTGTAGAGACAGGGTCTGTGTTGCTCAGGCTGGCCTTGAACTACTGGTCTCAAGTGATCCTCTCACCTCAGCCTCCCAAGTAGCTTGGACCACAGGTGTGCACCACCACGCCCAGCTATTTTTTTTTTTTTTCTAAATTTGAGGCCGGGTGTGGTGGCTCACGCCTGTAATCCTAGCACTTTGGGAGGCCAAGGCGGGTGGATTGCCTGAGCTCAGGAGGTCGAGACTAGCCTGGGCAACATGGTGAAACCCGTCTTTACTAAAATACAAAAATTAGCTGGATGTGGTGGCGGGCGCCTGTAGTCCCAGCTACTCAGGAGGCTGAGACGGGAGAATTGCTTGAACTGGGGAGGCAGAGGTTGCAGTGAGCCGAGATTGTGCCACTGCACTCCAGCCTGGGCGATAGAGTGAGACTCCATCTCAAAAAAAAAAAAAAAACTTGTAGAGATGGGGCCTCACTGTGTTGCCTAGGCTGGTCTCAAACTCCTGGGCTCAAGCTATCCTCCCGCCTCAGCCTCCCGAAGTTCTGGGATTACAGGCGTGATCCACTGTGCTCAGCCTTGTTTGTTTTTTGTCAGTCTGATGGTGCAAATAGTATTTTCACTTAGTTTTGTTTTTCTCTTCTGAGCTAGGTTGAGCATCTTTTCCTTTGTTTAAGCGCCTTTTGCATTTTTTTCTGTCAAATGTTTTCATATTTTTTGCCCCTTTTTCTACCAGATTTTTAGTCTGTTCTCAATTTTTATAATTTCTTTAAAGATTAGGGATATTAGCCCTTTGTAGTATTTTGTAAAACTTCCTGGCGAGGTGTAGTGGCTTATGCCTGCAATAAGGGAGGCCAAGGCCTGAGGATTGCCTGAGCAACATAGTGAGACCCCGCCTCTACAAAGCAAAGCAAAACAAAACAAAACAAGCGCACCTGTAGTCCTAGCTACTTGGGAGGCTGAGATGGGAGGATCTCTTGAGCCCAAGAGGTCAAGGCTGCGGTGAGCTGTGATTGAGCCACTGTAGCCCAGCCTGGTTGGCAGTGTGAGAACCTGTTTCAAAACAAAAACAAAACTTCCTGAGGCACTGGCGTGATTAAGATAAATAAACCCACTGAACCTGAGGGACTGTTGGTCTGGGGAGGGAGACAGCCTCATAATGGATGTTCATGTACTTGCAAAGCGGTGATAGCTAGTTCTGCCTGGGGGGAGGTGATAGCTAGTTCTGCCTTGGGGGAGTCTGGGAAGACTTCCCGAAGGTGGTGGTATTTGACTTGGGTCTCAAAGCTTAGTCATTTCCCAGCCAAGAGAAGAGGAGCTGAGGATTTCCAGGCGGAGGAAAGAGTATATTCAAAAAAGTGGGGAAATAAAAGGAGTTGGTTGTGTTTGGGTCAGGTGGTTCTGGGAGGGGTGAGAGAGGAGCCTCTCAGATTGGGAGGAGCCCGGTGGGCCACGTGAAGCCTTCCTAGATGACAAGGAAAGCAAGGAGAGGTTTGGGAGTGGGCCCTGGCTCTGAGACTGTATGCTTCTTCCAGTCACCTGGGAGTTTTTAACACTGTGGCTCCCTGCCCCCTCCCACACTGATGCTCATCACTGGTGGGGTGGGGCCAGTGGTCACTGTTTCTCAAAGCTTGTCAGGTAATTGTAGTGGCAGTTGGGATGAAATCCTCCCGTTGAGAGAATTGTGGCAGCAGGTTGGAGGAAGGATGGACAGAGAACAAACTTGGTGTGCTTAGGAACCACCTGGGCTCTTGGCAAAAATTCATATTTCCAAGGCTCAGGAGGTTGGGAGTGGAGCAGTAACTTGCTTTTTCTTTACTTTTTTATTTTATTTTATTTCTATATTATTATTTTAATAACCTGTATTTTGTTTTTAGAGTAGTCCAGTGAAGTAGTGAGAATGGGGTAGAGAATAGAGCAAGGAGTTCAGTCTGTAACTGATTGTGAACCATCGTTTGAGATAGCTCACTGCCTTCAGGCCAGCGGTAACCTGCATTTTTAACAAACGTTCCAGGGGTTCTGATGTGGTGGTCTGGGTCACACGTTGAGAGGCACTGAGGCAGAGACAAGAGGCAGAACAACTTAAGCCTGAGGTAGGCGGAGCTGAAGAGGAGGGGCAGAATCTTCCATTATTTTAACAAATACAATCAATGATCCTAGGTAGGCAATTAGAAATGGGGAGTGAAGGAGGAAAAGAGTTGAGCACCTGCTACTTCTTTTAGATTTGATGATGCTATTAATATTAACTAAAGAGGAAACGTGGGGGTCAGTGAACAGTGAGATGAGGTACATTTCAGTGTGGAGGCCTGGCCCCTGGGGACGCCAGCCTGCAAGACTAGGTTGGATTAGCAGTGATGCTGACAGAGCGGGAGTGAACTCAGCCAACCCATCGTTATCAGACAGGAATGCATTTGGCTGTAGGTTGATGTCATCAGGACCCACACTGGCTACCTTGTGGCCTCAGCATGGCTGCTGCAGCACTAAATGTTGTATGTTCATTTAAAGCAAAGGTGGCACTGAGACTACACGTGTTCCCATATACCAGCCAAGCACTTGCCTACCTCCCCACCCCCAACAGAACTGCTTAGGTCTCCTTGACCAGTACTGGGGCAGTGGGGATTAGCCCTATGATGAAAGGTCCCCCGCGACCACCACCCCCAGTTCAGAAACAAGGTCCTGTGAGCAGTGAGGATGTGTGTGTGTGTGTGTGGGGGGGTGTTAACACCACATACCGCAGCATACCGCAGTAAGAGAAGCGTCCTGGCTTTAGGAAAGTGGGTGTGAACTCCAAATGAGGGGCAGACCTGGAGCCGCTCTCCTGGGGGTTTGGGCATACACATCGTTGCCACTTTTTGGCTTTTTTGGGTTTGGTCCTTCCTCACATTAGTGGGGGCAGGAATGAGGTGTCTCTCCTCCTGTCGGTGGAGGCTTTGGCATAGGAGCTTTGGGACATGGTCGTTTTTAATAATCCTGGTGGCAGTGCATTGAAAACCAGGGTAGTGGCAATGGGGAAATTGGATTCTCTTGATGGGTAAGGGAAGGATGACTGTCCTTTTTCCATGAGTTGGTGTTTTGGAGTCTTCAGAAAACCTATGTTGGGTTCCTTTCTGTCAGAGTTAGCACCAGACTCAGGGCCTGGCTCTGCAGAGCTGAGCGGGATTCTGCAGTGCGGCAGTTGCCCGGTGCGCTCTCTCCTGCTGGCCGTTGGTGTCATGAAGACGCTGATGTGGCACACACTCCGTTGCCACCTTGGGCGTGCACACTCCCTCAGCTTCTGCCAGGATGCGGTAAGATCAGCTTATAGGTAGACAGGTGGTGGGTAAGTTGCAGGTAGTTCCTGAATGAGGATGAATCTGTGGGTAGTGTTTTGAGTAGATACAGGAATTTACCTTTGCTTAATTGATTTAAATCCGTTATCAGCAGACTTTTATGCTGAAGTTTTATTTTGCCAACAAGTATTATTGTCTGGGCTCTGGTGTGTCATTCATTAGCCAAGTGGCCTTGGGTGAATTACTTAATCCTCTGGCCCTCAGTTTCGTAATGTGTAAAGTGGGAATATTACCACCACTTTCAAAATTGGTGTGAAGATTAAAAGATGAAAATGGCTCCTACTTGGGTAGTGGCTGTGGTATGTGTGAAGAAGTGTTGGAGATAACCTGGAGGTCTTTGAATATGTTTTGCATGCCTTACGTTTTGTGAACAAATTATTTTCTGATTGCTTCCTATATGTGAATCATGGTGCTTGTAAACTGCAAACCACAGATGAAGCTTTAGAGATAGAATTGGAGAGGCCTGGGATTTCTTTTGTGACCTGTCATTAGTTGTTCAACCGGGCAAGTTACTCAGTCTCTCTGTTTACCAGTTTTCTTATTTGTTAACTGGAATACTAGTTTCTGTCTCATAGACCAGAAGTGTTTGTTCTGTTAAGAAGACAAGTAAATATAAAAATACTCATGAAAATTTAAAGTGATATGCAAATTGGGCCAGGTGCGGTGGCTCACGCCTGTGATCCCAGCACTTTGGGAGGCCGAGGTGGGTGGATCACCCAAAGTCAGGAGTTCGAGACCAGCCTGGCCAACATAGTGAAACCCTGTCTCTACTAAAAATACAAAAAATTAACCAGGCATGTAGTGCGCGCCTGTAATCCCAGCTACTCGGGAGGGTGAGGCAGGAGAATTGCTTGAACCTGGGAGGCGGAGGTTGCAGTGAGCCAAGATTGTGGCACTGCACTCCAGCCTGGGCGACAGAGCAAGACTCTGTCTCAGAAAACAAACAAACAAAGAGATATGCAAATTGATAGAAATAAGTTTACCAGCTTCTTTCCACTGAAACATTTGTATGTTAATTTTTTATTCCAGTATTTCCACTTTTGGGGGGCTTTGTGAATTTGGGTGATGTTGCTTAATTAACCATAGTCAGGTTTCTGTTTTACCTGCTTTTTTGTTGTTGTTGAAGGACCGGGGAAGTCTAAAGGACAGATAGGTGGCTGAAGTGGACATTTGGCTAATTTTCTTTCCTTTCTGCTACTTTTTTTTTGTTTCCCTCCCCAGTTTCCCAGCTGTCTGCCTGC
Source organism: Homo sapiens (assembly GCF_000001405.40). Taxonomy (NCBI): domain Eukaryota; kingdom Metazoa; phylum Chordata; class Mammalia; order Primates; family Hominidae; genus Homo; species Homo sapiens. The sequence goes on from NC_000002.12 coordinate 233,382,541, forward strand.
AGCCCCTCTGTCCAGGTCACCTTGGGCAGGCTGTGGCTTGCTGCCCTCAGCCTCTGGACACGACTCTTGGTCAGTCCCCTCCATTTTCTTCACCCCCACGTGGCAGCTGTTTTTCATTTGTTTGTCTTTTACTGCGTAAATGTGGAAATCCTCACTCCTTACATGCTCAAGACATTAACACTAATAGTCTGAGATTTTACTTCTATCCTTATATTGATTAACTATATTTTTCCCTTTACCATTTTACATGCAGAATAATACATGGAGTATACACATAAGTTGTGAAGCACAGTCACGGACTGTGCACACGTGGACCCACCTGCGCGGCTGAGTGCCAGGGTGCTCTTCTGTGGCATCCTCCAGGGTTAAGCATCCTTTGGGGCTTAGTCTCCATTTGACTTACTCTTCTGGTAAATGCCGGTTCACACTTTTTACCTATTTTCTCTTTGGTGGTTTTTCTTTTTTATCATTCCGTGGGAGTTTCTTTTTTTCTTTCTTTCTTTCTTTTTTTTTTTTTGAGAGGGAGTTTCACTCTTGTCACCCAGGCGGGAGTGCAGTGGCATGATCTCGGCCCACTGCAACCTCCGTCTGCTGGGTTCAAGCGATTCTTATGTCCCAGCCACCGAAGTAGCTGGGATTACAGGTATCCGCCACCATGCCCAGCTAATTTTTGTATTTTTAGTAGAGACAGGGTTTCGCTGTGTTGCCCAGGCTGGTCTCGAACTCCTGACCTCAGGTGATCCACCTGCTTCGGCCTTCCAAAGTGCTGGAATTACAGGCATGAGCCACCGCGCCCAGCCCGTTCCATGGGAGTTTCTGCTATATTCTGGTTACTGGTTACTGACTGGCTGTCAGCAGTAGTGTACCTTTTTTTCCCACCTTGGCTTTTCTTTTATCTCTTTCTGAGGTGTCTTTGATGAGCAGAAATTCTCAATTGCAATATAGTTGAGTTTAGCAGTCATAGCTTATATCTAATATTTTTTTCTATTACATTTAAGAAACTCTTCCCAATTCCAAAGTCATTGGAAATTCTCTGTCGTCTGCTGGACGTTTTGAAGTTCTTCTGCCTTTTGCTGTAGCGCACCCAGAGTCTGCCAGGAGCTCACGCGTGTGGTGTCCTTGGCTAACCTGCCATCTCAGCCCCTTTGCTGAAGTCCCCCTCCCTCCCAAACCCTGGTTTGCAGTGCTGCCTGTTACACATCAAGCTTCCAAATCTGCAAGGGTCTGTTTCTGGGCTATCTTTGGTCCCCAAATTCCGCTTCTCTTAATTTGCTTTAAGGATAGTTGAGGACATAAGCAGATATTTACTTACGGGAATATCCACTGAAGTTCTGATGATAGCATTGAGGGAACGGGAAGCATTCTAAATGTTCCGGCAGTGGGAAGCAGGTGAATGATGGAGGGGAGGGTGTGTAGGTGCCGTGAGATACTCTGTAGCCGGTAAAAATGCATTTGCTGATGTGGCTATATGGTGATAATATACATGACAAAAAAATAGCAAGGTCACATAACAGTATGTACAGTATGGATTCCACGTTCATAAAAAGAAAGTTGTAAGTTGAAAAAAACCTGTTATCTTGCTTTCTCCTGTCCTGGTCACACTCAGGGTGATTTGATCTGGCTTCGACCCCATCAGGCCACCATGTCCGCTCTGGCAGGTCCTCGGTGACCCCCTGGTGGCTGCTTCCTTTATCCTCAGCTCAGTTCTCATTTATGACCTCGCTGCTGCATTGGACATCACTGATGCGATCTTCTCGACGTGCTCTCTGCTCTCCTCCGCTTCTGCCCACTTTCTTCTTGTTCTCCTTTCTGGCTTTCCTTCCTTGGTATTGGTGTCCCTGGGTTCCCATTTCCCTGGGCCTCCGTGTACTCCATGCTTTCTCCTTTGGGGCCCTTGGCAAGGCATCTCCTGTGTTAAAACTTCTACATCACAGACCTGCAGAGCTGGCCGTCGCCTTACACTGAACTCCCCTGACGTCCTCGAGGCCCGCAGAGTCAGCACATCCAGAATGAAACCCACATCCCCCCACTGAGCCACACTCTTTGGAGGCATCCAGGATTTCTGTCCTGTCTCCTCCCCTTCGCCTCGGTCGATTCTCACATCTTTCTGAACATTCCCATGCCTGTGTCCATCTCTCCCCTGCCACCCCAGACTCTTGTCATCAGCTCCCCCCTTATGCGAGTTTCTGGAGTGTTCTGCCAGCCTCCACATTTCACCCCTCTTCTTTCCCACACTGTGGCCACAGTCAGCTTTCCAGAGTGTATTTCTGAGCCACCACCGGGCTCTGTCTGTAGCCCCAGGGAGCAGCTGCCGGCCTCTGCTTGCCCAGCCCCTCCTCCCTGGCCTGCTCAGGTACCTGTTGTCTCAGGCAGCTCCCTTATGGGGCATTGCTCACTGCCCTGTGCCCCACATCCCAGAGCACTCTGGTGTGTACACATCCGCCTTCCTCTGGTCTGAGCTCCTGGCCATGCAGCCCTCAGAGCCCAGTGTAGTGACCAGCATCTGGTGATGCAGCCACGTGTCAGAGAGGGGGCAACCTCACCCTGTGCTTGGGCCTGCTAGTGCCTTTCAGACAGAGTCCATTCTGGACTTTCCCTGCCTCCTGGTTTGAAGCCCTTTTCAAGGACATTCTCAGAGCTGTCTTACTGTTAAGCAAGGACCACTGGAGACTTGCGCTTCCCCCCAAGCAGCTGCACGTGGTAGTCTTGGACCTGTGGGCTGGGCATATGTCTGTCGGGTCAGTGGGTGGCCGTGGACCACACTCCAGCTCAGGCCCAGTGCTCTCGCCAACTTCCTCTGGGGAGCCCAGCACTGGGATTGGTGTCTTGCCTGTGTTTGCTGGTGGGCGCGTGTTCACTTTCCACCTGCTGCTCTCTGACTGGAGCTTAAGAGTTTTCTCGGTGCTGTGTGTGTTGCAAATTTGTCTCTGATTGGAATAAGGGTATCTTAGATGGCTTGAACGACAGTTGGCCCTTTTGTTTGTGCATAGAACCCAACAAAGTGACTCTAAGAGCCCGGTGGCCCGGCATGGCCCGAGCGAACTGTGCAGGGGCCTGGCCCTTTCACTCCTGACTCTGCTCTAGGGGGCAAGGAGAGGCCTCGTCAGCCTAGCAGCATTTCCTGTGGGTGCCTTTCACAGCTGCCACGTGCAAAATACAGCACATTATTTTGGGGTGTTATTTTCTTGACCACTTTTGGTTCATTGCTTTTGACTAAATGTTTAAAAATATTCTGCAGCATATCTATAGTACTCACAAGCAGCGAATCAGGAGAAGAAATGCAGTTTCTGAGAAGGCTTCAAAGAAATAATGGTCTTTATCTTTTCCCCAGCCTTTTCCGCTGAAACCCACCAGTCTTTTTCTGAGCACTCTTGTTATAAATAAAGCAGCAGCTCTCCTTGGGCAGCCCAAGATCGCAGACTCTCATCCGCCCTCAGAAAGATTGTGCGTGTGCGTGTGTGTGCGTGTGTGTAAGTATGTGGTGCAGTGAGTTGTGTTTTAATTTTGCTTTTCTTTTATGTATGAGATGTGTAGCAGGAGATGCAAGAAAAAATACTCCAGCATCTGTCCTTTAAAGATAACTTATAACTTTTCTGGGTTTTGGGTTGTTGGTTTTGTCTTTTTTTTTTTTCCCATTTAGGGAAGAGATGGAAGTGATTGCTTTCCCCACAAAGGTAAGGAAGATGAATGGGGGGCCAGGAGAGACGTCTTCACAGTGAGGCCTTTGAGGTCAACAGAGAAAGGGTCTCGTGGTATATGTTTCAGGCTTCCATGGATGGCATTGTTCTGTGCAGATGTATTTGAAATGAGTTTCATCCATGTGTACTTGGATGTGAAAAGGATGTTTGGAAACAAATACCATTTCCCAGTCCTTCACACTGAAGACTGGTTTATATCCTCGCTACCAGAATCGGGGTGGGACTTTCTGTCTGCCTTGGATCACCCTTGGTCTGTTTTGGACGGGACCTCAGATGCTAACTGTATGCTGGGGATCCCCGCTGTCTCTAGGGGAGGGGGTGGGGGTGGGGAGGTCACTTCTGGCAAACAAGCGTCATCAGAATGCTTGATCGTTGGATAATGTTGGGCTCCTCTCTTTTTCCTTCCTGGCACTCTTTAATTACTGGGGAGAGGGTGGGTGCCTTCTTCAGAAGTGTGAGGTGAATGTATAAGCCAAGAATGAGTCAGTAGATTCTTCAGCAGCTCTGCCCTGCGCTGATCCTCTAGAGTTGGAAAGGGCTGCTGTTGTGCCACTGGGTCAGTGCCAAAAGCAGAGTTCACCATGATTGGCACATGCTGGTGAGCAAGAAGCTCTTGGAAGTGGTCGTGAGTGCAGCCAGTTCCCCCCAACCCAGGAAGGGCACAGTGAGGATGGCTGGTTGCGGGATAAGGAGAAGAGACCCCTAGGCAGTTTGCATTGGCCTGTGCTGTCCGGGTGTGGTCCTGGTGTCCGTCCACATGTTGATGGCGTGTCGGGCTGGGGGCTTTCTGCAGCCTTCCCTGTTCCACTGTCTCTCCTGTTGTGAATGCCGGTGGATGGAACAGGCAGCGCAGTGTTCTGCGCTTGCATTCTGGCATAGGTGGGGGACATGAGCCTCCTGTGTCTTGCTTTTGCTGGTTTTATCTTAGGGAGTTTTAAGTGTTTGTGGATACTTAAGAACTTTGTACATGCACTGTTTGAAACATTTACGTAAAGTGCAGAGCTATATGAGATTAGGTAGTTAAGCAAAAGCTTCTCTGAACCAATGTGCTTGTCTTTGAACAGAATTTTTAGGAAGCCTCCCTCCATTTCCATGCTGAGGCTCCTTGTGGACTGGGCATTTCCGTGAGGTGGGATGTAACATAGTGTGCGAACGCCGAGAGCCAGGTTCTTGTCTTCATGCTTGTCGTTTATTCTTTTTGATTGTGTTAATGGCTCCGAGTACGTCAAAACATCTCATGACCAAGTAGTTAGTTACGCATTTGATGTTTTGGTGGCATGGGCTGCGTAAGGCGGGAGAGCAGCTCCGGGAGAAGTAGAGCCCCCTTCATTCTTGGCTTTAATTGAGCCAAGATGAGTGGACCGTATAATCCATTTCTGGATTCTCGTAAGAGAACGTCTTGTGTTGGGGTGAACTCATCAGCTTTTCGGGTTGAGAGGAGTTTTAGTGTCTGTGGCCGAGGCACTTTCCTCTCATGGTGTGTGCAGATGCACACGCCAGGCCTGTGAGTGGTGGGTTGGGCTGAGGGCGCGGGCCTGGAGCTTCTGAGCCCCAGAGCCGCTGACGTAGACAGCTTTGGCAGCAGCATCCTGAGAAATGGCAGGGGGCCAGAGAACACAGAGACAGGGCCAAGAATAGCTGAAAAATACCAAATGCTGAAGTTGGAGAATGCACTGGCCCCGCGTCCCAGTGTCCTCCCAGCTGCTGTGTACTGTGGCCCTGTGAGCCTCAGTGTCCCTTCTTCATGTCTGCCAGTGCGTCCAGGGCACACCCTGGGCCTCTTGACACCCCCACCCACACAGGCACACATTGCCCCTTAGAGGACAGGATTGGTGCAACCCCCCATGCCCCCGGCAGCGTGCTGGGCCTGTGCATAGGTCAAGGTCTGTTGAGAGTGTGAGAAATATTTTCTGTTAGAGACACGAATATGTTTCAGCCGCAACAGGCTGCGTTTCAGCCGGAAGAGTGAAAGGGCACCTTGAAAACGCAAGTTTATGAATATGTTTCTGTACTTTCAGACCATCATCAAAGAGGGGATGCTGACCAAACAGAACAATTCATTCCAGCGATCAAAAAGGAGATACTTTAAGCTTCGAGGGCGAACGCTTTACTATGCCAAAACGGCAAAGGTGAGGCCCCATGCAGGAAAGCACACGCGAGGACATCACAGGAGCCGTCCCAGGGGAGGAACTGGGGGTGCTGAGTCCTTGTGTGGGAAAAGCTTCAATTCTCAGATCTGTTATTGCCAGTGAGTTTTGTAACACTCCACGCTGTCAGGTTTTACTTGTCTCAAGGCATGTTTTATTTCTTATCAAAATTAATTTCTGTTCATTTTCCTTTTCTTTAATGTCATCGGTAATGGGGAAAAGGAAAAAAGGGTCACAGAGACAGCCGCGTTACAGCTGGATATCTCTCTCTCAGAAAGGCGGAGGGAATCACGGGGCTATGAATTTCATCTTCTTATTATTAAATAATTTTTATTCTTTAAGTATATTGAAGTTCTTTTTTTTTTTTTTTTTTTTTTTGAGAGGGAGTCTTGCTTTGTCGTCCAGGCTGGAGTGCAGTGGCGAGATCTCGGCTCATTACAACCTCCGCCTCCTGGGTTCAAGCAATTCTCCTGCCTCAGCCTCCCAAGTAGCTGGGATTACAGGTGCCTGCAACCACGCCTGGCTAAAATTTTTATATTTGAGTAGAGATGGGGTTTCACTATGTAGGTCAAGCTGGTCTCGAACTCCTGACCTCAAATGATCTGCCTGCCTCTGCCTCCCAAAGTGCTGGGATTACAGGCATGAGCCACCGTGCCCGGCCTAGAGATGGGGTTTCACCACATTGCCCAGGCTGGTCTTGAACTCCTGACCTCAAGTAATCTGCCCGCCTTGGCCTCCCAAGGTGCTGGGATTACAGGCATGAGCCACTGTGCCCAGCCAAAGTAGAAGGAGCTGAGCTTCTTGATGTGTGAACAGAAATGGGAAATTCTTTATTTTTAGGCTTTCTAGCAATTAACCTTGTTTCTGTGTGCCCTATTGTAGGTAGATTTAAAGCTAGAAGCACCAGGTGGGTGCTGCTGGAGGAGGAGCAGCCAGTGAAAGTCACAGATTACTGCCATGTTTAAGCGGATGTGGTGTTAGACATTCAGACACCAGTGTGTTGGCTGGGATTCTGAATACCTGTGTTTTTTATCAGGATTGGTGTCAGTACTAATATTTTGGTATTTAAGAAATCTGGAGTCTGAATAATTTACATTTTGAGACATATCCCTAGAAAGTTACTGCATTAAAATTTGAAATGGAACAAAGCAGCTTGTTTAGAAAGGGTTCTGACCACTTCCCTCAATTAAAAAAAAAAAAAAACACGACAAAATAACCTTTTACAGTTAGTTCTGGTGGTGCGGGGAGGGGAAAGGTTACTTAAAAGATTGAGTTTCTTTTCTGAGTTATTAGTTTGATTTTCTCCAGGGTTCCTCATAGAGCCATCGTAGAATAGAGGGGATGGTATAAGGGAAACAGGAGGCAGGGGCTGTGCCGGGGGACCCTGTAGGGAGTGGAGAGGGAGACGGGGGAGGTCCCCAGGCCTGACTCCCAGCCCTGCCCTGGAGCATCTTTCTCTCCAGGACCAGGATCCTTCTGCTCTACTCCCTTGTTTCCTTTCACGGCCAGACCCTTTCCATTTGGACCTGTCTCTCTTCTCCAGAAGAATTTGTTTTAGCCAGGACCTTCCCCCTCCATGTGCTCGCTGGAGGAACAAGCCAGGAGGACACGGAATCCTCAGTCCAGACCCCGGCCTTCCCTCAGCTAAAACACTGTGTGAGAACATACTTCACATGTAAAAGTGAATACTGGTATTGACAGTAGTAAATACAGAAATACCAGCATTGGGTTGTTTGCTTTGGTTCTCTCTCTTTCTTCCTTCACTAATGCAATGACAATGTTTGTAGATTTTTTTAAAAAAATCATGGCACTATACCTGTGAGCCCGAGCTTTTGGTTAGAAGCAGGTGGGTGGGTTAATTTGGATTGGCTTATTGATTGGATGCTACAGTTTCAAGGTACTGGGGCTTCTGTGGGTGCTTGTTAGGGATCATTGGGGTGTGGTGGGCAGCGCTGGCTAGTGCTTAGGGATGTACCTGTCTTTATGTGCCTTAGTCCCTGTGTTTGTCTCTTTCTAGTCAATCATATTTGATGAGGTGGATCTGACAGATGCCAGCGTAGCTGAATCCAGTACCAAAAACGTCAACAACAGTTTTACGGTAAGATTCCTCAGTCATGCCTTTCTTGATTCTTCACTGAAGTTGGCTTTCCTTTTTGATCTGAACATGTGTCCAAGCAGTTCAAACGTTTTCATTCTTTTCTTACTGATTGGAATGATTGCTGGTAAAATTTGAATTTAATGCTGAAAGTAATACTGTGGTTGGAGAATAACCAAGAATTTGGCATGCATAAGCACAAAAGGACAATAGGGACCAAATGAAAAATTTTTATATGTGTTTTGGTTCACGTCTGTTTTGTTTTTTTTGAGACGGAGTTTGGCTCTTGTTGCCCAGGCTGGAGTGCAATGGCGTGATCTCCAGCTCACAGCAACTTCCGCCTCCCGAGTTCAAGCGATTCTCCTGCCTCAGCCTCCCGAGTAGCTGGGATTACAGGCATGTGCCACCACACCTGGCTAATTTTGTATTTTTAGTAGAGACAGGGTTTCTCCGTGTTGGTCAGGGTGGTCTCGAACTCCCAACCTCAGGTGATCCACCCTCCTTGGCCTCCCAAAATCCTGGGATTACAGGTGTGAGCCACCACGCTTTGCTGGTTCACATCTTACTACCTCTGTACAGAGTTTTGTTTTTTGTGATTAATGTAGAAAATTTGGAAAATGCAGACAAGTATGTTAAAGCAATTAAAAAGCAGCCATAACAGCCACCTCAAAAAACATTGAATGTTAATATTTTGGTGTATTTCTTTTTTTTTTCCTTTTTTATGTTTAAACTTTCTTCCTTCCAAATTTATAAAAGTTATGTAGGACTTTCTGCAAAAGTTCTAAATGCACAGAATCATGTGATCTCACCACTTGGAAGTGGCCAGCTGCTTACTCTACAGTGTTTATCTTTATTTCTGTATATTTATGTCTTTACCTACATGTACCCATGAGATCATGCTGAACCTTTTGGTTTACACCTGTGTTTTTTTCCCCCCCCAGGACAATTTATAGTAGAGAGTTGCTCATGTCAGCTGATCTAAATGTTCATGATATTATTTAATGGCTATAGTAGCATTTTCTTGTAGGATTTTATAATTTAGGCTTTACGGGCTGACTTTAGCGCCTGCCTGTGTAAGGTTTGACTCTAATAACAGCACTAGAACTTTTAAAGCTGTTTTTCTTTATGTTATTAGGCCATCCCATGTAGACAAAAAGTGTGTACCCTAATTAAAAAAATTATTCTTTTATAATTCAGTCAAGGTGAGTAATTTTCCTCAAGTTTAGGATCTGATATTTTGGGTTAGTGCTAGTTTCAGGTGCTTTCAAGTTTTGTTTTATTTTATTTATTGATGGATTCATTGTTGATGTTGCCAATACAAATGGGATTTTCCTTTCTCTGTCTAAACCTCTGCTTATTTTGTGTTGATTAACTGCTCTTATTTTACTTGGAGTATTTGTAGTTTTCTCTATTAATTTATTTTTACCAGCTGGGAAGAGACATTTTTAACCACATAAATAGATTTTTCTTTGATTCGTGGTTTTTAGAGTCTTTAATAGGAGTAGGTGTTGAATTTCTTTGGAGTGTTCTGAGCATCAGTTGATTAATTAATGAATTTTTTTGAGATGTTGTCTCCCTTTGTCACCCAGGCTGAAGTGCGGTGGTGTGATCTCGGCTCACTGCAACCTCCGTCTCCCAGGTTCAAGGGATCCTCATGCCTCAGCCTCCCTAGTAGCTGGGATTATAGTCGTGCACCGTTATGCCCAGATAATCTTCGTAATTTTAGTAGAGATGGGGTTTCACCATATTGGCCAGGCTGGTCTCAAACTCCTGGCCTGGAGTGATCTACCCGCCTGAACCTTCCAAAGTACTGGGATTACAGGCATGAGCCACTGTGCCTGGCCCTGGGCATTAATTTAGATGTTCATTTTGGTTTCAGTTATTTGCATATTTCCTAATAAAAAAATTATTCTTGGTAATGTTGAATTTTACTCCTTTATCTTGCAATTTAGAATTTTCCCACTGGTATGTATGCATTTGTTTTGGGTGAGAATGTAGCCTTATTGCAGTTTTAAACAATTGTTTTTTCTGTTTTTAATTTTAATGGATACATAATAGTTGGACATACTGTGTTTTGATTTCAGAGTTAAACCAACCCCATAAAATTCATTTAGTAACTTTCTATGAGTTTATGTTTTCTGCAACATTTTATGTAGCTTTGGGATTGGTTGTTTCTTAAGTTCGAGAGAATTTATTTTAAATTATTTGTCAAGAAGACTTTTTAGGGAGATAAGGCTGTAATAGAAATAAATCCTAAAATATTTATTTCTTGCATTTTGATCATTTTTTGAACCTTTTCACTTTTTGAGTCCACATCTGTAATTTACTTTCCCACAAATTTCACACCTTCAAAGTTAGTAGCGTGTACTGTTGTGTAGTTTAAACACCTGTGTCTCTGGTTGAATCTCCTTTGCATTTCTAATTTTATTAGTTTAGTTTGCTTTTCTTGTCAGATTTCGTAAACTCTAGCATTTTTGTTTTCTTTGTTTTTAAAGAGAACTAGTTCTTAGATTATTGAACAATTCTCCTTTTCTGTTTCCTTTTTTATTTTTTTGAGACGGAATCTTGCTCTGTTGCCCAGGCTGGAAGGCTGGAGTGCAATGACGTGATCTTGGCTCACTGCAACCTCCACCTCCTGTGTTCAAGCGATTCTTCTGCCTCAGCCTCCTGAGTAGCTGGGATTGCAGGCACCTGCCACCACGCCCAGCTAATGTTTTTATATTTTCAGTTAGAGACGGGGTTTCGCCATGTTGGCCAGGCTGTTCTCAAACTCCTGACCTTGAGTGATCTGCCTGCCTCAGCTTCCCAAAGTGCTGGGATTACAGGTGTGAGCCACCACGCCTGGCCTGTTTCCTTTTTTTTTTTTTTTTTTTTGAGACAGGGTCTTGCTCTGTTGCCCAGGCTGCAGTATAGTGCTGTGATCTCGGCTCATGGCAACCTCTTCTTCCTGGGTTAAAGTGATTCTCCTGCTTCAGCCTCCTGAGTAGCTGGGATTACAGGTGTGTCCCACCACGCCTGGCTGATTTTTGTATTTTTAGTTAGAGATGGGTTTTCGCCATGTTGTCTAGGCTGGTCTTGACCTCCTGACCTCAAGTGATCCTCCTGCCTCAGCCTTCCAAAGTGCTGGGATTACAGGTGTAAGGCACCATGCTGGGCCCTACTTTCCTGTTTTCTAATTCAGTGTCTGTATTTATGTGTATTGGTTTTTTTTTTTTTTTTTTTAGATGGAGTCTTGCTCCGTTGCCCAGGGGGGAGTGTAGTGGTGTGGTCTCGGCTCTCTGCAGCCTCCGCCTCCTGGGTTCCAGTGATTCTCCTGCCTCAGCCTTGGGTAGCTGGGATTACAGACACATGCCACCATGCCCAGCTAATTTTTTTATTTTTAGTGGAGACAGGGTTTCACCGTGTTGGCTAGGCTGGTCTCGAACTCCTGACCTCAGTGCCCACCTTGGCCACCCAAAATGCTGGGATTACAGGTGTGAGCCACCTTGCCCGGCTGTGTATTAGTTTTTATCTGTTGTAACTTACGAAATATGTTGTTCAAGTCCTCTTATGATCTTGTTTTTTATCGCTTGAGCTTCCATAGGCTGTTAATGAGGAGTTAGAATCTCTTTCAGGCCAGTTACGTTTAACACTTTGTTCATGTATTTCTAACAGTTTTCACCTTCTCCATTTTGAAGCTTTGTTAAGCGTGTAAATATTTAAAAAGATAATACCTTCAATATTGAGTAATCATTTGTTAATAAAGATTAATAAAGTAGTAGCTTTTTTTTTCTTCTTTCCTAGACAAGGTCTTGCTCTATCACCTGGGTTGGAGTGAAGTGGCACAATTATGACTCACTGCAGCCTTAAACTCCTGGGCTCCAGTGATCCTCCTGCCTCAGCCTCCCAGTTAGCTGGGACTACAGGTGCTTGATACCATGCCTGGCTAATTTTTACATTTTTTTGTAGAAGCAAGGTCTCGCTATGTTGCTCAGGCTGGTCTCAAACTCCTGGCATCAAGTGATCCTCCTGCCTTGGCCTCCCAAAGTGCTGGGATTAAAGAAGATCTTTTTCGCAATGAGTAGTTTGTGTCATTAACTGTTCTCTCATGTATATTAGTATTTCTAAGTCTTCTTTTCTTTGTTCAGAATTTACTTGATATACATACCCCCCACCCTTTTCCATCCTAACTTTTATCTTTAGTTTTCCTTATTATTTTGAATTTAATTCCCTTTTTTTTTTTTTTTTTTTTTTTTTTTTTTTTTAGAGATAGGCTCTTGCTGTGTTGCTCAGGCTGGAATGCGGTGGTACAGTGTTAGCTCACTGCAGCCTCAAACTCCTGGTCTCAAGAGATCTTCCTGCCTCACCCTCCCCAGTAGCTGGAACCACAGGCATTGTCACCACACCCAGCTAATTTTTTATTTTTTGTAGAGATGGGGTCTAACTATGTTGCCTTGGCTGGTCTCTAACTTCTGGCCCCAAGTGATCTGTCTTGGTGTCCTAAAGTGTTGGTATTACAGGCATGAGCCGATGTGCCTTGCCTAGATTTAATTCTTGTAAACAGTATGTTGTTAGAATCTGTCTTATTTTAGTCAGAAACCCTTTGCCTTGTAAATATTGTGCTTCAGCCATTTTCTGCTGTCAGGATTCTTGCATATCTGATGCCTGTGTTTTGTGGCTGAATGTATTGTGCTTTCTTGTTTGTTTGTTTGTTTATTTATTTATTTTTGAGACAAGGTCTTGCTCTGTCACCCAGGCTGGAGTACAGTGGTGCAGTCATGGCTCACTGCAGCTTCGACCTCCTAGGCTCAAGTAATCTTCCCACTTCAGCCTTCTGGGTAGCTGGGACTCCAGGCACATGTGACCATACCCAGATAATTTTTGTTTTTTTGTAGAGAAGGAGTTTCACCATGTCACCTAGGCTATTCTTGAACTTTGGGGTGCAAGTAGTCCACCCACCTTGGCCTTCTGAAGTGCTGAGGTTACAGGCATGAGCCACCACACCCAGCCATGCTTTCTTATTTTAATGGTCTCTTGGTACCTCTCTTCTACTTCCCTTCTGTGTTGTCTCTTAAACATTTATAGTTCACAGATTTTCTTTTTCCTTTCTTTTCTTTTCTTTTTTCTCCTCCCCTCCCCTCCTCTCCTTTCCCCTCCCCTCCCCGCTTCTCTCTTTTTCTATCTTCCTTTCTTTCCTTTTTCCTTTTTTTTTTTTAATTTAAATTTAAGAGACAGGTCTTACTCTGTCGCCCGGGCTGGAGTGCAGTGGCATGATCACCATTTACCGCAGCCTTGAAATATCAGGCTCAAGCGATCCACCGGCCTCAGCCTCCCAAAATGTTCAGATTACAGGCATGAGCCACCATGCCTGGCCAAGTTCACAAATTTTATTATGCTAGACCTGTTTGTAGCCAGCCCATATGGTGACATCCTTTTTTTGGTCAAGCTTTGTGTATTACTGAGGGTTTAGTCACAGAGAACATGCTACTCAATGCTTTGTTTCACTAGCTCTTATTCGATTCATACCAAACCATGAAAATGAAAAAGGACTGAAGAACATGGAAGAAAAATAATGCAAAATGGTCTGTTTTCCAGAAAGGAATCAAATACGATATTTTATTAGTGAGCTCCGAGAACATAGTATTTCCCAATGTTGGTGTTGCAGGGGGTTGTCGAGAGCAGGCTCGATGCTGTTGCTGTCTTTGAAGGCATTTCTGCTCGGAGACTCAGAGTTGCCTTCTCTCTTGTGCAATGCGGGTTTGCTAACTGGTTGGTCTGGGATAGAGCAAGCCTGATTTCTTCCTCACTCCAGTTTGGGCTTTCCAGCTTTGAAAAACTGTTTTTTCCTTCTTTTCTCTTACACTTGAAAAAACGAATTCTGGTTCATGTGCTTTGTCTTGTTCTTTGGGAATTTGGCTCGTTTATTTAGTCATTGTTTTGGCAAGCATTTTTTTTGGGGTCTACCGTGGGCCACACACCATGCTGAGTGCGGTGGGTAGAAATGGAGAGGAGCCACTCTGCATCAAGCTTATATTCTCGTGGGAGATCAGATAAGCACATACATAGAACCTTAGTTACAGGCTGAGACAAGCTCCGATGGAAGAGCAGTACATGGTGCCTGATATGTGGAAGACCCCACCTGGCCTTGGGGAGGGGCTGGGCAGTCTTCTCAGAGGAAGTGAGGTCTCATAGCTGAGACATGAAGAATGATAGTGGTAAATCCACTGAGGGAAGCATGAGCCTGAGAGGGTATGTGTGTCTGTGTGTTGGTGTGTGTCTGTGTGTTTCTTTGTGTGTGTCTGTGTGTTTCTTGTGCAAATAGGCACCTCGGGGATGGGGCAGGTGGAGGGACCAGCAGTGCGAAGACCTTGGGATGGGGACACCACGTGGAGTGTGCAAAGTGGTGGAAGGGCCAGGGTGGCTGATGGAGGCCAGAGCAAGAGGACACCAGAGGGGACCAGCGTGGCTGGGGGGGGCCAGAGCGAGAGGACACCAGAGGGGACCAGGGTGGCTGGGGGGGGCAGAGCGAGAGGACTCCAGAGGGGACCAGGGTGGCTGGGGGGGGGGGCGCCAGAGTGAGAGGACTCCAGAGGGGACCAGGGTGGCTGGCAGAGGCCAGAGTGAGAGGACACCAGAGGGGAGCAGGGTGGCTGGCAGAGGCCAGAGTGAGAGGACACCAGAGGGGACCAGGGTGGCTGCGGGGGGGGCCAGAGTGAGAGGACTCCAGAGGGGACCAGGGTGGCTGGGGGGGGGGGGGTGCCAGAGTGAGAGGACTCCAGAGGGGACCAGGGTGGCTGGCAGAGGCCAGAGTGAGAGGACTCCAGAGGGGACCAGGGTGGCTGGGGGGGGGGCCAGAGCGAGAGGACACCAGAGGGGACCAGGGTGGCTGAGGGGGGCAGCAGAGTGAGAGGACTCCAGAGGGGACCAGGGTGGCTGGCAGAGGCCAGAGTGAGAGGACTCCAGAGGGGACCAGGGTGGCTGGCAGAGGCCAGAGTGAGAGGACACCAGAGGGGAGCAGGGTGGCTGGCGGGGGGCCAGAGCGAGGCGAGAGGACACCAGAGGGGACCAGGGTGGCTGGGGGGGGGGGGCAGAGTGAGAGGACACCAGAGGGGACCAGAGTGGCTGGCAGAGGCCAGAGTGAGAGGACTCCAGAGGGGACCAGGGCAGAGCTTGGGACTTACTCCTCAGGACTTGGGCTGCTGTTGAATAGTTTTATTTGGTGAAATTCTCAGATTTGCAGGTGTCAGAAAGTTCTACTCTGGCTGTAGGGTGGAGGGTGAACTGGAAGGGGAGGGAGGTTTGTAGGATTGTTAGGAGAGAGTGGAGTGGAGAGTGCGGAGGTGTCTAGGGGGCAGTGGGCAGGCTAGTGATCAGGTCAGAAGGGGGTGGAGTAGATGAAGGTGTCAGGGCTTCTGCTGAGTACAGCAGCAGGCTGGTTAAGTGAGCTCAGGAGTCCAGAAGAGGGGCTGTGGGGTGGTGGGGGAGGCTTCTTTATCTTCCATGTCTGTCACATTCTTTAGCCTTATTTTATTTAATTTGTTGGTTTTTTTCCTAGTTCTAGTTATCAAAGTTTTTATATTGTTTGTTACTACATTTACTTGCAACCTCCCCTCCCAGCTCCCACCCCCCACCCCCGATTTTGGCATACTTTGTATTTATCCTGGCTTATTCTTGTTTGAAAGGTAAAATTTTTTTTTTTTTGAGATGGAGTCTCGCTCTGTTGCCCAGGCTGGAGTGCAGTGGTGCGATCTTGGCTTACTGCAAGCTCCGCCTCCCGGGTTCACGCCATTCTCCTGCCTCAGCCTCCTGAGTGGCTGGGAGTACAGGTGCCGCCACCACGCCCGACTAATTTTTTTTTTGTATTTTTAGTAGAGACGGGGTTTCACAGCGTTAGCCAGGATGGTCTCGATCTCCTGACCTCGTGATCCGCCGGCCTCAGCCTCCCAAAGTGCTGGGATTAAAGGTGTGAGCCACCGCGCCCGGCCAATAGGTAAAATATTTTTTAAAAGTTTTCTGTTTAACAAAGTCATTCCCTCCAGGGAAAGATTTTCCTTTGATCTTCTCCATTTTCTCTTGGGTTTTCACATGTTTTCATTGACTTAGGATTTCTCCCCTGATTTATTAAACTTTGTGTTATAGTAATTTTAGTTGTTGTCTTCAAGTCCTACGCTTGTTTGCTTTTTTTGAGACAGTCTCACTGTGTCGCCCAGGCTGGAGTGCAGTGATGCGATCTCAGCTCACTGCAACTTCCACCTTCTGGGTTCAAGTGATTCTTGTGCCTCAGCCTTCCGAGTAGCTGGGATTACAGGCTCCCGCCACCACACCCGGCTAATTTTTGTATTTTTAGTAGAGATGGGTTTCACCATGTTGGCCAGGCTGGTCTTGAACTCCTGAGCTCAAGTGATCTGCCCGCTTCAGCCTCCCAAAGTGCTAGGATTACAGGTGTGAGCCACCATGCCCAGTTTTATCATCTTCCCTTAGCAGCCTAGAGCTGTGGAACACTACAAGACTGTAGGGTCCATTCGAGTTTTATGCTTTTATTTACTTATTTCTCCAAGTCAGTGTTTTTCATCATTTTTAAACCCATGTTCTCTTTTGATGAAGGATTAATTTTTATTGCCTCATTTAGTTTTTGAAATTTCAAAATGCAGCAAAAAGGAATGAAAGCAGTGGGCTTTATTCTCACCCTCCCTGACCCTCCTGGAGAGTCATTCCTACCTGTATTCCATTTGGTCTTATTTATTTATAATATATGCTACATGAGAGCAAGGATTTTTGTCTGTTTTGTTCATGGCTTTACACCAAGTTCCCAGCACACAGTAGGTGCACATAACTCTTTGTTGAAGAGTGGCTTGGTCACCTCCAGTTCCAGAATGATTTGGGCCCTGCCCCTCATTGTTCGGCTCTGCAGGAAGCTTCCTGGGACCAGATGCTGGGCCTGGCTGCAAGATCAGGTCTTCCTTCCTGCAGGGCACAGTCCATGTGCATCCCAGCAGCCACGGCAGGGCTGGGGAGGAACTGATGTGGGTTGCTTCTCTGGGCAGGGCATGGGGGTTCCCTGCCTGTGGTGGGGGAAGGGGGTACGTGGCTGTGGGGTGGAAGGGATGTTTCTTGCCAGAGGGAGTGGGCGTGGGAGGTGCGCTGGGTGAGCAGCCTCTGAGGCAGGAAGTGCTTTCCAGGCTGGGGTGGGTTTGGGCTTTTTTGTCAGAGCTGTGGGAAGCCATTAAGATTTTAAAGCAGGGTGGTAAAGTTGGGTTTTTGTTAGAAGAGTCTGTCTGCTGCTGGAGGCGAGATCTGCAGGGAAGAGTTGGCTAGGTGGATGAGAAGGGGTGCAGAGGGGCCTTTCCCCCAACATGAGGATGTGGACAGCCTGGATGTGCTTATGGAGGTGAGAGATGGGGCCTGAGGAGAGCCATGCACTGCAGGCGGGCAGGGTCCATGCTTCTGCTGTTGTTGGTACTTTTATTTGTTTTGGGTGACTCTGAGAATTAAATATTAATAACAGTGTTGAAGGAACATACTGTATCATTGGCCATGATGCATGCCTCCTAGAAAGCAGCGCTGTACACAGTGACATGATCACAGCACCCCTGCAGGACTCCAGATGCACAGTTTCTTCTCCTCACTGAGAGTGTTTTGGTATTGCTGGCCTTTCCAGTTCTAGAAATGTCCCCTTTGAGACTGACTTCATGGTGGCTGGTGTCAGAGTCTGTGTCCCTTGTGAAGGAGGCAGAATCAGAGCTAAATTCAATTTAGCAAAGATTTTCTAGACTAAGTAGGAAGAGGGCTCATCACCCGAAGTGGGCGTGGGTGCTCCCCATAGCCAGGCTTTGTCTACAGGACAGCGGGAGGCAGTCAAGGCCTGAGCCCTGGCCAGGTCCCTCGGAGGGCAGGGAGCCTGGAGCTAGGAGAGAGTGGTGATGCAGGGTGGCCATTTCCACTCCCACAGGGCCCTTTGCCCTTCACACCCAGTGCCCACTGCCCTGTCTGAGACGCCTCATGCTGTCCTGGCCTGGGCCTCCCTGGCCACCTGCTGGCATGGCCTCTCCCATTTGTGGGGGTGCCACTTCCTAACTGCCTCTCCTCTCACGGCTCTCCTTCCGTGCCCCCTACCTTGGGCAGGATGTGGGTGGGATATAGTTTGAGTCCATCTCGGGTGCTGGTTTTATGAAGCACACATTTGACTCCCTCAGTGGGTGGTGGAGTGTGCAGACCTGAGCTCCCTGAGCTCTCTCGGGTAGCCCTGGTCACCTCTCATGGGCAGGGCTGCTTGCACAGCTGGAGGGCAAGGCCTGAGCTGCTGTTCCCGGAGAGCTAGAGCTCGACAGGCCTGGACTGC
The DNA here is from genome assembly GCF_000001405.40 of Homo sapiens. Classification (NCBI taxonomy): domain Eukaryota; kingdom Metazoa; phylum Chordata; class Mammalia; order Primates; family Hominidae; genus Homo; species Homo sapiens. The sequence continues at coordinate 233,400,799 of NC_000002.12, forward strand.
CCAGGAGGCCCGTGGAAAGGCTGATCCTTCCTCAGTTGTTGCAGCTGAGTGTGTGTGGCCTCCTGATGCTACATGTTCAGTTGCCTTTTACTTCCTTTATGAGGGAAGTTTTATGCTACGCGGTATTTCCAAAGTGTGAGCTCCCCAGAGGAATCAGGGACTCTGTCTTTGAATGTCCAGGGTCTGTGTATCCTCTACCAGATAGAAGACCCAAGGCAGCAGGACTGGGCTCCTTCTCTTCTTTTGATCTCTGAAAGTACGGGACTCTGCAAGGTAACTTCATTCTTTAAGGCAAGCCAGAGTGTGAATCCTAGCTCAGCTTCTTCCAAGCAGATGACTGGGGGCGAGTCACAGGACAGCTCGAAGCCTCCATTTTCTCATCTGAGAAATGGGGCTAGTAACCTGCCTTGTGGGGTGGTTTGGTTGTAAGGACTAAATGAGTTAATGAATGTAGGCATGATATATGTGTTTGTGCCTATTAACACTGTGATTATAGGCACTTACTGATTATTCAGTGAATGAACTGAAAGCAATAAACCAAATTCATTTATTATATCATTTGGTATGTGGAAAATTTTCTTCTAGTTTGGTGTACTTAACGTTTCATACTTTCTCTGTTTACTGAATAATAACTTTAATTGAACAAAATCACTACTAATTAGTCCAGATTTCACTGGGCTTCAGTTAGTCTGGCTGTATTATTACTACTCCCTGGGTCATGGCAACTGTAGCTGAGGTGAACCTTAGAGAGGAAAGACAAGTTTTACTGGAATATGCCTGAAATACAGAGCCATTTAGAAGGGTCATATTCTGCCCATTGTTAAAAGCGCTGTGAACTAAGGCTGGGCATGGTGGCTAACACCTGTAATCCCAGTGCTTTGGGAAGCTGAGGCGGTGGTTCAACTGAGGACAGGAATTCAAGACCAGCCTGACCAACATGATGAAACCCCGTCTCTACTAAAAATATAAAAATTAGACAGACATGGTGGCGGGCGCCTGTAATCCCAGCTACTCAGGAGGCTGAGGCACAAGAATCACTTGAACCCGGGAGGCAGAGGTTGCAGTGAGCTGAGATCGCATCATTTCATTCCAGCCTGGGCGACAGAGTGAGACTCTGTCTCAAAAAAAAAAAAAAAAAAAAAAAAAAAAGCAAGCACTATAAACCATCGAGGGGCCCCTCGTTTCTTACCTAATGAAGTTCAGGGTCTGGTCCTCATGTGCCCTCCCAGCCTGGCCTCTCCCCAGCCAAGCCCAGTGCTTCTTAGGGAGCTCCCTGTGTGTACGGGTCACCTGCTGGCCCTGGTCTCTGGGGGTCTGTTTCCCCAAATTCTCCCCACCGACCCTGTCCGTTTCCTCCTCAGGGAAGCCTTCCTGTTTACATGGTGCTCAGGAAACTGCCATATGCTTCTGTGGGACTGTGGTTCTCAAACTTGGCCATGCCCGAGCACCTTTTGGAACTTTCCCCAGAAGTTTGCAAGTGGGTGCTTTTTCAAAGCTTTCCAAAATCTTAGGGTACAACCACTTTGGGACCCCCTTCTTGAGGGTACTTTGTGTCACTCATGTGATGCTACATTAGCACAAGCTCCCTAGTAATGTGTACTTGGCCACACCTTGAGCTCAAGGCCATGGAGTGTCTTGGCAGCTTAGGGTCCCCAGTGCTCTGCCCTTTGGGGTGACTATGTGTATGAATATGAGCTGGAAGAAGCAGGTTCTGTTGCTTCTTTTTGTTAGCACAACAGAGAGAATGTTGACTCACCCCTTCCTTGGCAAGCCCCGCTGAAGAGGTGCTCACTATTGTGGACCCCTCTGTGGGCCAGGCTCCCCCTTTTACAATTTCCCAGCTCATGTCCGGCCGGCAGCTTGGGGACAAGGTTAGCCCCTGTGCTCTGTGTGTGCGCTTTTAGCGAGTTTGCCAGCTGGAAAACTTGTTTATCCCAGAGAATGGAGGAGTCATTTGACAAGTAAGGCATTACCCTGGCCACCTAATTTCAAATCAGTTGGAAAAGATGCAAGTTTTAGAACTTGTTATTCCTTATTTGAACTATCCTGTATCACGGCAAACTGTCTACTGAGTGCCTGAGGGTGTACGGGGTAGGTAAGTGTGTTCCCTACTCTGGGAGACTTCTAACAGTATATAAAGAAGTAGTTCTAGTGCCCTGTCATAAGTAGAGTGGAAGAAGGTACAAAGTACAGTTAGAGTGGTGGTGGTTAGCCTTGGGAGGGGAGGTAAGCTTCTCTGAGGAGCGGCATGAGAGCTGGATGTGGGGACGGGTCCCTTTTGCAGAGAGGACTGGGGAAGAGTCAGGGAGTCGGGGACATCCAGGAAATAGGTGGTAGGAGTGTCTGTTCATGTGACACACTAGCAGTGCCTGCTTTCCAGGTACAAGTCCTCCTGTATGGATTCATTTGTTAACTTAGTTCTTAAAGTGTTTGAATCTTAGTAATGATTTTAAAGGAAATTTAAAATAGGGAGAAAATGGGCTGGGTGTGATGGCTCACACCCGTAATCCCAGCACTTTGGGAGGCCGAGGCAGGCGGATCACCTGAGGTCAGGAGTTCAAGACCAGCCTAGCCAACATGGTGAAACCCTGTCTCTACTAAAAATACAAAAATTAGCTGGATGTGGTGGTGGGCGCCTGTAATCCCAGCTACTCAGGAGGCTGAGGCAGGGAGAATTGCTTCAACCCAGGAGGTGGAGGTTGCAGTGAGCCAAGATCGCACCGTTGCACTCCAGCCTGGGCGACAGAACAAGACTCCATCTCAAAAATAAAAATAAAAGTAAAATAGGGAGAAAATGTTCCCACAGTAGCTCTGCAGTTGTTTTCTTTTTTCATGTTTCTCTTCAGACTTTTTTTTTTTTAGATGGAGTCTCGCTCTGTTGCCCAGGCCGGAGTGTAGTGGCGCGATTTAGGCTCATTGCAACCTCTGCCTCCCGGGTTCAAGCAATTCTCCTGCCTCAGCCTCCTGAGTAGCTGGGATTATAGGCGTGTGCCACCACACCCAGCTAATTTTTTTGTATTTTTAGTAGAGACGGGGTTTCACCATGCTGGCCAGGCCGGTCTCGAACTCCTGACCTCGTGATCCGCCCACCTTGGATTCCCAAAGTGCTGGGATTACAGGCGTGAGCCACTGCGCCCTTCCTCCCTTCAGACTTTTTAATAGGCACACATTAAATTTTACATGTGTTATATACATGTATAATTTTGTGTTTTGTGTTACAAAGTTAAATTTTGTGTTTTGTGTTACAAAATTACATTTTACATGTGTTATATACATGTATAATTTTGTGTTTACATGTGTTATATACATGTATAATTTACATGTGTTATATACATGTATAATTTTGTATTTTGGCTTTATTTGCTGTTTTATCATAAGATTCCCCATATCATGAGTCTCTGTAATGATCGTTTTTTATGGTGGCAGATATTTCATTGTGTAGATGTGTCATCACTGATCAGTTAAACTTTATTTGCTCACTCTTGCAGCATTAGGAACTGAGAATGTTTCAGTTTTTCCTGTTGGAGATAATGCTAGAATGTGCATTTCAGATCACAGGAGGGACATTTAGGGAGGTGAGTTTGTTCTCCCCTGCAGAGCAGCTTCCATGCTGAGCCCTGTTTGCCCAGGAGAGGGTGCAGTTTGCCCTTCAGGAGCTGCTTTGGTTTGGTCTTGGGTTCCTTTTTGTTACCTGCCCTGAGAGTTGAGAAGACAAAACTTCCTCCTGCTTTGGGTGATTCTAGTTTGGTTCTGGTTTACAGCTTTATTTTTGAGTATTTCTGTATTTCAGCTTCTATTTACTTTACACCATTTTAGATAGATCATCATTTGAACTTTCAGATATCCTAAGCCTCCAGAATCTCTAGAGGATTGGCATGTCACATAACTTTAAAAAAGCAATATCAAGAAGAAGTTGGGTTTGTTGAAGGGAAGTGGACAGATCAGGGGACTCTGGCTTATATGGCTAAGCTGGTGGAGGAAGACATGTGAGCAGACATTGGGTGAACGTCTGCTGTTCCAGTGGCACATCCTGGAATGAGGTTGGGTGGAGGGTAGGTAGAGAGCTGCCCCAGGTATGGAAGGTGGTAGAAGAAGAGTTGAGTACACACTTGCATGAGGGATGGGGCTGGTTTACAGGAATGGAACCAGCTTGGAAAGAAGACAGAAGGTGAGAAGTGAATACTTGTTGGTATCATGTAAGAACAGAGTGAAGAAAAAGGACAGGCCGGCCCTTGGTTTATTTTTAAATTTCAGGAAAATGGATTGGCCAAATAATGGGGATCAAAAATAAAGGGTGTTTTTATTATGAGCCAAGTGAAAATTAAATTTAAGATATGTATGTTGTTATGGTTTGATTGTGTCCTCCAAAGTTCATGTGTTGGAAACTGAAGCGCCAGTGCAACAGTATTGAGAGGTAGAAACTTTAAGAGGTGATCAGTGCTGGGTGCAGTGGCTCACGCCTGTAATCCCAGCACTTTGGGAGGCCAAGGCGGGCAGATCACCTGAGGTCGGGAGTTTGAGATCAGCCTGATCAACATGGAGAAACCCTGTCTCTACTAAAAATACAAAATTAGCTGGGTGTGTTGGCACATGCCTGTAATCCCAGCTACTCAGGAGGCTGAGGCAGGAGAATCACTTGAACCCAGGAGGCGGAGGTTGCAGTGAGCCGAGATTGTGCCATTGCACTCCAGCCTGGGCAACAAGAGTGAAACTCTGTCTAAAAAAAAAAAAAAGAAAGAAAAAAAAAGAGGTGATCAGGCCAGGAGGGCTCTGCTCTGGGGATGGATTAATGCTGTTATTGTAGGGGTCAGTTCCTAATAAAGGGATGAGTTCATCTCCTCCCCCTTGTTCTCACTGTCACCTTTGACGCAGCATGAAGCCCCTCACCAGATGCCGCACCATGCTCTTAGACTTTCGAACTATGAGGCAAATAAACTTCTGTTCATTTAAAATTATCTAGTCTGTGGTATTCTGTTACAGCAGCGCAAAACAGACTAAGACACATGTCTAGAGGGCTGCTTATGTGTAATAGCTATATAATACTGCATATATAAAGGGCAGTTTATATTTAATGCTGGTAGAATATCATGAAGGTAGTGTATGTTAGAGTTAGGTTTAGCTACTGTATTAGTTTCTCATGGCTTCCATAGCAAATTATCAGATAACATGAAACAGAAGAAATGTAATTCTATCACATTCCTGGAGGCCAGACATCTGAAATCATGGTGTTGGCAGGGCTGGGGTCCTAGGAGAGACTCTGTGACTTGCTTTTCCCAGCTCCTGGTAATTCCAGGCATTCCCTGGCTTGTGGCTGCATCGCTTCAAGATCTGCCTCTGTCTCCACATGGCCTTTTCTTCCTTCTTCTGTGTCTTCTCCTCTGTTTTCTTAAACAGACACCTGTCCTTGGATTTAGGGCCCACTCAGATAATCCAGGATGATCTCATCTCAAGATCCTTAACTTGATTACATCTGCAAAGACTGTTTTTCTAAATAAGGTCACATTCACAGGTTCCAGAGATTAGAACATGGACATACCTTTTGGAGGCCATCATTCGATGCCCTATAGCTACAAATAAGAATGGTGTGAACAGGCAAGGTTTTATTCTTTCACACCAAAGAAAGTAGTCCTTGGTGAGTATGGTCATTCTGCAAGGTCGACCGAGCCCTTCCAGAATGTGAGTCTTCTAGTCTAAGAGGCTATGAGGTGCTAGTCACCACTGTGTCTCCTGTTGTTGGACGGGGAGACGAGGAGAGGAGAAAGTGTGTTGCCTGGTAGGAGTTCATAACCAGGATTCATGGCCCCCTCAAAGCGGTCTGTGGATATGACTATATTGTATTAAAATTGGTTTCCACTGTAATCATAAGTATTTTATTTTTGGCACTTAGAGAAATTCTGAGAAGGAGTTCATAGGCCTCACCAGACTGCCAGAAGGGGTCCATGGCACAGAACAGACGAGGAGCTCTTGTATGACTTCTCCAAAGTGTGACATGGCACTTCTGCGGACATCCTCCCGGTTGATCTTTAGTTATGTGCTCATACCGTATAGCTCTCAGGATGCTTGCCCTGAAATAATCATATCAGAATAACCATGTTATGCAGAGAGAAGGGTGATTTTTCATGTCTGTATTTATGACTTCCTTTTCCCCAAGTAATATTTTTGAATAGTTTATGGTATCAAGAAGTTTGATGAAGTATATCATAAAGAAGGTCTTCCTTGTTAGCTGTGTGACCTAGGGCAGATACTTCATCTTTCTGAGACTCAATTTTCTCATCTGTGAAATGGGATAATACTGGACTGTATCTCAAAGGTCATTGGATTGGCACAGAAGTGCGTTCTGAATGTTTCCTAGTTTCTAATCTCCACCACCAGTCATCTCTACTAGTAGGAAAGTAATAGGGTTTAACTTGCTAACATGTAACAGTTATTCTGATTTATAGGAGTTTCAAAGGATTTCAAACGAGGCCAACTTTACAGATATATTAAAAATAGCTTTTGTAGCAGAAGAGTAGATATCCGGAAAAAGTTATCCTTAAAAGTTTTCAAGGTATAATCAATACAAACAGGAAAAATAAAAGTTAAGGGAAAACCAAGTATAATTTAACATATAAGATGCCTTTAATTGGTAGCTAAATAAAAAGGAAGCTATGTAATGGATCAGAGTATTGCGTTTAAATCTTGTCATGGCAGAGCACGGTGGCTCATGCCTGTAATCCCAGCATTTTGGGAGACCAAGGCAGGAGAATCACTTGAGGCTAGGAGTTTAAGACCAGCCTGGGCAGCATAACAAGATCCTGTCTCTACAAAAAATAAAAAAAATTATCCAGGTACGGAGGCATGCACCTGTAGTCCCAGCTACTTGGGAGGCTGAGGCGGGAGGATCACTTGAGCCCAGGAGTTCTAGGTTGCAGTGAGCTGTGATTGCACCACTGCACTCCAGCCTGGGCAACAGAGAGAGATCGTGTCTCAAAACATAAAATAAATCTTGTCCATGTGGCATTCATATTTGTTGGGTGAATGAAAGTTCCCTAGTAGGCCTACCTAGCGTGAAACTGTGGCTGAGTTTCTCAGCTGTTTCTAACAGACATCAGCCCAGAGGATGGTTAGGACTGCTTCTTGGGTGAGGAACCGTGATCTTTATCCAGATTTCATCATCAGTTTTCCTTTTTAGCATGTTTGGATTTCAGATATTTTCTGGGCAAAATTCCTAAGCCAGTTAACTTTGGCTCGGAGAGAGGAAAAACTGTTTTTTTTTTTTTTTTTCAGATGAGTCTCACTCTGTTGCCCAGGCTGGAGTGCCGTGCTGCGCTCTCAGCTCACTGCAACCTCCGCCTCCCGGGTTCACGCAGTTCTCCTGCCTCAGCCTCCCAAGTAGCTGGGACTACAGGCATGTACCACTACACCTGGCAAACTTTGTATTTTTAGTAGAGACAGGGTTTCACCATGTTGGCCAGGCTGGTCTCGAACTCCTGACCTCAGGTGATCCACCCATCTCGGCCTCATGGGATTACAGGCGTGAGCCACTGCGCCCATCCAGAGAAACTGTATATAATTGGCAAATGTCTCTGCATAAAAGACTCTTCCTAATTGCTGCAACTGCTGGCCCAGGTCTGGGACAGGGAGAATTGTATTTGTGGGTCCCAAAAGTCCTCTTGAGTGTGAAGTGTCTTTGCTCTTCCTGTTGGGAAGCCCCACGTTCGTTAGCAGCTCCTGCCCCCTGGGCTCACTTCTGCAAAGCAAGCCTGCCTCTATTTCTGCTCAAGTGCAGTGTTCCAGGAGAACCTGACTGCATGTCCCAGCTCTGCCAGCTCTCAGTGGTGGGTTCTTGGCCACCTGTAGCTTCATTCTCCCATCTGCCAATGAGGGTGGTCCTACCTAGCACAGCAATGGTGGGGCAGTCGAGCACCGGGCAGAGTAGGTGCTCAGTGAATGAAATACTGTAATTATTAACACATGCCATGGACAGCAGTGCAGGCCTGCGGGATCAGGTGCAGAAGGAAGTTAACCCAGTGAATTCCACACCTGGTAATCCACACTGTGTTCTCAGGTTAAAGAAGCAGGAGGAAGCAGGCATTGAGTCAAATTGGTGGCTGTTTGCTAAGTGTGGGGTTTTACTGAAGGCAGCACCTGCTTCTGCAGCACAGCTGGTCTGAAAAGCCAGGTTGCTCCTTGTGAGGGCTTAGGGGTCGGTTTTAACAGTCACTCCAAGCAGGCACAGGGAGAAGATGCTGTCCTCTTCTGGCAGCCTGGCTGGTGAGCAGTGGAACCAATTGTGGTGTCTCTTCTTTAGAGTTTGGGGTGGGAGAAGACGCAGTTACTCGTCTGGGCTGTTTGTTTAGATTATCAGTGGGGTTTGCATTTGTGAAATCTAAGCCATTTTCACCTTATGATTGTATGTGTTTGAAAAAGTATTTGTGTTGTTAACACTTGTTATACTTGTTAATTTTTATGAACAAGTGTAGCGTACTTGTTAATTGTCTTTATTTACAAATGGCAGAGAAAACAAAGTGGATAGTTGAGAGACTGTCATTGGATTATAGTAATTTAGTAAGGGAAAGAGTTCTTTGAGAAAAGACCTGGGGGGAAGATACATGGATTTGATTGAATTTTTTCCTAGGGTGCCTAGGCAGTGAATACTTTTTAGCCATCTTTACTCAGTATGCTTTTAAATGTGTCACGGTGTGATTGAGCCAAGTTCCGTCTGTCTGGTTTTTTTTTTTCCTTGAAAGTTACAAAAATGGTATCATTCTCTAGGAAATCATGTTAAAAAAAAATCCCACGTTCCCGTCCCAGAATAACCTGGTGTTTCACAGTACATAGTGGTAGGATCTTTTTATTTCCTTGAAACAACTTGTTATCAAATTAAGATAATTTCCTGCTCTGTGGTAGGGAGACTGCTGTTTATTGACCCAGTCCTTCCTCCTCACCACACAATTGAAGAACCTGGTTTGAAGTGTAAACCTAAAAAACATGTGATCCCCCCATACCGTTTTTTTTTTTTTTTTTTTTTTTTTTTTTAAGACAGGAGGAGGACTGTGGGAGTGGTTATCAGTAGATCTGTGCAGAAGGGTTGGCCCTGCAGACTGGGTCTGGTGTAGAATGTGCCCTGTGGGAGCTGCCTCCAGGCCTGTGGCTGGGTGTGTTAATCAGTGCTGGACTTCATACAGAAAAGTCGATGCTGTTTTCTTTTCTTTTTCTTTTTTTTAAATTTGGTAGAGATATGATCTCACCATGTTGTCCAGGCTGGTCAACATGATCCAATCCTCCTGCCTTGGCCTCCCAAAGTGCTGGGATTACAGGTGTGAGCCACTGTGCCTGGCCAATGCTGTTTTCTTTGTAGCTGAATTGTTCATTGGCTGCAAAGCTATAGAGGGTGGGTCAAGATAATTAGATGTTTGGAAAATAGTTAAGAGGGGGATTGGCTTCCACCCCATTCTTTGATTTTTTTTCTCTTTGAAGAAAGAGGGGGGGCTCAAGGGACACTGACCTTGGAGGCAGGAGCCTTGGGGTTTGTCCTGTGCCCGTCATTGACCGGGATCGCTTCCTTTTCTGTAAATCAAGGTCATGGGCGCAGCTGACTTGCCAAGGCTGTTGCCAGCTCTGCGCTGCCTTCTGAGGAACTTGATGGTTTGCTTCCTGTGAAAACTTGATGGTTTGCTTTAAGGTATCACTAGATACCTTGGGGTGATATCTAATCACACCAATGAAGAGATTGGGTATTTGTTTTTCCCAAATCCCTAAGTGCTGATTTCTCCAGGGCAGTACACAACCTCTTATCTTTAGCACTCACTTTGACTTGCATAAGTTTCCTGGCTTGGATGATAAGCTATATGGTCACCCTGCTTATTCAGAGAAAGGTTCATAGTGTTCTTTAATGACTATTCTAATACATGAAAACCATTTTTTGTGACTTGAGACATAATTGATGTACAATAAACTGCAGTATTTAAGGTGTACAGTTTGATAGTTTTTATACACACACACTTTCTCTCTCTCTCTCTCATAATTACACTGAAGCTGTCACCATAGTCAGGATAACATTTCCATCACCCTGAGAATTTCCTTGTAATCCTTCCTTCTCTGCCTCTTCACAGGCAAACATGGATGGATTTGTTTTCTGTCATTGTAGATTACTCTGCATTTTAAAAAGAATGCTATATAAATTGAGTAATGCAGCATGTACTACTTTTTTTTTTAATGTCTGGCTTCTTTCACTCAGCATAATGGTTTTGAGATTTTTCATGTTACGAATATCAGTAGTCCATTGTATGCATATTCCAGCATTTGTCTATTCTATTGGTGGGCATTTAGGTAGTTTCTAGTTTTGGGTTATTACTAATAAAACTATGAACATTTGTATACAAGTCTTTTGTGTGGACATATTTTCATTTCTCTTGGGTAAACACCTTGAAGTGGAATCGCTGGATCATATAGTAGGTATATGTTTAACTTCTTAAGAGGCTGCTAAACTGTTTTCTGAAGTGGTGATCCAATTTTATATTCCCACCAGCAGTGTATAGAGAGTTCCAGTTGCTCCACATCCTCACCAACACTTGGTGTGATCAGTCTTTTTAATTTTATGTGTCCTAATAGTTATGTAGTGTTACCCCATTGTGGCTTTAATTTCCATTTCCCTGATGACTAATGATGTCAACATCTTTTCATGTGTTTGTTGGTCATTTGTATGTCTTTTGTGAAATGTGTGCTAGGACATTTATCCATTTTTTTAATTGGGTTCTTATTGAGTTGTAAGACTTCTTTATGTATTTTGGATGTAAGTCCTTTGTCTGATACATGTGTTGTGAATGTTTTTCTCAGTCTGTGGCTTGTGTTTTCTTTAATGACACTTTTAGAACAGAAGTCTTTCTTTTTGGTGAAATTCAACTTATCAGTTTTTTAAATGGCTCATTCTTCTAGTATTCTATCCAGAAAACCCTTGTCTACCTCGGCTTGCAAAGATTTTCTTCTATAAGTTTTGTAGTTTTAGGTTTTACAGTTGGGATTATTATTGATGTTCTTCCCCCGACCCCCATATGGATATTCAGTTTTTGAGGCAGCGTTTATTGAAGATACATTCCATTCCTCATTTAATTACCTTTGCTGCCTTTTTTCAAAAGTCAATTAACCTTTTATTTTTGAGTCTCTTTCCAGATTTTCTATTTTGTTTTATTGAACTATATTATGTCTGCCTTTACTGAAATAATTCTACACTTTGTTGATTACTGTAGTTTTATAGGAAGTGTTGAAATTAGAGTCATCTTTGTTCTTTTCTAACATAGCTTTATTCTAAGTACTTAGCATTTTCATATAAATTTTAATATTAGTTTGTCAATTTCTATAAGTGAGGCCTGCTAGAATTTTGTTTGAGATTGTGTTAAATCTGTAGATCAATTTGGGGAGAATTGCTATCTTAATAACATTGAATCTTTAATGATGTTGAGTTTTCCAGTACATTAACACGATCTCTCTCTCTTTATTTAGGTGCTTTAAATTTATCTCAGCAGTGCTTTGTAGTTTTCAGTGTAGATGTCTTTAACGTCTTTTGTTAGATTCATTTCAATGTAATTTATGTTTTTATTTTTATTAACTAAATGGAATTTATAAACATTTTATATCTGTTTGCTGCTAATATATAAGAATACAGTGGATTTTGTGACCTTGCAAAATACTGCTTGTTTAATTCTAGTAGTCATTGTGTAGATTCCCTAGAAAGTTCTATATAAAGTTGTATCATTTGCAAATAGGGACAGCTTTACTTCTTCCTTTCTGACTCACATGCCTTTTATTTATTTTTCTTGCTTCATTGCAAAGGCTAAGATTCCAGTACAGTGTTGAATAGGAGTAGCGAAGGCAGGAATCCTTCCACCTTTTCCAGTCTTAACATGAAACAGTTCGGTTTTCATCATTAAATGTGATGTTAGCTGTAGGCTTTTTGTAGGTATCCTTTATCAGTTTGAGGATGTTCTTTACTTGATCGCTGACAGTTTTAATTATTAATGGGTGTTGAATTTTGTCAAATGCTTTTCTGCATTTATTGAAGTGAACACATGGTTTTTTTCTCCTTTATATTATTAAAAGGGCAAATTAAATTGGTTGATTTTCAAATTTAAGACAACTTTTCATTCTTGGGTTAAACCCTATTTGCTCATAATATGTTTTTTATTTATTGTTGGATTCAATTTGCCATTATTTTGTTAAGGATTGTTGCACCAATATTCATGAAGGTATTGATCTGTAATTTATTTCTCTCCCTTTCTTCCCTCATTTCTTCCTTTCTGCCTTTGTCAGGTTTTGGTACTTTAAAAAATAGAGAGTCAGGCCAGATGTGGTGGCTCACGTCCGTAATCCCTGCATTTTGGGAGGCCGAAGCAGGTGGATCACTTGAGGCTAGGAGTTCAAGACTGGCCTGGCCAACATGGTGAAACCTCATCCCTACTAAAAATACATATATATGTAGTGAGTCAGTGTTACCCCGCCTCTGTTTTCTGATAAAGTTTGTGTAAGCTTGGTGTTCTTTCTGAAATATTTGCTAGAGTTTACCAGTGAAATGATGTAGGTATGCAGTTTTTTTGGGGTAAAGTTTTTGATAATACCCTGTGATTTTTTTTTTTTAATGTTCAGATTTTTTGTTTCTTGTGTCTGCAGTGACATTTTCTGCATTCTCTTCCTTTTCCCTCTGATTTATGTCTGTTGGATGGAGAAGTAGAAACTTTATGAGAGAAGGGATATCATGGGGCTTGTTGATCTGTTTTCATCCCAGCGCCCCCGAACCATGCCTGGCACCAAATAGCCACACTGTAAATGCCTGTGGGGTTAATTGATTTGTTGTTGCTGTATCTCTATTCCTTGGCACCTCTGGGAAGCATTTTTGTCTCCCCCCGTCCACATGGGACCGTGTCGTCACTGTGCTGTGACGGGAGCTGGCTGAGTCAGGCTGGCAGGCTGTGGCTGCCCTGCATGCCGTGCCCTCCCACGGTGGCTCTTCAAATTCTTGGCTATGTGCCCAGCACTGGTACACAGACCCTCTGAGTCAGGGCTTGCCAATGGAAAAAATATTTTCAACCTTTTTTGGTCTTTTAAAATATTAAAACCTATAGTTGGAATTACTTCTTTTCATTTTTACAATGTACTTGAAGTATCAGAGGAATAAGGAAAGCCATTGTAAGCTTGGTTAGTGGAAAGGGATAAACCACCTCTGAGCATCCAAATAAAATTAGGAAGCGGGGGTTCTAGATGAGGGAGGACAATTCCAGGAGGCTCTTGACCTTGTATATGATTCCCTGACTGGGAATGTGGTCTGAGATGCCCTTTCCTGGACAGATTACAAATGACAGCCCCTGGAGCAAACACATGAATCAGCCAGGGAGTTAAAAAAGAACAGGGTAGTTTGGACTGGGCCTCTCTCTTTCAGGACATGACTGCTGTGGCTACAGACTGCATTCAGGTCCCCAGCATCTGGAAGGAGTCTGTGCCCACTTATCCTTTGCATCCTAAGGGGACTGGGTCTTTGTGCACCAGCAGCAGCCGTAGAGGTTGGGCTTGGGAATCAGGGGCTCCCTTATCAAAGCTGGGAAACTTAGAACAACAGCTGTGCCGCTCATGGACCTGTAGTCTCTCCTGTTAAGCAGAGTGCTGAGTTCATGTGATAGCAAACACAGCTCTGCCAGACCACAGGGTCACCAGGCAGGCACTCCATCCCTCCCTCCAGGGGGAGACCACGGCATGCCTTGGATGAGGTGACTTGGCCAACTGTCTTGTGGCCCCAGCTCCTGACATTACAATGTGATGACTGTGACACTTGGAAGAGAAATGTCTCAGGTATCGTGGTCCTGGGTCCTGTGGTACAGGACCTTGTCTCTGCGGTCCTGTACTTTTGCTTCACAATTAGAAGAATTGAAAGCTTCAGGTTGTTTCAGGTATGTTTTTTCAAGAAGTGCAATAGTAGTGTGTTTATAGATGTTTTCCTTAGAGTTAGTTTTGGGGGAGAGAAGATGACTGCCCTTCCATCCTGCAGGTGGATTGGCTGGGGAATGAGGCCATCTCTTTTCAGAGTGAGCAGTGAACCATTTTTGTCTGTACACTGACCTGGGGCTGATTTGGCATCCTGACCTTCCAGTCTGAGGGAGTTGGTAAGGGGCTGGAAGGGCCCATTCTTTGTGTGTGTGGGTATTTTTTAGAGACGGGGTCTTGCTGTGTTGCCTGGGCCGGTCTGGAGATCCTGAGTTCAAGCAATCCTCTTGCCTTGGCCTTCCGAGTAGCTGAGACTACAGGTACATGCTGGACCCACACTTTGGACTCTGTCCCTGCTGGCCTAGTTCTTTGCCAAGAGCAAAACTTGAGAGCACCCTCACACAGGTAACAGTTAGACCTTGTCAGGAGACATGGCTGTTTTCCCAGACAGCTGAGCTTTCAGACTAAAGCACAGAAAAGTTGGAGGACATGGGACTCCTTAGCCCACAAAAGAAACTCTATTTTAATTTTCCATGTGAAATAGGAGTAGGGTACGTTAGGGTAGGGCATCTTGGTTATGAGATGCCTGCAGCAAGTGCCATCAGGGTGGCTGCCAGCTGAGTCATCTCCCTCAAAGAGCTTTCCTGGAACCACTCTCCCCGGTGATGTCAGCTCCTTCACCTCCATTGCTGTCTCTAGCTGCAGGGGTGGTTGGAGACCCAGTATTTTAGCTAGGCCCTGCCAGAGGCCATTGGGATAGCAGGTCAATGGATGAAGGAGGTTGTATAGGCAAATGGGAGTAATTATCTCTGATCTTGATTTTTGTAGGAAATAGGCGTAGATTAAGGCATAGATAAATTTGAAAAGGCATAGATACATTAATTAATTAATTAGAGATGAGGTTTCACTCTGTCGCCCTGTCTGAAGTGCAATGGCGTGATCAAGGTTCATTGCAGCTTTGACCTCCTGGGCTCAAGTGATTCCCGCACCTTAGCCTACTGAGTAGCTGGGACCACAGGCAGGCACCACCATTCCCAGCTAATTTATAAATTTTTTTTGTAGAAACAGGGTCTCACTGTGTTGCCCAGGCTGGTCTTGAACACCTGGGCTCAAGGGATCCTCCTGCTTTGGCCTCCCAAAGCACTGATTGGCAGGCATGAGCTGCTGCGCCCAACCAGGCATAGATAAATTTAAAGACACCTTTTACTGTAGACAATTTGGAAAATAGAGAAAACCAGAGGGAAAAGAAAAAAAAGAATCTCTCAGTCCTACCACTTGATGTGTGAACCTCCAGTTTTCCCGGCTGCTTGTGTCCTGCCTTTTTTAAACACAATACGATGACATCAGTATGTCCCCCTTTCCCTCATTTATGTTTTATTGTGGTAGAATACTGTTTTATTGTGGTAGAATACACATAACATAAAATTTAGCATCTTAACCATTTTTAAGAGTACAGTATAAATATGCCCTTTTATAAATTACTTGTTTTTCCCTCCTCGTGTGGCTTTGTTTTCTGTGTGGTAGCCATTCTGTGGTTTACTTAACCACTCTAAGTATTGAACACACAAACAGGCTTGAATCAATTCATTTGAAAAGGTGTGGACAAGACTTTGTCCTAAGGGTGACACCTGGCCCAGCCAGCAGATGTGATTGTTCTGCCTTGGCCACCTTGCTCTGGGAAATTGTATTGCTTAGTCAGGTTGACCTTCAGTGACCAAAAAAGTGGATGGTAGTGTCAAGGGCTTCGGGTAGCTTATGAAACTCTTTTTCCTTCTCATCTTGTTACTTTCCTCTTGATACTTACTTGTTAACTACAGTGTTACTATAGACGCCTTTGGGTATATGCAGATTTACCATTAGTTAATCCCAGAGAAAAATGGATAAATTATGACAGCGTGGTGGCTGTCAGACTTAAGAATGCCAAAGCATTCCCGTTTCTCTCCCTCCACCCCATCCCTTCCAGACTTACTACCAGGGACCTTTGGTTTGCCTTTCCTTGTCACCAGGACTCCGAGGTCTTTCAGCTCCTTGTTTCTTCTGTTCAGTAGCTGAAGGATGCAGGTACTCTGCCCTCCTGCTGTGGTTTGTTTCTCTAGCGAGAAGTCCAGCAGCCCAGCTACTGAAAGCCAAGGTCACTAACGCAGGATGCAGTCAGCCCAGGAGGAGCACAGCCCTGGACATGAAGCTTCTGGTCTTACTTCTCCCACCTTCCTGCTACGGTGTGCATTGCAGCCGCAAGCTCTGCCTTGGAATTGCTTACTGTGTCTTAGTTCCTGTGTGCATTTTTTTATTTTTTATTTTTTTGAGACAGTCTTGCTCTGTCATCCAGGCTGGAGTGCAGTTGTGCGATCACAGCTCATTGCAACCTCTGCCTCCTGGGTTCAACTGATTCTCCCTCCTCAGCCTCCTGAGTAGCTGGGACTAGAGGCACCCGCCACCACGCCTGGCTAATTTTTGTATTTTTAGTAGAGATGGGATTTCACCATGTTGGCCAGACTGGTCTTGAACTCCTGATCTCAGGTGATTTGCCCACCTCAGCCTCCCAGAGGGCTGGGATTACAGTCATGAGCCCCTGCGCCTAGCCCCCCTTGTGCATTTTTTAAAAGGTGCAGTTCTGTATTTACTGTAGTGTTTATGTGGTAAAATTTGTTCATTTAAAAACATTTAATATTGCTGTTGTTCCCTTGATGCTTGGTTACAAATTTGCATAAGTTCTCAGTGGCCTGCCCCAGCTTACCTATTCCCATGGGACTTCTTTTTACTTTTATTGTGCCCTTTTGTAGAGTATGAGGGTTTTTAGGAACTCAAAAATTGCATTATGGCAAAAATACCTGGAAGGTTTTCCTGATGCTAAGATTCTTTTTAATTCCCCTTTTAATACAAATAACATGTATCATTATAGATAATTAAGTGCAGATAACCCAAACAAACAAAAACCACTCAAAAGTCTTATCACTGAGATTCTAGATTAAACACTATTATATAGACCTGCGATTCTCAAACATGGGTAGGGATAAGGCAGTGGGGGAGGTGAGATTGGCCTGAAGAGGACATTTGGGGACTCCACACTGGTTTGTCACAGTTGTGGGTATGGAGAGCAGGGGTACGTGCTGCTGACACCTAGTTGGTAAAGTCCAGGGAAGCTGCTCAGTGTCCCCAGAGGCACAACAGTGTTGTGCGACAGCCTCACAACAAAGAATTATTTGGCTCAAAATGTCAATAGTGCTGAGGTTGAGAAACCCTGATATGGACAGATAGTTATGGGGCCTTTTTCTGTGAATATTATTAAATACACTTTAGTTTTACAAAAATTTGGATTATTTATACAGACTAGTTTATGACCTGCTTTTAAAACTTATTACTTCATGAACATCTTTCTGTGTCCATGACTATGGGCCTGTGACATACCATTGTGTGAGCATGTTGGAGCTTACTTCACCAGCCCCCTGTCTGGAGACTGAGGTGCTGCCAGCGTTTTGCTATTGAAACCACATTTGTTTGTATTTTGCCTTCTGCATGCTGGTTGACTATGGCCAGCCCATGTTGGGGCACCAGCTCTACATCTGGGGTGCCTTTCATGGGTAATAATATTCCCTTCCTGCCAGAGGCCCCCCCGCCAACCATGGCAGTCCCCAATCTCTAGTTTTCTCACAGTTGAACATAACTCAAGCTTAATGAAGTACTGTTGAAATAGTGAATAGGTAAGTAACACAATATTTCTGTCACGTTTCATTTTTAAGTAGAACTTTCACTTTTTGCTTCATTTTACTTTATGGGTTTCTAAAAAAATAAATAAATTAAAACAACCTATCTTCTGGTAGGTTACATGTGACTTTAACTTCTTGCCAAGTTGGCTTTGCTCCATACCTGGGCTTCCTGAGTTCCTGGGGAGGCAGGAGTGGGTCAGATGGAGGATGCCTTGCTCTGACTGTGCTGTGGGTGGCACCTGTCAGTTGTCATGCTGGGGACCCCCTCCTTCCCCCCAAAGCTGCTCTGAGGCTGCAGGTGAGATGCAGCCCAGGAGAGGAAGTGCATGACAGCTGTTTGGGCCCACGTTCCCTTTTAGGTTGCAGACAGGGCAGCGTGCAGAGCTGGTGGGCTGGGCGGGGTCTGACACAGTGCTGTGCGGAGCTCACCCGGACCTGGGCACTCAGGCTCTTTCTATATGGGGAACTCCAAGAGCTTGTTTGTGTGGTGGTGTCTATTTTTGTGTTTTGTGTGGTGCTCTGTGAGGAAGTCTGTTGTCTACGCACATCCCAGCTGCTTTGAATGGTCTGTCTCTGGGGGCTTCCAGGTAGGGAATTGTGTACGGGGAATCCAGGATTCGGGCAGCATCGGAACAGCAGGATGTGAGTAACAGGAAGTGACAGAAATGACCCAGGGCGCCAGATGCTTATTCTCGGCCACCTTTCCAAGCGCTGCAGCCCAGGAGCTATATTTAGCAGAGTGTTTCCGAGTGCCTCATCCTGCCCCCAGCACCGTCCCTTTGCCCCTCTTTTGGTTGGTGGCTGATTGCACGGTACTGATTTGCTGCTCCAGCGTTCCTGCTCTACTTCGTAATCTGTAGGCTCTTGCCCATTGACTTTAACACCCAGTTTTTGTTTGTGCTGGGTCACTTCAATTTTGATACACGTGGAGCAGCTGGAAACTGTTCTGAGCAGGAAGGGCAGCAGGTAAGAGCCCCAGGGGACAGTGTGCCATCATACTGGGAGGCTGTTGGGTGGTGAGTTCAAGGTCAGGGTTTGGAATTAAGCGGAAGGAATTGAGCTTCCTTGTAAGATGCTCCAGAGGGTTGCTTCTTGGCTTGTATGTCTTAGAAATGGAAGGCTGGAATTTTTAAGGTATAGGCTTTGTGGTGTGACTTTACTCATGTGCTAGAAACATTCTGTGGTTCTCACCTGGCCAGACAGAAAGCTGCAGGTGGAAGAGGCTTGTGTGTGGTGAATTCCTACAGTCTGAGCTTTGTCACGGGAAAATTTCCCTCCAGTCCCCCAAAGCAAGCACTACAGAGCCCAGATTTGTTCTGCTTTGGGTGTGGGTGGATTTTCACCTTGTCTGTCGACGGTGCAGGACCTGTCCCTGTGTGCTTTGAGGTTTCTAGGGTGTGATGTTGGTTTGTGGTTTGTGGAGGGGTGTGTGTTGGGAGGGAAGGTGTTTTTGCTGTTCTCCTCTAAAAGCTCCCTTCTGAGTGGTCCCGCCAGGACCTCCCTTTCCTCCCTTCATGAAGCATCCACCTTGTTTTCAGACACTCGAGCTATTTGGGATTCAGGAATTGACTCTGGGATGAGAAATTTGAGAGACAAATTAGGAACAGTTGTGTCTGCCATGAGACGCGTGGCAGTCGGCAGGGGCCTGGTGGGGTGTATAAAAGCCCTGGGAACCCTGCATAAAGGGGTTGGGATGGTAAAGGAGTGAATTCCAGGCTCAGGCGCTCAGGAGATTCCCCTCCCCCAGTTCCCTCAGCAGAGTCTGGCTACTGGCATGGTTTCAGGCTGACCTGTTAACCTTCCGTATGGCTAAACTACAAATATAGGGCATGGCTATATTGTGTGTGTCTCTAGTTCTGGCTTGGGCATGTTAGCATATTTTTGTGCCAAAACATTTAAAACATTCAAAAAGTAACACATGAACCCAGCTATGACTGCTTCCAGCCTGAGAAATAAACATAATAGATATAACAGAGGCACTTGGAATTCTCTTTCCTATCCTCGTTTCTTCCTGCTCCCCCTTCCCTGGGGGCATCCTAACTTTGGTGTTTGTCATTTGTTTTCATGTTTATATACTTTTTTGATAAGTGTGTGTAGGCATAAACAGTATATAGCATTGTTGAACTGGTTCTGAAATGTCGAATAAATGTTATCAGACTGGACAGCCACAGCATTACGCTTCCTGGATTTATCCCTGTGGCTACATCTAGCTTTAGTTAAATGGTTCAAGGTTTAATACAACTGATTCCTGATTCCTGGAGTTAAATCAGAATTTCTGGGGAACGAGGCATGAACCGCAGAGCTCCTGACAGGCGCGGCCTGAGTTGAGGCCCACGATGCTGGTTTTCGTGGCCTCTGTAGTGTTCCAGTACCTAAGACGTCCTGTTGTGGACGTACACTTTCCCAGATTCCCTGTGATCAGTAGTGCTGCTGTGAATATGCTTATCTTCGTCTTCTTGGCACATGGGCAAGAGTTTCTCTAGAATGTGTTTCTAAGGATAGAATTGCCAGGTGTGTGCATCTTCAGCTTGACTGGTGATCGTCAAATTACCTCCAGAACTATCAGCAGCAGTGGTCACGTATGAGTGATCTCATTTCTATAGTGTCTTTAAGTTTTTCTTTTTTAACATACCAAACTGAGGGCAAGATGAAGACCTCATGAGTGAGATAAGACATTGGACATTGCTGAGACTTTAATCGACACCGTGCCCTCAGCATGTCCACACGGACCTGCTGGCCCTGCCGCCACCCCAGCTGTAAAGCTTGCTTCCACCCACAGTGTCCCCTTCCTGGGATGGGAGCAGCACCCAGCCAGCTGCTCGGAGGTCACTGTGGACTCCTCTCTGTCTCACCCTGTCCCGTCTGCTGTCCTCAGAGCACATCCAGAGCCTGCCCACTCTCCTCACCATCATCTCGTGATGGGGTTACTGAGGAGCCTCCCAAAAGGTTTCCTGCCTTCTTTCCTGCATCTTACTGTCAGCTTTCAATAAAGCAACCAGAATGATGCTTTCAAAACTTGAGCTTGCATGGCTTCTTATTTTACGTGGAGTAAAAGCCAAAGTTCTTACACCTGCATGGCCCTCTGTGGTCCTGATGCTTGCAGGTTGGCCCCTGGCCCCCTTCCTGATGCCAGCCCCAGCCACGCACCACGCGCCTGCTTCTGCTCAGCCCTTCCCACCTCCTTCCTTGCTTCCTTCCAGTCTCTGGCTCCTTCCTCGCCTCCTCCCCGTTTTTGCTGTGGAGTCCCCTGGCCCCCAGACCTCTCTTTTCTGGTCTCCCGTTTTTCCATAGGGCTTGTCACCAGCTACTACTCTCCATGCTGTGTAATTCACTTCTTTAATAAGTCTTTAATTTACTGCCTGCATTCAAATGTAACTTCCGCAGGAGCAGGAATCTTTTCTGTTTGCTCAAGTGAAAGACTGCCTGAATTTATTTCTGAGGAAGAAAGAAAGAATTTGGAGCCCAATGATGAAGATAGCACAGGAGAGAGGAGGTGAAGTTGAGGGAGCAGTTTCTGACTTGGGAGGTTGGGGGGATGGGACAATTACTGGTCTCTGGGAGGCAGTGGCAGAAGGACCTTGAGGCCCCCTAAGTGTGTAGTAGGACCCCCGAGGGGCATGGCCAGTGGGCTGTGGGGCTGCAGAGGCAGCTTCTTTTGGGGCCTTGTCTTGGCACCATCTCGGCCACTCCCAGAGCATACATTGGTATTGCCGTAGTGGGTGCTGGGCTGGCCCGCCCCACCCAGGAAGTGCACTACTGTTTGAGGGCAGGAGCCTGCGATTCTGACATCCTCTCTTCATGGCTGAGCTCCTCAGGTTACATAGCTCCACTGATTCCTCAAGCACTGTTGTGTTTAGAAATGAAACCTTCCATTTCCAGGGCCCTGCCTTGTGCAGGCTCAAGTACCCAGGCCACGTGTCAGAGCCCATAGCAAAATGAGCAGCTCAACCGGAGGGCGTGGTCCATGACACTCCTGCGTGTGCTTGGACTCAGGCGCAGGGACAGGCGGGGCAGCTGGCATTTCTACCCACCCCTCCTGACATAGAGGACCTGGTCCTTTTCTTTGAGAATGTGTACCAAAGGTGTGTCGGCTGTGTCCACATAATATTTTCTTGGCGTCAGATGTTTCATGGGTTGCACTAACTACAAATACAGGACTTTAGATAAGATTACACTTTTAACTTGCGCTGCCCACATACGCCCTTGTCCTTAAGAAACACAGCATTGTTCTGGAGTTACTCCTTGGTTTTCCCAGTTTAAACTTAAATATTGTTGATGGTGGTTACTTATTTTTAATTAAAGCTTTTATTTTGAGATTCTTTGTACCCTTTACCCAGTTGCATGCAGTGGTAACCTCTTGCACAACTCCAGTACAATGTCACACCCAGGATACTAACCTCGTTACAGTGGAGATGGGTAGCCTCCAAGCCGCAGAGATTTTCCTTGTGCCCTTTTACAGCCTCACACATGTCCCTCTGTAACCCCTGGCAAACACTCATCTGGTCTCCATTTCTATAATTTGGTCTTTTCAAGATGTGATATAAATGGAATCTTATAGTATGTAACCTTTGGGGTTGGATTTTTCACTCAGCGTAATTCCCTGGAGCCTCATTGAGGTTGATGAGTCTTATCAGTGGTTGTTCCTTTTTATTACTGAGTAGTATTCCACGGGTGTACCACAGTTTGTTAATCATTTACCCCCTGAAGGGCATCCGAATAGTTTCCAGCTTTTGGTGATCATGAATAAAGCTGCTGTAAACATTCCTGGGTAGGTTTCGGTGCAAACATGAATCTCCATTTCTCTGGGATAAATGCTGAAGAGTGTAATTGCTGGGTCATATGCTAGTCACATGCTTGGTTTTTTAAGAAACTGCCAAACCGTTTTGCAGAGTGGCCGTAATGTTTTACATCCCACCCAACAGTAAGATCCACTTTCTCCATATTCTCTCCAGCAGGTGGTGTTGGCACTAGTTTCTGTTGTAGCCATCGTGATAGGTGCGTAGGGCTCTCTGGTTGTGGTTTCAGTGTGTTTCTCTGATGGCTAAGGATGTTGAGTATCTTCTGTGTGCTTATTTGCCGCTTGCATATCCTCTTGTGCTGTCGGGGGTGAGGACTCATTTCCAGGTGGTATAGGAGACATCCCGGCTCTCAGCTTGGCCTCCTCTGGATACTCTGTTAGGTGAGTGCTGGAGTGCCTAGCTGCGGCCTGGGAGTGGGGTGGGCATGGTTTTTTCTTGTGGCGCTGGCTGGAGTAAGGTGGGTGTTACTGCCGTTGTCAGTTTCTGTCTTGTCTGACTGCCCCCTTCCTGGATCCTTGGCCTGGAAGAGCAGGCTTTTGTTGGGGCTTTCCACCCACCCCCCCAGTATCCATCACTGTTTTCGGCTGCTGCTTCTTTAGCTCCAAGTCTAGGGTATACCAGGTAAAAAGAAAACCCAGAGGGCCACCACAGTGTCATCCCTTTGGACAAGACCCTTGTCAGGCTGCCATCTTCTCTCTACCTTTCAGGGTCTTTTTGTGTTGATTTTCTGATGCCCATGGTTTTCAGTTCTCAGTGAGAGGAGTGGGGAAAAGTACCTCCCTGTCATCTGAATTTGGACCCGTGAAAAGTGAAGAGGGGGTCCATTCAGAATGTTGTGCCTCTACCCATCCCTGCTCGCTCGTCATGACCGTTGGACCGTTGTGGTCCCCGGGCCTCACATTAATTACTCTTAGGCCCTTTTGGTTTGGCCTGTGGTTTCAGCGTGACACAGTTTGCTGGACTTTGATCTTTTTTGTCATTTAAAGTGTCATTTATGAATGAGATCCACGTCCAGATCCCTGCATGTCCAAATTCATGGTTAGAAATGGTTGGACAGGACATAGCCATTTGGGTGCTGTGATTCAGCCTGATGTCAATCAGTGAACTGCCTTTGTCATTATCCTCCAGATCTTATTTCTCCACCTTCTATTTTGAACTCTTGGGAAACCTGGTCAGAGTGGGAGGGACAACTAGTCAGATGACTTAATGAGATGTTGGTATCGTCCTTGTGCTGATCCTCCAAGCCAGTCACCCTGCCAAAACGGAAATGAAATGTGCCAGACACCGCTTGTACTGAGTGAGCTTGGGAGAGCTCGTGGTGAGTGCCAGTTGCTTCCCTGCCTCCGGCCCACTGGCCCTGGTGTGAGGCACCACCCAGATGAGGAGAGGCTGCGGGATGGAGGTCCAGGGCTCCGCCTGGAGCCCCCCTGCCTGGTGTCCTGGCCACATCAGCTCATTTGCTGTGGGACTGTGAGCAGGCCCCTCAGCCGGGTTCGTCAGGTTGTGGAGAAGCTGAATGGAGCAGATAACCTGGAAAACACGCGGTGGATTGCCGAGACCTTCTTTGTGCCTCGCCCATATTAGCCAAACTGTCCCTTGTTCTATCAGCTGCCATGTGTGTGTAAGCCAGAGTCCACCCTCTTTTCCATTTGAGAAATCACGTCTGCATGTCTCCAGTATGTCTCCTTTTTCACCATGATTTCTCAGAGATCACTCCCTGCGGTTTAATAACCCCCTGGGCTAATTCTTCCCAGGACATGGGAGGACATTTTGTCTGGCTTGGCAACTCATTTAGAGTAGCAAGGTATTTTCTCATTTCTCTTGGAAAATCATGTACTTGAATCAAGAATAGAAGCCAAAATTGTTCTTTCAAATAGAATTTTAAAGCTTTTTTTTTTAATCCTTAACATATAAACGTAAGACTTTATTTTTATTTATTTATTTATTTTTAAGATGGAGTCACACCCTGTCGCCCAGGCTGGAGTGCAGTGGCGTAATCTTGGCTCACTGCAAATTCCACCTGCCGGGTTCACGCCATTCTCCTGCCTCAGCCTCCTGAGTAGCTGGGACCACAGGCGCCCGCCACCACGCCTGGCTAATTTTTTTGTATTTTTAATAGAGACAGGGTTTCACTGTGTTAGCCAGGATGGTCTCGATCTCCTGACCTCGTGATTTGCCCGCCTCAGCCTCCCAAAGTGCTGGGATTACAGGTGTGAGCCACTGTGCCCGGCCGACTTTATTCTTTTTTAATAGCTCATTTTTGGATTGGCAACACATGCAAGTGGTACAGAAATCTTAAGGCTAAAAAGATATAAAGTGTTTCCCAGCCACTCAGAGGTCCTCTCAGTTAGAGGTGACTAATATTAGTGTTTTCTCTGTACCCATACTCTTCCTGCAATTGGCTTTTATCTATTAACAGTGTGTCTTAGAGGTTGTTCCATATAAGAACATGTAGAGTAGCTTCAGGGGTTTTAGTGGCTGCATAGTTTTCTGTTATATGAATGTACTGTCATTACTGTAGCCAGTCTCTACCAGCCTTATATTGATCACTATTTGTTTGGTTTCAAATATTTTGTCTTTATAGTGAATGCCGCCACAAATAACCTTGTATATACAGTATGTGATTTCTCATGAAGATACAGGAGAGGATAAATTTATAGAAGCATGGTTGTTGAGACACAGGTGTATATTTTCAAGTCTGACAGATTTTACCAAATGGTTTCCATAGAGGTTGTATTAATTTTTGCCCCAGTGTATGAGAATCAGTAGACCATATTATAAAACATTTGATCTCTGTGAATCTGGTAGGTTAAAAAATGGGATCTCCTAATTTTAACTTGCATTTGCCTTATAAGACAGCGTTTTTTCATAAACGTTGAAAATCCATTTCTAACACTGTTTTAACATAGTGCTGCCAGACTCTCATATTCATGCTTCATATTTCATATTCATATTCATGTTTCCACCTTTCTCTCCCTGTCTCTTGTACAGTTATTTTCTAACCAGATTTTATGCAGGAGTCTGGGCAGCTCTGCACACTTTTCTTTTGAGTTATGTGGTTATGTGTTTTTGAGAAATCCCAAGTTCTGTATCCTTTTTGACTGAGGTGCAGCATTCACATGGAGGAGTGTACTCATTACAGACGCACAGCTTGATGCATGTTCCCGACCACGGAGAACACTGCAGCCCCCGGAATCCCTCCTGTGTGCCCCTCCTGTCAAAGCAGCTGCTAGGAGAAGCTAGCATCTAATACCATAGATTAGTTATGTCTGTTTTTTTAACTTTATGTAATGCATAAGGAAATTACACAGAGTATATGTCGTCTTGTGTCAGGCTTATTTCTTTCGCTGTTGTAAGATTCATTACATTATTGCTTGTCTCCCAATGTATGAGTATACTACAGTGTATTCACTGTAGGCCTGTTTAGAGTAGTGATGCTATGAACATTCTCGTATGCTTTGATGAGGAAGGTATGCGTTTGCATTTCTGTGGGATGCGTGGGTGGAATTGCTGAGTCACAGGGTATATACAAGTTCAGCTGTTTTCTGAAGTAGTTGCACCAAATTGCACTGTCACCAGCACTTGATACTGTCTGTTACAGCTCAGCCATTGTGAGAGATGCATCACCCTGTAGCTTTAATTTGTACTTCCCTGATGACTAATCAAATTGAGCACCGGGTCATGTGCTTTATTGGCCATTTGTGAAATAGCTATTCAAGTCTTTCGTCCATTTTACTATTAGTTTGTCTGCTCTTACTGATTTTTAAGTTCTGTTACCCTCAAGAGAATTCCAGCAGGTGTGTAAAAATTCACATCTGTCTATGGCTGTTCTAGCCTGCCTCAGGATTCTGTGAGAAATGCATCCACCATTTTATCCACTCCTCCTCTGTGACATCACGTTTCTTTCTCCAGTCATCAAGCATCAAGATCTGAGGATATTTTCTCTCTCCAGTGTGTAGGTTTCCATGCAGTCACCTCTGATGCAGTTCTGCTCCTTCTCTTGGTGGGACGTCCTGCAGCCTGGCCTTTTGAATCCCTGGGATGTCATTCATTTGTCCTGTTGAGTTCAGTTTATTGCCCTGCTTTTTTTTTTTTTTTTTTTTTGAGACAGGGTCTCACTCTGTCACCCAGGCTGGAGTGCAGTGGTGCAATCTTGGCTCACTGCAACCTCCGCCTCCCAGGTTCAAGTGATCCTCCCAACTCAGCCTCCCAAGTAGCTGGGATTACAGGTACATGCCACCACGTCCAGCTATTTTTTGTATTTTTAGTTAGAGATGGAGTTTTACCATGTTGGCCAGGCTGGTCTCGAACTCCTAACCTCAAGTGATCTACCTGCCTCGGCCTCCCAAAGTGCTGAGATTATAGGCGTAAGCCACTGCGCCCAGCCTTATTGCCCTGCTTCTGATTTGCAATTATCTTTTAAGTTGATTCAGGGGTGTGAACTGTTTCTTATTTAATACATTTGCTTGAAAAATATGAGCCATCTTTTAGTCTCCAAAGACTTTTCTTTGTGAAGGCTGGATTTTGGAGATAGTTTCAGCTTTTTTACACCATTCCTTGGTTGCCAGTAGTTATGATACTGGCTGCAGTCCAGACATAGGGATGCTCTTAGTATTCCTTAGAGCATCTCCCTGCACCCTGCCACCTGCCCTGGTGGGCAGGGTGAGCAGCCAGGAAGGCATAGCCTGAGGGCCTGTATCTAG
Organism: Homo sapiens; assembly: GCF_000001405.40. Taxonomy (NCBI): domain Eukaryota; kingdom Metazoa; phylum Chordata; class Mammalia; order Primates; family Hominidae; genus Homo; species Homo sapiens. The sequence continues at coordinate 233,427,958 of NC_000002.12, forward strand.
CCCCTGCTTTCTCGCCTGGGTCCTTCCTACCCATGCTGTCTCCCAAATCAAGGGATTGAATAGGAAGTGCTGCTCAGAACATCCCCCAGAATCAGCCTCCCGAAGAGACTCACCCTCCCCTACCAGAGGTTGGGCTGTGGCTGGTGTTAGGGGAACAGGAGTAGGAGGGGAGCCAGAGGAGGAGGAGGTGGGCCCTTGCCTAAGGGGTGCCTGCTGGTTGGTGTGGGGGCTGGAGCTCGCCAGGAGGGGTGTGCTGAGAAGATGGAGGCATGGCATGGAAGTGTGAGTCATGGCAAATCTCCTGTGTGCAGCTGGGGACCGACATAGAGAAGGCAGGCCCAGTTGTGTCCCCTCTGTGGGCAGCTAAGAAGGATGGATTCTGACTTATTTGGTGGGACTCTCCTGTGACATTTCTTGTGGTTTGGGAGAGTGGACCACTGATACCAGAGCAGTCTTAAGAAAGATGCTCACATGGGAAAGGGGTCTCAGCAGTGTCAAATGATGACATCAAAGCTGAGGGCTTCGACCCCAAGGTAGCACCGATAGTGACAGTGCCCAGAACATTATCAGGTTGCACCAACTGGCACCTCACAACAACAAGGCTAGGATGCGACACTGCTCTTAATAGCTCCGGTTTTCAGATGGGGCAGTGGAGGCACAGGGCGGAGAAGCACCTGCTCTAAGTTACACAGCTAGCAAGGGCTTCAGACTCAGGGAATGTGCCAGGCCCTGTGCACATTTGGTCCTGTTCAGTCCCACCACAGCCCTGCAGGTTGCTTCTAGCATCACTTTTCTTGACGAGAAGCAAAGAGGGTCTGCCCCCATTTCGCAAATTTATCAGTGGCCAGGTAGGATTCAGATCTGGGTCTCTCTCAGGCTTCTTCACAACAGAACAGGCACAAATAAGAGGTTTTTTTTTGTTGTTGTTGTTGTTGTTCTGTTTTTTCCTTAGAAGCCAAAACCCAGGTTCTCTGACATTTATCTGTTGCTCAGTGTTTATTGTCTGCAAACAACAGCACAGGTGAAGGCAATGATGCCATTGGTCACTTGTATCTTAACTCACTGTCTTTAAACCTAATGCTTTTGTCTATAATTTGCTGTCTAGTAGTGCCCAATACCCACAAAGCAATTCTAGTACACCCTCTCCTTCAGTGTGTGGGTCAGGTGGGCCCAAAGATCCATCTTCTCAAACGCTGAGGCTGAGTTCTGGAGCAAAGTTGGCACTTCAGCTCGTAAAGGCTGCCGTGGGAGTAGTAGACTCAGGACCTAAAACATCTCCTTGTTGTCTTCTATAAATATCCTGTTGCATGACTCCTAATATAATCCCCGAGTTATGCACAGTAAGGTATATTATCTTTCTCTTACTATATTTACTATGCTGACAAAAGTGTTCAAATATTAAAACTCACCCAGGGTGAACAGTTCGGGACGTGTGCTCAGACTTGATAGGTAGACAGGGACGGTGCCGATGACATGCACCCACTCGGCCTTGGCAGCTCCCAGTCTCCCATGACCGTCCCTCAGTGGCTGTCCAGAGACTCCCTGAGTCCCACTCTCAGGGCCCACTTTGTCGTCTTCATGGCTGAGTCAGTGTGGGAAATAGTTATCTGCCTGCCTCTCCACGCTGTGAGTTCTGTGAGGGGAGGAACTTTGCTCACCATGTTGTTAGAATCCCCAGTCTAGAGGAGACACCTAGCCAGCATCTGCTGAGCCGGGGGGTGTCCTCTGGAGGGAGAGGGGCTGTTTGTGGTGCTCTCAAGCTTGAACAGCAGCAGGGCAGAAGGCAGACGGCCCCTCCGGGCCTGCCTTTGCCGTCTCTCCTTCGCCCTCACTCTCTCCCAGCTCTGCTGCTTCCCACGCCCAGCCCGGCCCCAGGTGTTCTTCTCCCACCAACCCAGGATATGTGGAAGAAGAAGCGAACCATGCAGTGGCGACCCAGTTCCATTTATCCCCTCTGCGGTGAAACTTAGTCACTGGAGAATCTCCCTGTAAAGCACTTTCTATGGTTTCTGAGCCAGAAACATGGTCATTTAATAATTTAAATTGGGTATTCCTAAATTGGGTCTTCTTAATGTAAATTAAAGCTATGAGATGTGCCGAAATCTAAAAGTTAAATAACATATTTTGTTTTTGAATCCATGGGGAAGCAAGCATTTTCCTAACACTGTTGGTGAGAATGCAAAATGGTACAACCCCTGTGGGAATAATTTGGCAATAGCTAGCAAAATTACATGTGCATTTACTCTTTGTCAGGGCAATTCTACTTCTAGGAATTTACCCCAGAGATACACTGGTAAAAACAGGAAAAGATGCTTGTAAAGATAATTCACGGCAACACTATGAGAAATCGCAGAAGAATTTTAAACAGCACAAAATTCCCATCCATAGGGCGCTGGCTGAGTCCTATACAGTGGAGTACTGTGCCACTGTTGAAAGAATGAGGAAGCCCTGGATATTGCTAAGGAGTGATGGCCGGGATATGTAATTAAATGGAAAGGCAAAGGTGGAGAAAAGTGTCCATGCTACTGTTGACAAAAGGGACAATGTGATATACATGTTTGCATGTATCTTAAAAATGGAAGGAGAAACCTTACTTTCTCTCTCTCTTTTTTGGTAAAGCAGCCTATGGGAACCAAGATAGGGGAGAGATATAAAAGCTAGATTTCTAAATCTACCTTGTTTGTAGATTTGACTTTGGAACTCCATCGCTATATTATAATCATTATAAAACAAAATTAAGTAAAAGGTTATGACCCTTGAAAATTTTGATATACACTATCAATTTTTTCTCTAAAAAGTTTATACCCTGTTTACCTCCTGTCAGTACTTGAGGAGAACTCTTTTTCCCCCACATGTTTGTCAGTACTGGATAGTCATCTTTTAAAACTTTGCCAATCCCATGGGCAAAAAATAGATTGCTATTTTCATTTGCATTCTCTGATGACTAGAGTGATTAAGCAGCTTTTTACTTGCTTATTATCCATTTTGTATTTCTTCTGTGAGGAAGTCCAAGCTAGAGCAATCAAACAACAACAAAAAAAGAAATAAAGGGTATCCAAATTGGAAAGGAAGAAGTCAGATTATCCTTGTTTGCAGATGATGTGATCTTATATTTGGAAAAGCCTAAAGACCCCACCAAAAAAACTATTAAAACTGATAAATTCAGTAGAGTTGCAGGATCCAAAATCAACATGCAAAACTCAGTAGCATTTCTGTATGTACCAACAGTGCACAATCTGCAAAAGAAATCAAGAAAGTAATCCCATTTACAGTAGTTGCAAATAAAATAAAATACCTAAGAATTAACTGAAGAAGTGAGAGATTTCTACAATGAATACTACAAAACATTGATGCAAGAAATGGAAGAGAACACACAAAAAATGGAAAGATACTCCACGTTCATGGACTGGAAGAATCAACATTGTGAAAATGTTCGTATTACCCAAAGCAGTCTACAGATTCAATGCAATTCCTATTAAAATACCAATGACATTCTTCACAGAAATGGAAAAAATAATTCTAAAATTTATATGGATCCAGAATAGCCAAAAGACCCAGAATAGCCAAAATTCTCCTGATGAAAAATTGGAGGAATCACATTTTCTGACTTCACATTATACTACAGAGCTATACTAACCCAAACGGCGTGGTACTGGCATAAAAACAGACACAGAACAATGGAACAGAATAGAGAGCCCAGAAATAAATTCATACATCCACAGTGAACACATTTTTGACAAACGTACCAAGAACATATACTGAGGAAAGGACAGTCTCTTCAATAAATGGTGCTGGGAAAACTGGTTATCCATATGCAGAAGAATGAAACTAGACTCCCATTTATTGCCATATGCAAATATCAAATCAAAATGGATTAAAGACTTTAAGACCTCAAACTATGAAACTGTGAAAACACTGGGGAAACTTTCTAGGACGTTGGACTGGGCAAAGGTTTCTTGAGTAATTCCCACAAGCACAGGCAACCAAAGCAAAAAGTGGACAAATGGTTAAAGCTCCTGCATTAGCAATGCAGGAAAAAAGCAGTGAAAAAAAGCTCCTGTTTTTAACAAGTTAAAAAGTTCCTGCACAGCAAAGGAAACAGTCAACAAAGTGAGGAGACAGCCTACAGAATGGGAGAAAATATTTGCAAACTGCCAGGCGTGGTGGCTCATGCCTGTAATCCCAGCACTTTGGGAGGCCAAGGTGGGCGGATCACGAGGTCAGGAGATCGTGACCATCCTGGCTAACACGGTGAAACCTCGTCTCTATTAAAAATACAAAAAATTAGCCAGGCGTGGTTGCTCACGCCTGTAATCCCAGCACTTTGGGAGGCCAAGGTGGGCGGATCATGAGGTCAGGAGATTGTGACCCTCCTGGCTAACATGGTGAAACCTCGTCTCTACTAAAAATACAAAAAATTAGCCGGGCGTGGTTGCTCACGCCTGTAATCCCAGCACTTTGGAAGGCCAAGGTGGGCAGATCATGAGGTCAGGAGATCGTGACCATCCTGGCTAACACAGTGAAACCTCGTCTCTACTAAAAATACAAAAAATTAGCTGGGTGTGGTGGCGGGCGCCTGTAGTCCCAGCTACTCGGGAGGCTGAGGCAGGAGAATGGCATGAACCCAAGAGGCGGAGTTTGCAGTGAGCGGAGATTGCGCCACTGCACACCAGCCTGGGGGACAGAGTGAGGCTCCGTCTCAAAAAAACAAAACAAAACAAAACAAAAATTGAAAACTATTCCTCTGACAAGGGATTATAACCAGAATAAATCGAGAGCTCAAATAATTCAAAAGGGGAAAAATCTAATCATCCAGTTAAAAAATAGGAAAAGTAGACATTTCTCAAAAGAAGACATACATATGGCAAGTAGGTATATGAAAAAGTGCTCAATATCATTGATCATCAGAGAAATGCAAATAAAAATTACAATGAGATAATGTCTTACCCCAGTTACAATGACTTTTATCCAAAAGACAGGCAATAACAAATGCTGGCGAGGATGTGGAGAAAAGGGAACCGTACACTGCTGGTAGGATTGTAAATTAGCACAGCCACCATGGAGAACAGTTTGGAGGTTCCTCAAAAAAGTCAAAATACAATTACCGTGTGATCCAGCAATCCCACTGCTAGGTATATACCAAAGAGAAAGGAAATCAGTGTATCGAAGAGATGTCTGCACTCATGTGATTATAGCAGCACTATTCACAATAGCCAAGATTTGGAAGCAACCTAAGTGTTCATCAACAGACACATGGATAAAGAAAATGTACATATACACATGGAGTACTATTTAGCCATGAAAAAGAATGAGATCCTGTCATTTGCCACAACATGGATGGAACAGGAGGACCCTTAATGTTAAGTGAAGTAAGCCAAGCACAGAAAGACAAACTTCACATGTTCTTATTTGTGGGAGCTAATAAAAAAAAAAAGAAAACAGTTGAACTAATGGAGATAGGCAGTAGATTGATGGTTACCAGAGGCTGGGAAGGGTAGTGGGGCTGGGGGGATGGTTAATAGGTACAAAAATGTAGTTAGAATAAACGAGATCTAGTATTTGATAGCACAACGGGGTGACAACAGTTAATAATTTGCTGTACATTTAAAAATAACTCAGAGTATACTTGGATTGTTTATAACACAGAGAAAGGATAAATCCTTGAGGCAATGGATACCCCATTTACTCTGTGATTATTCTGTGCCTGTATTAGAGTGTCTCATATGCCCCATAAATACATATACCTACCATGTACCCACAAAAAAAATTAAAAAGAACGTTGATGTATTTCTTTTGTGAAATGCAAGTTCATAGCCTTTTTTATATCAGGAAGATTTTTTTTCTACTGATTGATAAGAACCCTTTATATATTATGGATATCATTTTCATTTGTTGATTATTACCAGGTCACAGCTTTATTTCCAGTCAAGTTGTTCAGGTCCTGCATAGTCTGATATTGAGGTTTTCTACAAGAACATTTATATGTGATACATGCTCATGGTATTCCAGACTTACAGCTGAGCAGACTTCCCTCAACTGTTCAAATGCTGGCCATCACTGTGGGCTCCCTGAAGCAGTAGCAACTGTGTCTTCCACTGTTCGGAAAACAACAGTTGTTACTTCTTTTTTTATTTCCTTAGGGTTTACTACTGTGTCTAAGTAGCAAGCAATTATAAATGTCCACTTAAATTGATTGCTGATGAATATATAAAAACTAAATTTCACTGTCTTTTTGGTTTGAGATCATTCTTATTTTTAATTTTTAGTGATCCTTGATAACCATTTTTGTTTTCGGTTCAGTGTGAATACCTGAATGAAATAGTAATTTTTATGTCTGTGTGAGGTCGGTTTTAAGAAAGCGTTCATAGCTATCAGCACTTGCCTTTTGTTCATGGATCTGTTGAACCTGTTTCTTTCTCTAGGTCATAACTCCATGCAGGAAGCTCATCTTGTGTGCTGATAACAGAAAAGAAATGGAAGATTGGATTGCAGCATTAAAGACTGTGCAGAACAGGGAGCACTTTGAGGTTAAAAAAGAAAATACCCTTCTCCAAATGCCTCCTGTTGCCTCCCTCACCCCAGTGTCTGCTGTCTGAGTGTCTCCCACGTGCGGACCCACAGTCTGGAGCTCACGTTCTTAGCATGTTCTTTATACAATTAAAGCTTATTGCTTGTCCTCTCAGCAGACCTGTCCTTTATAAACCTTCCTCCTCTCCTCTCTTGGATACTTTGTTTAATCTTGTCCAAGTTACTGCATTTAACAATTTAAAAGAGAAGTCTTATCTTTGCCCTCTTGGTTTCGTTCTTCCAGCCCACCCAGTACAGCATGGACCACTTCTCAGGGATGCACAATTGGTACGCCTGTTCCCACGCGAGGCCGACCTACTGCAATGTGTGCCGTGAGGCTCTGTCTGGGGTCACGTCGCACGGGCTGTCCTGCGAGGGTACGGATGTGCGTTTGTTATTCTGTCAGGAAAGGTGGCCTGGCATTTTACTTGATAAAGCCTTGGAAATCCAAACCCAGTCACCATAAATAAGCCGTTGTCACCCATGTGGTCAGTCAAGGGCACAGCGATTTCTGTGATGCCATTCTTGTTTATTTTACCTGCCGAAGAGTCCTTGATAAATCATTTTTTATAGTGCTCAGAGTGAAAAGGGAAGTGGTGGGTGGCAAAAGGAGAAATGGGAAATCTAGAGCACACAGAGGGAAAGGCACTGAAGGAACAGTGGTCGGCCCCTGTGTCTCACACTCTGCAGCCGGGGAAACGGGGCTGTGCATATATGGACTGAAAGTGTGTTACAGACTTAGAGGTCAGGGCTGCAGGGTTTGGGCAAGGGCATTCAGTCTGGTGGCAAAGCAGTGGGCTAGAGCAGGGCTTGTTAGCTATAGCCTGGACCACACCCTGCCTCTGCCTGTTTTTGTACAGCTCCCACGCTTCAGACTGGCTTTTAAATTTTTAAATGATTGGAAAAAATCAAAAGAAGAATCATATTTTGTGACACATGAAAATTACATGAAATTCAAATTTGTGCCCGTAAAAAAACATTGTCTCTGGCTGCTTTTGTGCTACATGACAGAGTTGATTAGTGGTGACGGAAGCTGGTTGCGACCTGCAGAGTCTCCACTGCTCACTCTCTGGCCTGTTACAGAAAGCTTACTGATCCCCAGCTTTCCCTGCCGCTGCCGGTCCCACCGCCATCAGCCTCTAAGCGTATCACAGTAGTTCACTTATAAAATGGGAGTGCCATTGGTTCCTTCCTTGACTTTTCTGGAGCTGGACGGTTCTCACAACACTGCTCAGCATGGGAAGCTCTTGGCACAGACACAGCTTGTAGGCTCATGTGCCCCTTCTCTCACAGTGTGCAAATTTAAGGCCCACAAGCGCTGTGCTGTGCGTGCAACCAATAACTGCAAGTGGACCACACTGGCCTCGATCGGGAAGGACATCATTGAAGATGCAGATGGGGTATGTTAAGAAATACCACCTGTGGGGCCCTGAGCCAGGGTCCCCCACCTGCACGGCCCCATGCAAGCCTCCTCCCTGCCCTCCCTGCCACTGTTTCATTTGAGATGGTCACACTGGCATTGGGTGGCACAGTGGAAATTATATGCGGTCTCCGTGTGGTTGTCGCACCCCCGAGCTCCATCCTGTCCCTGTGAGTCTTGTTTGCACCTCCGACAGGTGCTATGGGTAGATGGTACTTCACAGGCCCTGCCATCCCTTCCCTCACTGGCCATCAGGGAAGGAGCTTGTTCTGGGAAGAATGCCTTGGCTGAGTTCACAACGAGCATTTCCTGGCTGCCCTGGACGTGGAACCTTGGGAGCGTCCCTAGTGCGTGCCTCTGTTTGGTTGCAGATTGCAATGCCCCACCAGTGGTTGGAAGGAAACCTACCTGTGAGCGCCAAGTGCACTGTGTGCGACAAGACCTGTGGCAGTGTGCTGCGCCTGCAGGACTGGCGCTGCCTCTGGTGCAAGGCCATGGTGAGTGTGGGCCCTGCGCCCGGGCTGGAGGGGAGGGCTTGCTCCCTACCGTGCCCATGCGGGCCTTGCGGCTCCGCATGATCTGCTGGATCCTGGTAAATTAATCCCAGAGGCCCCTCCGGCTGAGAGTGGGTTTTTGAACTGTTGGGTCATTCTCCTTCTTAGCTATGTTTTGGGGTATTTCTTCCTTTTGCATTTATTCCTGTCTTTAGACATATGCAGATGTGTATTGTTATGACAGATGTCACCCTGCATCATGCGGCACTGTAGCCGGGTTGTGAGGGGTCACCTGGGACAATTGAGCTGGCCGCCTCTGTGGTGTGGAAGCAGGAAAGCTGTAGAGGCCATTTGGAGCGGCGTTGGCTCTGGGCAGTGTTGACAGTGAGCACAGCCATGTGGAAGGGGTGCAGCCCAGTGGCCTCCTGCCAGGTCCTGGGTCTCATCGTTGCTCTGGGTGGTGAGATGTGCTTCCAGGGAGAGACTCAGGGAGCCTCCATGTACTTGCTTCTGGGTTGGTCATTGTGAAGTGGCTGCTGCAGTCACTTGCCTAGCACATCTGGCTGCCAGGAGGAAGCCAAGACACAGGGGACACATAGAGGCACATGGCCCCAGGAGCCCTCACCCTCGTCCTGAAAGTTTGAGGTAGCTGTGGTCGAAGGGCCAGAAGGTTGGGTACAGGACTGTAGCTCACACGGTGTGAAGCATGACTGGCTCCTGCCGGGTATTTCCGTGTTATGCCTTCTCAAGTGCAAAGCCAGGGCCCAGGGCCCCCGATGATAGCAGGCCGGCCCAGGGCCCCTGATGGTAGCAGGCCAGCCCAGCTCTGAAATCACCTGCCTCCCCCGAGGCCAGCTCATCAGCTACAGGGCAGGAGGATTTCTGGTGTGTGTGAAGGATGCCAGTGACCCTTGGTGACGCGGGGACTCTTGTTTCAGGTTCACACATCGTGTAAAGAATCCTTGCTGACCAAGTGCCCACTTGGCCTGTGCAAAGTGTCAGTCATCCCACCCACGGCTCTCAACAGCATCGACTCCGATGGTGGGTACCACACATGCTTATCCTTCTCATGCACGCCCACACGCTTCCTTCTCCACGCACTTTCTCTTCTCCAGCTCTGGAGTTGGTTATCTTGGTGAGATGTCAGCAAGAGGTCAGGCACAGCTGTTGGGGGTGCTGGAGGAGTTGCACAGAGCGGCACACGGCGCCCTGATGCTGCGGCATTGCCCTTAGATGGGCCAGAGACCCAAGCCTGGCACTTGACGTGGAGGTGATGCTGTTGAGTGGCACCCAGGCTTAGACAGGCCTGAGACCCGAGCCTGGCACTTGACGTGGAGGTGATGCTGTTGAGTGCAACCCAGGTCTGGGGCCTTCTCCGTCATGAGCCATTGAAGCTGTGCCCCATCTCTGCCTAGCACATGCTGGCACACTGGCTTGCAGCTGCTCTCATGTCTGGCTGGGACATGGTGGCACCTGTTGACAAGTACTGGTGGAAAGGGGGATGTGGGGTACATGGCTCAGAGGAGATCAAGAAGAGAAGACAGCAGAAAGGTGGCATTTGGACAGCTTGTGAATGTGGAGGTCAGATGGATGGGGCTCCCGGCCTCACACATGGAGACCGGCTGTGGGGAACTGTTCACTGACCTCCTCCTGACTTACAGGTGTGCATGTGTCAGGTGTGTGTCCTTTGGGGGGGTCTGCTGCTGCTGATTCCATCAGTGGTGCCCTCAGCGTCTTCCGTGGCCTATATATTTTCTTCTGTTCGTTCTTGCGTCCAGGGTTCTGGAAGGCCAGCTGTCCTCCTTCTTGCACAAGCCCACTGTTGGTCTTCGTCAATTCAAAAAGTGGGGACAACCAGGGTGTGAAGTTCCTCAGAAGATTCAAACAGCTACTAAACCCCGCCCAGGTCTTCGACCTCATGAACGGAGGCCCACACCTCGGGTAGGAAGCTTGTAAAATATATCTTTCTTGGAGTTTTAAAAATTGTGTAGATAGTGTGTGCTTGTTAAAAAAAAAAAGTTCAAAGACACAAAGCTTTAAATAGGAAAGAAAAGTTGAACTGCTTCCTTCCCAAATTGCACTTGCAGAGGTGCCCACTCTTAATAGAGGTGCATGGCCTTCCAACTTTGAACACAGTGCGCGTGTGCACACACGTACATACATCCATGTACACACACCCATGCACGTGCATCTTTTGAGCCAATCAGGATTCTTCTTTACCTGCCGTTGCACAAATGCCTTCTGTATGTGTCTGCATACAACGTTGTGGGTGTATTTTCTTTCATTTTATAATTTTTTATTTATCTGTCTATCTATCATCTATCTATCTATCTATCTATCTATCTATCTATCTATCTATCTATCTATCTATCTATCTGTGGGTGTATTTTCCTGGCGTGCCTCGTTCTTTGTAACAGCTGCCTAACATTGAGGAAGAAGCTGTCCTGCAGCGAGGCCAGGAGGAGTGTTTGCTGAGAGGCACAGGAGGCCGCTCGGTGTGCAGGTGCTGCAAGGCAGGAACACGTAAGGGCGGCGTTGGGCCAGAGCGATTTCCACTGTGCATCAGCAGCACAGAGATTAGACTGTTCCTCTGCTTGCTGGAGAGCCATGTGTGTTCTTTGTAGTTTTTTACTTTTCATAAGTTTGTAGAAAACATTTGCCTTTGTGAATTTTGCCATTTGAATGAATTTCTTCCTCTGGAAGCATCAGTTCCAGGTCGGAGCTCTAAGAGGACTTGCTGGCACTGCCGGAGATGTCCAGGATACCCGTAGTGGGAAGTGCCTGCAGAGCCTGTGGTCTGGCCTGTATTTCTCTGGGAGGAGTCAGTGGGGTCTGTGTATTAGGAGCCAGGGGCTACTCTGATGTGAACCTCGGCCAGCTCCCTGCGTGTCCTTGGCGTACATGCCAGGGTAAGAGGAACATGCTGCTCGTCGTTGGTCCTGTGGGTGTCTTCTGTGTTGCTCATCCCCACTCACAGCCAGGCGCAGTCGGAGAGCAGTCACAGATGGCAGCATTCCAGCCTGCTTCCGCAAAGGCAGTACTCCCACATTTTCTGTAGAAAGACTTCTTATCTGAATGGTGGAGGATTGCATTCACTAGTAGGCTGATCAAGATATTTTAATTTTAATTTTACTGTTTTTTGAGACAAGAGTCTTGCTAGGTTACCCAGGCTGAGTACACTGGTGCAATCCTGGCTCACAGCAGCCTCAACCTCCTGGGCTCAAACCACCCTCCTGCCTTAGCCTCCTGAGTAGCTGGGACTACAGGTGTGTACCACTATGCCCAGCTAATTTTTTTTTTTTATGTTTTGTTGAGCCTCACAAAACTTTTAAAATGTTTTGTAGAGTGGTCTCACTGTGTTGTCCAGGTTGGTTTCAAACTCCTGGAGCCAAATGATCCTCTTGCCTCAGCCTCTCAAGAGTGTTGGATTACACTGCCTGGCAAAGAAATAATTTTAGTTAAAAAGTGGGGAAAGTGGAGATATAATACGTCTGTTATCACAATGCACCAAGCAGGCTGAGGTTGTTATTAAACATGGTACCAGGGGTGTTGGAGGAATGCTGTGAAATGGCTGTGGGCAGGGCAGGTTACACAGCTGAACTCGAGAATAACGAAATATTCATTTTGGTGTGCAAGCAAAACCCCATGTTTCGTAGTGGGAGTTAAGTATGAGATGGGATGATTTAGGAAGCCCCCACAGCGGCGTAAGGGGAGTTGAGTCGTCATTTACCATTTCTGGAAGCAGCTCATCTCACACAGCTCACAGCAGAATCTGGAGCTACTGCTTCATGTTCCAGTTCCTGGCCTTGACCTGTCACCTCTTCTCCCGAGAGCAGGGGGCCTTACAGGTGTCAGTGTTCTGTGTGGAGCCTGGGCTTGGTGCCGCATCACCTATGCCTGTCTGTCTTCTGAGCACTCATTCTGGGTCAGACACTGAGCTCGAGGCAGGGTGCGCAGGTGAGCCAGGCGGGGAGTGCAGATGCAGGGAATGGGTAGGAGCACACGCAGGGTCCCCCGGCACTTCAGTGGGGGTGACACAGCTTCTCTGGGAACCCGGTGGGGGCAGGGTCGCAAGTCAAACTGGGCGTCCTTCCACGTCTCCCCGAGCTGGCATCCGAGGAGCTCTAGTGTTCTGAAGGCTGCAGGGAGGCGGGAGGCTTCTGGGCTGAGGGCACCGCTTGTGCAGAGGCGAGGCAAGAGGGAATGCAGTGGGGCCAGGCCAGGCAGCAGCAGAAAGGTGGCACCTGCCGTCAGGGAGGGCTGCGGGTGCTGGCCAAGAGGTTCGACTCCTTCCTGCAAATGAGGGGCAGCCTCATAAAGCAAGGCCCGTGGCCAGGCTCGTGTTTTAGAAAGGTCTTCCTGGAACTCATGGGGAGCTTTCAGGAAGGGTGTCAAGGTGACTGAGGCTCCTGTGGGACTCTGCGAGAGCACGGTGGTGACCTGAGCGGGTGGCTGGGTTGGGTGTGGAGGAGAGGCTGCCAGGAGGGGCTGGGTCGGCTGCAGGCTGAGAGGAGGTGGGTCTGGCCTCTGGACTGGGTTGGTGGTCGAGCTACCATTCTCCGAGTAGGGATGTGTCCTGTTGGATGTGCCCTGGGATACCAGAGTGGTGTGTTCTGGAGGACAGGTGCAAGTGTTGGCTTTCAGGAGTGGCCTGGGGGCTGTTGATCCAGAGTCACCTGTGTGGTCCTTGAAACTGGATGTGGTCACACAGGAAGAGGATGAGGAGTGAGCAGAAGCGGCACTGGTCTCCTGAGTGGGGACGCTGCTGGGCAGGGGCAGGGGGAGCCCAGGAAGGAAGGAAACCGAGGAGTTAGGAGGGTAGGAGGCGTGGGTCACATCACCGGAGGACTGAGTGGGCCCAGGCATATGTGCTGCAGTGGGGACACGCAGCCCGCAGCAGGTCAGGCAGCCTGGGGCTCCAGGGTGACCAGAACAAGGGCCAGGGCGGAAGCCAGACTGTGGCCCAGGGCCGGGGAGTGCCAAGACTGAGGGTGCAGGGTGATGCAGGCAGCCCAGAGGGCATGCTGGGAAGGCTGGCAGGGGCCACATGTGGATGGGGCAGGGACAGTGACGCAGGGTGGGCTCACATGGTTAGGGGCCACGGCAGGCTGTGCCCGTGAGCCTGGCAGGGGATGCAGTTTTGGCCCACCACTTTGCCTGTGATGTCTGCAGAGCGTGCAGTGGCTCACCAAGCTGAGTGGTCTTGTCGCTGGGTGGGGCGTGGCTGGTGGGAGCAGTTGGCTGGACCCCAGTGCTGCTGTCGTCCCTTTGACAAAGTGGACCCTGAGTGGAGGCGGCTGGTGTCACGTGGCAGGGCCTGTGCGTGCTCTGCCTCTGGTGCAGGTCAGCCATGAGGAGCACAGGTGGCCCCTCAGCCCCGTACTGACAAGCCTGTCATTTGTCCTGTGGAATGGATGTCATTTCACGGCCTTTCTCTTTTCTCTGCAGCTTACGGTTATTCCAGAAGTTTGACACATTCCGGATTCTGGTTTGTGGCGGGGATGGAAGTGTTGGCTGGGTCCTCTCCGAAATCGACAGCCTCAACCTTCATAAACAGGTACCAGGACAGGAGGGAGCCCAGCCAGGAGCAGAGAGGGTGCGGAGGTTAGAGGGAAATCATGCAGTCTCAGCTCCTGTTCATCTCGGAGCACCTGTTCTCAGGCCAGAAACCATTGGTGGTTTTGGGGAGTGTGCAGTTTGGTGGCCAGGGCAGAGAGGGGAGAGCCTGGGCCACCCCCTGGCATTGTGGAGGCCCGGGGGCTCTGGCCATGATGTATGAGGGGGACCTGAAGGGAGCTACGAAAAGAATTGCCCACAAAGGACCCACATGGGGAGCAGGGCTGGGTGGGGCTGTTGCTTTACTGGGTAATTTTTGTCTTGAGGCCTCTTGCTTGTGAGAAGGGGACGGCAGTATACTTGAGTTTCTCAAGTCAGAGTCATGGTTCATTGGACTTAGTTTTTTGTATTAAAATAAAAATAGATTTTCCTGATTGTGTATAAAAATGTTCATATAGTCATTTAATTTCCACACCAAGCCACGGCCTCCCCAGGTGATCAGCCAGTGCCAACATTTTGCTGTCTCTGACCTCTCTTGATCACAGTACATACAATGCACAGTGCACTTGTAATTTAAACGGGCTATTCTGTTACTGCTTTTGTTGTTGTTGTTTTTGTTTTTGTTTTTTTGAGGTGGAGTCTTGCTCTGTTGCTGGGCTGGAGTGCAGTGGTGCGATCTCGGCTCACTACAACCTCTGCCTCCCCGGTTCAAGTGATTCTCCTGCCTCAGCCTCCTAAATAGCTGGGATTACAGGCGCACGCTACCACGCCCAGCTAATTTTTGTATTTTTAGTAGAGACAGGGTTTCTCCATGTTGGCCAGGATGGTCTCGATCTCTTGACCTCATGATCCGCCCACCTTGGCCTCCCAAAGTGCTGGGATTACAGGCATGAGCCACCGCGCCCGGCCTGTTACTGCTTTTAAAAAACCACTAATTAAGATGTTGCAGACACCTTGTGCCTGTGTCTGTAAGTAGGCATCTGTGTGTCGTTTTCCACTGGACACACCCGGGAGCCCAGGGCCAGCTCACCTCCATGTGTGAGCACGGAGATCACTTCCCAGTGGTCTCCTCTCTGAGCGCACCCAAGCTTAAGTATTGAAATGTGCTGACAAACTGCCTTTCCTCAGGGCTGTGCCAGCTTCCATGCCTGATGCCTTTAAAGCTGTCTTTCCCCGTGCACCATCCAAGCTGTTCATCTCTTTAGTTTTTGTCCAGCTAAGTAGACCAAAAAATGTCTGACCTTTACTTCTTTAATTCCTGGTGAAGTTGAACGCCTCCTCAGTTGGTTATGAAGTTTTAAATAAATCACCTGTTCATATTTTTTTTTGCCTCATTTTCTCTTTGAGTATTCACCTTTTTTTCCTTTAAAAATGGGTGTGTGAGGATTATTGTTACATTAACTTCTTATCTGTCACTGCAGATATTTTTTTCCCGGTTTGTCGTTTGTCAGTTCAACATCCTTTTTGGGGGGTGGTCTTTTCTTTCATGATTTTTGTCAACGTCTGTCATATTTGCAGCTGCCTACACCCCAAGATTAAGATTTGCATCTGTATTTTCTTATGTTTATTATGGCCCCATTTTTAAAAAATTCAGTCTTCTGTGTGACGTGGATGTATTTTTCAGTGATTCTGTGGTGCCTACCCAGCTCTGCTCACTTGGTAGTATTTCCAGGTGGGTGGATTTGACAGCTCGGGCCGTGAGGCCAGTGGCTCAGGAGGAGAAGTGGTGCCGCCTGCTGGTGGATTAGCATAGACTACTCTAATTTTTGATTTTGTGTATTACTTGCAAGTTCACTGTCACTAGTTAGGAAGACAGTGGAACCTTGTGGCTGATTTTCATACGTTCAGCCAAGGTCAGCACACATTTCTCTCCCCTGCGTCTCTTTGACACCTGATGTGGTGGCCATGCCTTCGCTGGGCCCCTGCCGCCTCGGGGTTTCTTGTCTTCCTGGCTGCTACTGCTCCATGGTGGCCTCTCCCTCCTTACCCTTCCCTTAACGCTGTGTCCTCAGAGCCTTGCTGGGGCCTCTCCTCCTTCGCTTTTGAACGCTCAGCGACTTGCAGGGCTTCTGCTGTCGTCTCTCTCCTGGGGGCGCCTCAATTGATAGCTGAGCCTTGGGCCTCTCTGGATGTCTCCTAGTGCCTCGAGTTTCCAACACTACACCACGTTCAGCCCCCACCCTGCGTTCCTTTCCTTCGAGTCTGAAAACATCATCCATCTAGATGTCTGAGCCAGGAAATCGGACAGTTGTTCTTGGTTCGTCCGTCTCTTCCTCCTGCCTGTTTCTCACTAATTGTGTCCTCAGTCCTGCCACCCACAGTACCCTGGCCTCTGTCCATCTGCAGCTCACCCAGGCGACCTTTCCCGGGGCATTTCTGCCTGTGCACCCCCCAAGCACGATGCTTCTGGGAAAAGTCCAGACCTTTAAGAGTCCCAGCTTTGCCTCCTGCTTGCTTCTCTGCCTGTCTGCCTCCTGTTTCCTCGCTGTCCTCCTCTTCACTGAGCTCTGCCTTGCCCCCTCCCAGTGGTGTCTCCCTGCCTGGAGCACCATCCATGCCTGCTGTGCGCTGCTCTCCTTTTCCTTTAAGGCTCCAGGAAGCCCTCGCGGAGTCCTCAGACCCTCTGGGCACCCTTCAGCACTGGGTTCTCTCCATCTAGTGTGTCGGCTCCGGTGTCCTGGCCTGCTCGCTCCTGCCTCCCCTACTGCCAAATGTCCCCTTGGTGAGGCAGGACCTTCCCTGGTGTTTGCTGTCCCCACAGGCGGCAGGGCCTCAAGCATGGTCACCTCCACCTGGTGGGCAGAGGGCTGTACGGTGCTGTAGGCTGGACCACGGCAGGTTTCCTGCCTCAAGGACAGTAACGCCTCCCCACACACTCCACCGCAGCCTTCATGGCCCTGGTCACTCTGTTGTCAGAGTCAAAGGCTGGTGAGCTCTGGGCAGTGGGCATTTTAAGAGGCCTCCTAAGCAATGGAATGGTGTAGTGGGATCTCATTGGAGCTCTGAAATGGGAATCCAGGTGGAGGGTGAGGCCTGAGTAATGCATGAGGTCTCTTCCTGGAACAGCAGGCAGGCGGGCAGAGGCTGAGCTCTGGCAAGGCTCCAGGGTAGCCTCCAGACTGAGGATGGTCCTGGCACCTTTTTTGGATAGGATTTAGAGGAGAGAAGTGATACTAGTGATGTTTTTGGAAGAAGAATTTGGCATTAGTGAGTGAGATGCTGTAGTGGATGGAGGGACGGGTGGCGAGGCATCAGAGTGATTCCTTGGGGCTGTGGTCACGGTGGTGAAAATGGGAAGCAGAGGGATTTGGGAGACAGATCAGAGAGGGTGTGAGGGGCTGACCATCAAGATGTGATGACAGCTGAGAGATGGACCTGTGGCTCATCCATTTCTCCCAGAAGCAGCATCTTATCTCAAGGGCAGTCATGTTTCTGTCTCATTGCCAAGGAAAATGCCATCTGTCCCCTCCAGTGGGCTCTGCCTGTAATGTGTAAGCTGCGTGGTTTTAGGTCACGTCCCCACATTGCTAACGTAACCCTCACGGTGGGGGACAAGGAGGGCTGCGGGCTGGGAAGTGGCCCCTGCCCCCAGGTGTTTGCCTGCGCATCGTCCCCCATGTTTCCTTAGTGTCAGCTGGGAGTGCTGCCGCTCGGCACAGGGAACGACTTGGCCCGAGTACTGGGCTGGGGCTCAGCCTGCGATGACGACACCCAGCTCCCCCAGATCTTGGAGAAGTTGGAGAGAGCCAGCACCAAGATGCTGGACAGGTGAGTGGGGATGTGCTCCGGTGCCGTATGAGGAGACTTTGAGAGACAGGTCCCTTTGACCAGGTGTTCTTAACCTGGGGTCTGTGGAAAACATGGGCCCTCTGAAATTATTTGTAAAGATTTGACCTGAGTATATATTCGGATAGTCTTTGATATTTGGTCAGATTATGACAAGGATAAAAACAAAACAGGTTAAGAACCAGCCATGCCCTAGGATGATCCAGTCTTCCCAGAAGGCCAAGCCTGAGTGTGTCAGGGCCGTGGAGAAGGCAGCTGTGCCATCTTTGGCTGCTTCAGCCCGAGATCTAATACCCATCGGAAGAATGCTCCTTGTCGTTTACTTGAACAGTTTCATTTTCTCATATTCTGTTCCCAGAAGAAGTTTTGGGAAATTATCCTCTAGTGCCTAAAGCCACTGTGACACCTTCCCTGAGTAAGGTACTGTTGTCCCGAGTGACACACTTGGCACTCACTGACCACATGCCTGTGGCACATGGGGTGCTGATGAGATGCCTCCTAGCCTTCCTAGTTGCTCCCAGAAGCCTGGAGTTCTGAGCACAGTTGTGGTTTTGCAATGCCCCCACCATTTCAGGCCTCCTCTGTGTGCCTTGGGGCCTGTGAAATGCTCATCTCACTGGGCCAGCTGGCTGAGCCATTTGCAGCTCTCTTGAGGAGGGTAAATCCATTTCTCCCAGAAGCAGCATCTTATCTCAAGGTAGCCATTTATGGGAGACCTTCCTCTCTTTATGGAGCTGTACTGCCGTTAGTTGTGGAGTGCAGACATTTGTTCTCAGCCAAGTTATGGGACAGAGTCAAGACCAAGGGCCTAAAAATGAAGTCAGAAACGGTGTAAAGATCAAGGCTGCCAGCCGTGAAAGCGGACGGCGCAGGGTTCACCCTTGTGGGCCTGCACGTCTTGCCGCCTGTGCAGCTGACCTTGTGTGTGCAGGTGGAGCGTCATGGCATACGAGGCCAAGCTCCCCCGGCAGGCCTCCTCCTCTACCGTCACCGAAGACTTCAGCGAGGATTCCGAGGTATTGCTGGCCTGTTCTTCACACCCTGCTCGCATGCTGATGTGATCAGAACTGTCCTGTCAGCGGTTTGCATCACCTCCCTTGCAGAGACGCCTCCCCTTTGGTGTTGGGGTGTCACAGTCAGGCCTGCGGAGGCGCAGGGTGAACCCATGGCTGAGAGGATTCTCACTCCCCTTGGCAGGGGCCTTTTGGGCTTTGTGACCCTCTAGGGGCTTCCTGGGGTTGTCATAGGCCCTGCCGGGTGGTGGGGTGGTCCTCCTAATGGCCTTTCCACCCTGTCCGTGCATCTCCTCAGCTGCGCAGTGAGCCCCAAACGGTGCGCGCCCGTTCCCTCCCCCGCCGCGGTGCCCACGTGCCTGGAATGCTCTAGCCGGCTCTGCCGCGGCTCTCCCCTAGCCCCCCGGCTCCTGCCCCGTCCCACCTCTCTGTGGCGTCTGCAGCTGCCCTTCGCTCAGGCTCCTCTAGTCCAGCTGGTGGTTCTTTTCATTTGGTGATTGTTACTGTTGTGTTTAACGCTCCTACAGTTTCCCTCAGAGAACAGACTTTGTCTTTAGTTTCTATTTTGTGCTGGTGCAGTGCTGGGTGGGGTAGTACAAAGAGGTGAGCTTTTGTCAGGGGCTAGGGCAACGGTCAGCAAACAAGGCCTGCAGGCCAGATGTGCCTGGGCCCACGGCCTTGCAAGCGAAGACTGGTTTGTACATTTTTTATTTTTCCTTTTTTTAAAAAAAAATTTTTTTTTTGAGAGGAAGAGTGTGTGGGGGAAGCCCAGAATATTCGCTGTCTGGCCAGTAGTGAAGTTTGCGACCCTGGGGCTGGGTCCTAAGGACAGCAGGGATCCCACAGGGATAGGGCTGCCCTTCTGACAGCCAGAACAGATGGTGGGGGCAGGAGTGTGTGTCCAGATGGGGCTCACAGCCAGGTGGAAACAGCCTCTGCTGCAAACGGACCCAAACCTGGAGCCGACCCGCCAGCATGCCGCTGTCAGGATGAGTAGGGGTCAGGACGGAAGCTCCTAGCACAGGCCGTGCTGGGATCGCAGACTGAAGGAGATTCATTTGCAGTTTGCCTGCAGCTTGACGAAGCTTTTAAAATCTCTCACCTAGCACTAGGTGAGTCCCAGATTAGCGTTAGAAGTGAGTTGAGGCTTGGCTGGGTCAGACAGTGTCTGTTAGGAGAGACTCATCTTTCCCAGCTTGTGCTGGCAAGGAAGTGGCTGACAGAGTCACTGGGACTGTCATGGAGCTTGCTGTCACAGAGACCAACAGTCCTGGCCATTTGGGGTGATTGCAGGTACAGCAGATTCTCTTCTATGAAGACTCGGTTGCAGCCCACCTTTCTAAAATCCTCACCTCGGACCAGCACTCGGTGGTCATCTCCTCGGCCAAGTGAGTGCCTGGTGGCCCTGGGGAGGGCATGGTGCCCTGGCCCCCAGCCTGGAGCTGCCTCTCTAGAAGGGTCTTTCTGTTTTTCTCCCCACAGAGTGCTCTGTGAGACGGTGAAGGACTTCGTGGCACGGGTGGGGAAGGCCTATGAGAAGACGACCGAGAGCTCGGAGGAGTCAGAGGTCATGGCCAAGAAGGTCTGTTCCCGTGCCCTGGGTGGGAGGGGCATTGAGGCAGCGAGAAGCTTGCTCTGTCACCAGCAGAGGGCCGTGACTGCAGGTTGTCCAGGTTCTTGGTGATTTGAACAAAGAATTAGACAAAACGCACAGTAAAGGAAGACAAGAATGAAGCAACAAAGAACGAAGGCAGGGATTTATTGAAAATGAAAGTACACTCCACACTGTGGGAGCTGCCCGAGCAGCGGCTCAAGGGTCCAGACACAGAATCTTCTTGGGTCCAAATACCCCCTAGAAGTATCCCATTGGCCACTTCATGCTCACCTCATGTAAATGAAGTGGTAGCTTGCATTCAGTCTGATTGGTGGCAGAAAGCAGCCAACCAGAGGCTGAAGTGGTTACAAAGGTCACACTCCTGTGCAAACATCTGATTGGTTGCAAAAAGCAACCAATCAGAGGCTAAGGTGAAGTTACAAAGTTGCATTTCTATGCAGACTAAGACTCAGCTCGCAATCAGTATGGTTGGTTGTGGACAGCCAATTTCCCCAATTTCCCACCTGCCAGGGCGGGAAAGGTGGGGATTTGCAAAGGGAGTAGCCTCTGGTCTTTTTGTTACTTAGGCGTGGAGAGTTAGGATTTTCCTTTTGATCGAGTTCTAGGAAGTCTGGGTGAAATGGCCTGAGGTTCCCTGCCTGCAGACCCTGTTCTCCTGCCTCAGCTCTGCATGCCATTTCCTTTCCTTGTTCAGTGCTCTGTCCTGAAAGAGAAGCTGGATTCCCTTCTCAAGACCTTGGACGATGAGTCCCAGGCCTCGTCCTCTCTGCCCAACCCGCCCCCCACCATTGCCGAGGAGGCTGAAGATGGAGATGGGTCGGGCAGCATCTGCGGTTCCACCGGAGACCGCTTGGTGGCATCAGCTTGCCCGGCCCGGCCGCAGATATTCCGGCCTCGAGAACAGCTCATGCTGAGAGCCAACAGCCTGAAGAAAGCAATTCGTCAGATCATAGAACACACAGAAAAAGGTAACTGGCCTTGTGATGAGGAGGGGCTTTCCTCAGGCCAGCACTGGGCATGCCCAGCGTCCCCTGAACACGGAGATGACAGAAGGGTGCATGTTGAGAAAACCTCCACTGCGGCCCTCTCCACCCATGTCCAGGCACCAGACCCCCAACGAGTTCGCTTGCCCTCCTTCCACCCCTCCTCTCACACCCTCAGACCCCTTCATGCTGCCTCCCCTCGACCTCTTTCCTGGCCCTCATTGACTTCACTATAAGCGTCTCACTCCCGTGAGAGCCTTGAGGTCACGGCCTCACACCCGCACACCTGCGTGTCCATGCAGCCGCTCCTCCCGCTTGCAGCCCTCCAGCCTGCGCCAGGCTCCTCTGCATCCCTTGCCTTCCCCTGCAAGGGTTCCAGACCTCCCAGCCTGTTAGCAGGGACGCCCTGCCCCAGTGCCAGGACCAGGGGGAAGATGGGTGGGGGTGGGGTTTCGGAGTCCAAGCCTTTAGCCAGAGGTTGTTTGAGGAAGATCAGGCCGTGGGGTGAGGATGAGGGGCCCTCCACCCAGCCTGACAGCGCCCTTGGCTTTGCACCCGCGTGCTCAGCCGCACACACTCTCCTTGCACAGCTGTCGATGAGCAGAATGCCCAGACCCAGGAGCAGGAGGGCTTCGTCCTGGGCCTCTCTGAGTCAGAGGAGAAGATGGACCACAGAGTGTGCCCACCACTGTCCCACAGCGAGAGCTTCGGGGTCCCCAAGGGGAGGAGCCAGCGCAAAGGTACTTGTGCCTCCACCTCCCTCTGCGCACCGTCGTGTGCTTGGTTTTGGTGAGACGTAGCGGGCTTGCCAGGGGAGGTTTTAGGGCACTTTCTCATAGTTGCTTTGGCCACTTGGTTACATAAAAATTGAGCGCCCAAGGCCTGTTTCTGTGCATCTCCTGTGCGCGCCCTTGAGGTGGGTGTGTGCGGTCTGTCTTGGTGGACAGCAGTAGAACCCGCGAGACCCCCTCCATCAGGGCGAGGACTGCCTCCCTGAGGAGCACTTGCGTCCTGCCCTCACTGCTTCCTTGGAACCACACTGGGCCCCAGAACTGCTCAGAAGGGGCTGTGTCTGGCAGAGGGAAGGCGGGTGGGTGAGCGTGGGCCTTCTTTGTCCTTGCCCCTCCTGGAACAGCCCACAGCGCAGGCCCTGGTGGAGGGCACCCCCAGCCTGTGCAGGCTGCTGGGAGGCCCATGCTCAGAACTGACCCATGGCCACTGCATGGCCACCACTGAGAGCTCTGCTGTGTGTGTGCTCCGCCTCCCACAGCCCGGACTGACTGGGCTCACCCCTCCCTCCAGCGCTGCCACCTGTGGCCTGTGTTAACCTCTCCATGAGCCCAGCCCCCCAAACATGTGCACCCACTCGGTCCTCCGCCCCCTTCTTTGTCCCACACACTTCACGCAACTGCCTGTGGTTTGCAGCCCTCCCTCCTCAGCCCTCCCACCTGCTCGTGTCGCTAAGGACCCCCCAGGATTTCACAGTCTCTATTCCACACAGCTGTAAGGTTTTCTGCTGTGTTGTTACAGTGTCGAAATCTCCGTGTGAAAAGCTGATCAGCAAAGGGAGTCTGTCCCTAGGCAGTTCTGCTTCCCTTCCGCCCCAGCCGGGAAGCCGGGACGGCCTGCCTGCGCTCAACACCAAGATCCTGTACCCAAGTGAGTGGCGGCCAGCAGGAGGGACTGGTGGGGGCCCTAGCACAACACTGGTCCCGTCAAACTGAAAGAGATGGGCTCGCTGCCCTCGGAGAGTTTACAGGCCCCTGAGAAAGATAGGTGGAATTGAAAAATTTACACGACTGTATGAAAAGTGCTTTTTTTTTTTTTTTAAAAACAAAAAACAAAAAACAAAAGCCAGATAGTACCCAAATAACCACCCAAGGAGCCCAGGAGGCGCCATTGAGGAGGTGATGCTCGAGTCGGGGTTGGAAGAATTAAGGAATTATCTGAGTGGAAAAGGGAGGTGGCCGGCCTGATGAGGGAACCCGAGGGACCATCCCGTGCTTCTAGCGTGGTCGCAGGAGGCGCAGGGAGGGTGAGGTCCTGGCCGCCTGGAGCATTCCTTGATATTCATTCCTTAGGAAGGCAGCCTTATAAAGCCTTAAGCCTCAACTCTCAGAGATCATTTTGGTGGAGTGGCTTACATTTAATGAGAACATGAAAACTGACTCTATAAGCCTTTTTTTTTTTTTTTAAAAGAGGGTCTCTCTCTATTGCCCAGGCTGGAGTGCAGTGATGTGGTCATGGCACACTGCAGCTTGACCTCCTGGACTCAAGTGATCCTCCCCACTCAGCCTCCCAAATATCTGGGACCACAGGCACACACCTTAGAAGCCATTTTTTTGTGTGTTTTGTAGGTGTTGGTTTCTGCCACCCAGTATGGTTTCTTTGTTCCAGTGATTTTTGACCTAAGACTATTGGCAAAATTTGGACATGGTTATACATAATTTTAGAAACATTTAATTATAATAACGTTCTGCAGAATACCGGTCCACCAGCTTCAGAGACACGAGCTTCTCCTAAGGCTGTAGCTCCTGACCAGCACCACCTCTTTCTTGTATCTCCTTTACAGATGTCCGGGCTGGAATGTCTGGTTCCTTACCCGGTGGCTCAGTCATCAGTCGCCTGTTAATTAATGCTGATCCCTTCAACTCTGAACCAGAAACCCTGTGAGTATGAGGGATAAACCGAGTGGGCATATTGTTACATGGCTGCTAGTGCATAGAAAACAGATCTCAGGATTAACTAGAGAAATTAGTGAGCAGTTGCCCAGCTGGTGGTAGCTGATAAGGAAGGCTGAGAAGTCGTGGAGATTCCACTTAAGGAGTGGAGCTGGAAACCACTACTGCACATCTGCTGCAGAGGCAAAGCGCACGCCTCCCATCTCCTTCCCAAGGTCCCACGGTGCTTGCTTGACGTCCCCTGAGCCTGCATGCCCTTCTGAGGCTTTTCACAGGCTCAGCTACTCCTGCCAGGAGCTGCCCTTGTGCTGCTCTTCGTGGTCACTCTCCCATGATCTTGGCTGGACCTCACTGACTTCTGCTTACAGCCTGCCATCTTCCTCTTGCCATCCCTTCCCTCTGCTTTCCTCTAACACCTGCTCTCCTTGTTGGTGATGCAGAACCACAGACTCTGAGCTGGAGGGTCCTCTGTGTGTCTCCCTTGTGTCTCCGAGCACCTTAGGGAGACACTAGCCTGTGCTGAGGCTTATAAGGGCTGCTGCGTGCCTGCGTGCTGATACTGCTACTCCTTGGGGGACAAGGCCTTCTTCCTCTGCTGGCCTGTAAGGCAGTGAGGACATGTATATAGCAGTTTAATGCAGTCTTCCTAGGTATTGGAGTCCATTTTGGAGACAAGTGGTGTTTTGAAAACCTGTTTTTCTGCACTCATCTTTATGCTGGCTGATTGCAGGTTCTGGGCAGCTGGTGGCAGTTGGTTAAATGTGGCCAGCCATTTTTCTGGAGTGGTGACGGACAGTGACAGGAAGAAATGTGCGGTTCACAGAGGCTCTGGGTTTGGGAAAGTGGACCCCTAGATTCCAGGTGCTGGCCTGGTACAGCACTTCAGTGTCCCTGTTCCTGGCCTGGTCTACTCCTCCCCTGGGGCTGCGTGGGGCTCCAGTTCTCAGCCCTCCTGAGGCTTTTTTCCTTGGGGAGGCCAGAGCTGTAGTCCTATAGTGAGCACTGTCCCTAGAGGCCCCTGAACTGGATATCTCCTTTGTCTCCTTCATCTGAGACTGGAACTTCCACTTCTGTTGCTCAGCTGGGTGGTCTCATCTCTTCTTTTCACCTGGGGAGACAAAGCTGTGCTTTGCTGCCTTCCTGCTGTGGTGTGTGCCTGGGCCGTATTGTGTGGGCCCCATTGTAGCTGGGCCTGAGCAGCCCCTGGTACCCTGTCCTCTCCCACTGCCCCAGCCACTGCCGCCCCTCCTGCTCCAGGCCCCTGAGCCCAGTCTCTG
Organism: Homo sapiens; assembly: GCF_000001405.40. Classification (NCBI taxonomy): domain Eukaryota; kingdom Metazoa; phylum Chordata; class Mammalia; order Primates; family Hominidae; genus Homo; species Homo sapiens. The sequence goes on from NC_000002.12 coordinate 233,453,350, forward strand.
CTGCCTTCCCTCATCTCTTTGTCCTGTTTCTCTCCGTTGGATCTCTCTCTTTTCCCAGGACCTATACATGCTGGCCAGGCACTTGGTCTTCCCCCTGGTAAACAGTTTTGTCCCAGAGCTTTGCTCTGGCTCAGCTGTCGGGCACTTGAATTAGATGGATCATAAATACACTGACACATGCTGGTTGTTCTCAGATCTGGCGGCACTGGCTCAGTAAGCTAAAGTGTGTCAGAATTCTGGCCCGAGCAATGTTCCCAAGCCCATCCACCCATTGAGTTTCTTTGGGAACTTCCAGAACATCCTCTTCTCCTGGCTGCAGCCTCTGGGTGGAGGAACAGGGGTTCCTCCCTTCATCCACTTGCCCTCGGGGGGAAACCCCAGTGTGACCCTGGGGTTGGGGAGGGTGAAGGCCAGGCTGGGCTTTCCCAGCAGCTGGGGGAGCTGCAGGAGCAGGACTTCCAGCTGGGTGGGGAGAAGAAACTTGAATGAGTCTCTTCTCGTCTGTCGCACACGGGGAAAAGGAAGCCTTGTGCTGTGGGGCTGGGATGGATGTTTTCAAGTCATTTTCCTTTTTAATTTGGCAACAGCTTTGCTTGTAACTAGGGATGTTTGAGAAATGTTTTGAGATCCAGAGTTGAAATGTGTGAGTTTCTGTGCCATAAACATATCTTCAGGTTTGGTGCTGCTGGTGGAGTGTAAGATGGGCAGCTGCTGTGGGGAATAGTCCAGCAGCTCTGCCGGAGGTTCAGCCCAGAGCTGCTGTGTGACCAGCAGGCGCAGAACTGCCGGGCCATGTGGGATTGAACTGAAAACATGTCCACGCTAGAAGCTGTATGCAAATGTTCCTAAATGATAACCAAAACGTGGAACATCCCAGTGTCCGTCTGCTGATGAGCAGGTCAATAGATGCAGGTTAGCCACGCAGTGGAGTATTATTTGGTAATAAAAATGAAGCGCTAACACATGTTATAACATGGATGAACTTTGAAAACATCGTCCTGAGGAAGAGAAAGGAGCCAGACACAGAGCCCACGACCGCATGATCCCATTCCTGTGAACTGCCTAGAAGAGGCGCCTCCGTGGAGGTGGAAAGTAGACGAGAGGCGCCAGGGATGGTGAGGATGGAGAGTTAGTTGCTGATGGCAGGAGTACAGGCTTTCTCTTTAGGGGGATGAAATGCTCTAAAATCGATTATCTAGTGATGGTTAAATGACTCTGAATATACTAAAAATAATTGAATTGTACATTTTAAATTGGTAAATTATCTAGTGTATATCTTAATAAATCTCTTAGCAGACAAAAAAGAAAAAGTTACCAGTTTTCCCCAAGGAAGAGAAATGCTGAGAGGTTGGGAGTCTGAAATAAGACTGCTCAGCAGGGCTGTTGTAATTGATTTAAAACTCACCTTTGCAGAGAGTATTACACGGAGAAATGTGTCATGAACAACTATTTTGGCATTGGCCTGGATGCGAAGATATCCCTGGACTTTAACAACAAGCGCGATGAGCACCCAGAGAAGTGCAGGTAGGTAACAGGCTCAGGAGCACGTCTGTCTTTTGCGTCTTTGTGGCTTCTCCTTCCAGACAGTAGCAGATTTCTGGAGTCAGCAGGTTAAAGAACGTGCAGAATGCTAAGGCGGGGGGCAGAAATGGAGCCCAGATCGCCTTGTCAGAAGCACGGGTGCTTTCAGAGATGGAAGGGAAGCACCTCTCGGGCTGGCCAGGTCAAGGGAAATTCAACATCGGAAAACCAGTGATGGTGGTCATTGGAATGGCGGCATCTCTTAATGAGAGCCCCAAGTCCGTGATACTACAGAAAAGCGGCAGGTGTGCCAAGAAGCTATTGCACCTATTGCGTAAGTGCCCAGCATTGTTTGTGGGAGGGTCTGTGTGTTCATCACCACCCTAGCTGGCCCTCCCCCATCACACCCGAGCCTGCCCACAAGGCCCTTGAGTCCAACCTCTGCAGGAAGACGGGAGCGTGGGAGCCCCAAGGGGCATCACTGGGGGTTTCAGTTTTTTTCCTCTAAAATTACTGGATACTCAGTCCTGGCCTGAAGAGAGGATGGAGAAAAATGAGAAGGGTCCCTCTTCTCAAGCTTTTCTTCCTGGGCTGATGTAGAATTCTCTCTTGTCTGTGAAACACAAGAAGTGAGGGAGAAATGTCTCCCTCCCCACCCCACAGTAATAATCAGAGAGGCCATTCAGCTTTGACATGATTAGAACTACAGAGAGGGAGAAATGAGTGTGGGGGTTGACGGTGTTTGTGCAGAGAACAGCCCTTGACCCAGAAGCTGGGAGACCCTTGCTGGAGTCTTCGTCCGCTGAGTCAGGATGGGCTTGAATGAACCAAGCCACGTGGCCCCCTGTGGCCTCGCCCTCCTCATGGCGTCACTGCCACCTTGCGGGGAGCCATGCTGACACCTGAGGGTCCAGCTTTAGTCATTGCTCAGGTTACATGTAGTTGAAAATTTCTAGGAAAACAAAAGCATCAGAACTGAAAGAACTTTTGACTCTGAGGCTCTTCCATGCAGGAGAAAATGGCTCAGGGGCCCCAGGGACATATCCCTGTACAGCACAGGATGGTAACGTCAGATCATTTAAAAATCCCTGTTAGTCCAAAAATCACTGGGAAAAGTATTAAAATACACATACTTTAGCAGGGTAAAATAAGTAGTTGAGGAACAGGGGCATGCATAATACATTTCTAGAGCTTTGGAACCCTGGTCAAACCTCTCTTGAGTTTGTATTGAGAGCTTTGAAAAGTTCTCCTGAGAAAAATTCCACTTGTACAAATGTCATTGGAAATTTCTGCAGAAGTCATTGGAAATGTTGGTTGACGTAGGTACGAAGGGACTCCTAGCGTGTCATTTCCAGAGCTCAGGCATGGGGCGGAGGAGTGTAATCAAGGGGATTGGTTCGATAAGCTGTGGTAGAGCAGTGCCCGGCTGAGGATGGCCACATCTGCAGAGAGCGTGTGGCCACAGAAGGAAGCATTGCCGGCGCAGGGTAAAGTGGACCAAGTAGGTCGTGAAACTGTAAACAAGTTACTGCAACTGGAAATTAATATGCAAAGAAGACTGAGGAAATACATAGCAGCACTTGGCATTTGTCATTAGCACGTGTGGAGGGTGCCTACAGGTGCTGGATTATGCATGGAGGATTATGAGGAGTGTCTTCTCCTTGGTGCTTTTCTATATTTTCCAGTTTTTCTATGGTAAGCATAATTTTTTAGCCAGAAAAAATCAGGATGTGTAGAAGTTTTTTTATAGGGTTCTATAATGTTTTAACTTTATGTATTTACCTTTCAGGGTATGATTACTTTCTTGGCAAAATGTTACTATTGAGCAAAATTTCCTATTGGTAAACGTATCTTTTTATGCATATCTGCAAAAACAAAAATGTGTCCTTCAGATGTTACTGCTGTAAATAATTGCTAAATGTAGCTGATTTGTGGGTCAGATGCTGTTCCCAGCTTTCACAGAAATGACTCTGGTTAACTATACGAAGAAAGCCCAGACCTATGGCAAGTCTTTGCTTCTGTTTCTAGGAGCCGAACCAAGAACATGATGTGGTATGGAGTTCTTGGAACCAAAGAGTTGCTGCACAGAACCTACAAGAACCTGGAGCAAAAGGTCTTGCTGGAGGTGAGTGGGAGGGTCCTTGTCACCTGCAGGCTGGCCTCCATCCATCAGCAGACTGCCAGGCCTATTGCTTCTCCTGTTGACCATTTCCTCCATGCACAGGGACTTGCCTGGGGATGCCCTGGCCACGGCTGTGCTCCTGAGCCCCTGGCGGTGGGAAGCTGGTAGAGAAGGAGGGGCTGACTCATACCTTTCTCTTTTCTTTTGTTCTGTGTCTCTGCTGCTCAGTGTGACGGGCGACCCATCCCACTCCCCAGTCTTCAGGGAATTGCTGTCCTTAACATTCCCAGCTATGCCGGAGGAACCAACTTCTGGGGGGGTACCAAGGAAGATGATGTATGTATGGGGTGTGAGCGGGTGGGCCTGAGCTCAGTGGGGAAGAGCTGTCTGAGAGCAGGGGGGTGTTCTGCTGTGGCTGGGGTGGATCCAGCTCTTCTGTTGTGCCAGCAGTGGGGTTGCCGTGGAGAACAAGATAGACAGGGTCCCCCACCCAGCTCATCGTCTAGAGGGCTGAGCAGAGCAGTTGTGTCAGTGAAGGTGGTCAGTGAGGGTCTGTGGTCAGCAGATGTGGTCAGCGGGTGTGACGTGGAAGGAGGGTCAGGGAAGGTGTCTGGGAGGCCAAGACCTGAAGGATGAGTTGGAGTTGGCTAAGTTAGGTGGGCAGAGGAGAGGGGGAGGCTGTTCCAGGCAGAGAGAATTGCACAGATGAAGGCTCAGAGTCAAGACAGGGCAGGCACATGGAGGATGGGAGAGAGGTGCCCCGACTGCAGTGGGCAGCAGGGGCGTGGAGAGACAGGAGAGGGCTGCAGGGCCTGGGTCACACTGGGCTGTGTGAGCTGGGGAAGAAGTTTGGAATTTGTGTTAAGAACTGTGGGAAGGTGTTGATAGGTTTAAACCTGGTTTAAACCTTCCTTTGTACGTAATAGCGAATAGAAGTATTCAGCGCTTCCTGCACACGTGGTGTGTGCTGGCCCCAGTCCTGGCACTCTGCAGCGTTAACTCACTTGGCCCTACTGATGGCCCTGGAGGAGCGTGCCGTTAGTTTCCCCATTTTACGCATGAGGAAATGGGGGAGAGAGAGATTCAGTAACTTTGCCGAGATGAGAGCTGGGATTTGGTCCCAGGCAGCTGGTTTCAGGGCCTGCAACATGAAGCCCGTCAGGAGTGCAGTTACCTGGTAACTTCTCGCCAGCTAGGAGGGGCTGACCCCCAGAGGGAGGGAGTGAGGGTAGGGGCGGCCTGTGCTCGGGGATGTGTGGAGTGGTGGTCAGCTCTAACGTGTCCCTTGCAGACTTTCGCAGCTCCATCATTCGATGACAAGATTCTGGAGGTGGTCGCCGTGTTCGGCAGCATGCAGATGGCCGTCTCTCGAGTCATCAGGCTACAGCATCATCGGATCGCCCAGGTAGTGGCCATGGTCCTGGGGTGTCTGGCCGAGTCCCCAGCCCGGAGTGTGCTAAATTCTGGGGCAGTGCATGGAGCCTGGGAGGGTGGGCGCTTTCCAGGGCCATGTGGCTGCCTCATGTCCTGTCCTGGACAGCTCGTGGCCCCACTTCCTGGGCCAGAGCCCTTTCCTTGTGCTATGCTTGACAGTTAAATTCTCAAGATAACTCTTTTTAATTTTTTTTTTTTTTTTTGAGACAGAGTCTTGCTCTGTTGCCCAGGCTGGAGTGCAGTGGTGCAATCTCGGCTTGCTGCAACCTCCACCTCCCTGGTTCAAGTGATTCTCCCGCCTCAGCCTTCCGAGTAGCTGGGACTACAAGTGCCCACCACCATTCCCAGCTAATTTTTGTACTTCACCATGTTGGCCAGGCTGGTCTCGAACTCCTGACCTCAAATGATCCACCCACCTTGGCCTCCCAAAGTGTTGGGATTACAGGTGTGAGCCACTGCACCCGGCCAAGATAACTCTTTCAAAATGTGTATCCTGCTTGAACCACAGCCTTGCCTGTCCCCTCTGAGGTGGGATGAGATAGAGCAGACCCAGGCTGGACTCTGCCCGTGTCTGCAGCTGTCAAAGCCGCAGTGGGGACGGAGCCCATGGCTCTGATGTGGGGTGTGGGAGGATTTCCAGCTGGGGCCCTCGATCATGGTTCTGAGGCCGAGTGGTGAAGGGCTGGGGGTGCCCCCATGGCTTATTTCTGACAGCAGCGATGGGCTGAGGGCAGTCTTTCTGTGAGGATGGGGCAGGACTCTGTACCCAGGCACAGGCACTGGGGCGGGGGAGGGTGCTGATGACACCCACTGGCTGAACCCCACCCTGCGACTGTCTGGTGTCTTCCAGCACTCTGTCTACCCTTAGCTGTAGGCTGCTTGAAGTTCACAATTTTCACTCTTTGGCAATGTTTGTTGTTGAAAAGGAGGAACGGGATGATGATGGATGGCTCATCGTCATCCACTGTGCCATCTGCTCTTTTCTAGGGGTGTTTTCACGTGGCAGGGGCCCAGTGGCTTCTGGGAGCTACAACACCCCTGCCCCTGGGTTCTGACACCTGTTGTCTCAGCACCAAGGTCTCCTGCACTGACTGCTCAGTGAGGGGATGGGGCGGGATGGGGCGGGACAGTGGGAGAACAGACCCTCGGTTGAGTGACACAACAGCAGAAGGCTAGCTGCAGGCGGAGCGCCATCCCAGAGGCAGAGGTGGGGTGTCCTGCAAGGCAGGGACGGGTGTGTGGAGCAGGAAGGTCATGGTGGTGCTGATAGCACTTTTAAACCCCTGGGGGTTTTGGCTCAGCATGAGTAATGGCTATGATGTCTGCTCAGTGTCGCACGGTGAAGATCTCCATCCTTGGGGATGAGGGCGTGCCTGTGCAGGTGGACGGAGAGGCCTGGGTCCAGCCGCCAGGGTACATTCGGATTGTCCACAAGAACCGGGCACAGACACTGACCAGAGACAGGGTAAGAGCGGCTGCCCGCGGTACCTGGGTGGGGTACAGGGCTCACCTGTGGGCTCTTGTGTGCACTGTTAAGAGCTGGAGCTTTTTGTGTTTTGTTCTAGGATTTTTTTTTTTTTTAAGACACAATGATTAAGCTAATAGGGCAGTAATTTCTAGGACCATCTCCTTCCCCTAATGTTAAAAAAAAAAAAAAGTCCTATTTGTCTCTTTCTAGTTGTGATCTCGTTGGCATCCCCATAGTGTCTGTCGCAGTCAGATGCATGCTTCAGAGCAGCAGGTGTAATTGGGCTTTCGGGTCCATAGGCATTTGAGAGCACCCTGAAGTCCTGGGAAGACAAGCAGAAGTGCGAGCTGCCCCGCCCTCCATCCTGTTCCCTGCACCCGGAGATGCTGTCCGAGGAGGAGGCCACCCAGATGGACCAGTTTGGGCAGGCAGCAGGGGTCCTCATTCACAGGTGGGCTCCTACCCCTCTGCGTTGCGCATGAGCCTCCCCCAGGGTCCCTGGGACTGCACTCTTCCAAGGCCCCTGGGGCGTGGAGCTGCTGCTCCTGACTTTTGTGGGGTCTGCATTACCCATGAGGGCCGAGCCTGTTTATGTGCCCTCAGCTCTGGCTCATTTCCCCAGTGGTCTTTCAGAACTCGCCTGGAGTTTACATGGCTGGAACCTAAAGCCCACTGTGATTTTCAGGACCACTCGTTTAAAACCTGCCCGGGCTCAGCCGGGCGCGGTGGCTCACGCCTGTAATCCCAGCACTTTGGGAGGCCAAGGTGGGCAGATCACAAGGTCAAGAGATTGAGACCATTCTGGCTAACATGGTGAAACCCCGTCTCTACTAAAAATACAAAAAAATTTAGCTGGGTGTGGTGGCGGGCGCCTGTAGTCCCAGCTACTCTGGAGGCTGAAGCAGCAGAATCAGTCGAACCCCAGAGGCGGAGGTTGCAGTGAGCCGAGATAGCGCCACTGCACTCCAACCTGGGCGACAGAGCAAGACTCTGCCTCAAAAACAAACAAAACAAAACAAAAAAACCCTGCCCTGGCTCCCGAGGGCAGCCCGCTGACAGCCGCCTTCACTTTGCCCTCGTTTTACCCTGAGAACAGGCTTGCTCTTTGTTCTCAAGTTTACTTTAAAAAAAAAAAAAAAAAAGACAACTGCTGGGGCATTTCCTCTCACCTGCCTTCTAGAAACACCCCTGGAGCCACTGTGTCCCTCGTGGCTGGTGGTCAGCATTGTCTGCCATTCCTGCTCCTCGCCCGCCAGGTGCGGGTTCCGCCTGTGAGTCCCTCCCAGCCGGCAGCTGTGCTGCTCCGCCGGTGCGGGGCCTGCCTGCATTCTCCCCCCGTGGCCGCACGCTGGCTGGTGCCCTGGTGTCCCTTTCTTGTTTCCCCTGGGCTCCTTCTTCTCCTGGCTGTGGACAGGTGCACCCGTCGGTTTTGTGCCCGGCATGCCGTGTGCCCTTCCAGGCAGCCTGCCCAGCCCTGGCGTGCAGATGGATCGTCTGTGCCAGCCTTCGGCTCTTGTCGAGCAGGTGGTCGCTGTCCCAGTCATCACCGGCGTTCCTCGCTCTGCACTTCCATACCGGCTGCAGTCCTTCCTGGCGCTGCATTCTCTGCCCCAGGAGTTGGTGCCACTGCGGCCCCTGTCCTCGTCTCTCCCCCACCCCACCCAGATCAGTGATGGGGCTGGAGGACTTCAGTTCAGCTAATTCCTTGCCGTGCAGTGGGCTTCTGGTGGCCTCCCCTGGAAAGCCATTACCCTGTCCCCTCAAAGCCCATGGTGGCCCCTCTGGCCTGCCTGGAAGGTGCACTTGCACAGCACTGCAGGAAGCTGCTGGCAGCGGCCTGTTTCCACAGGGTCAGGACAGGCTGGCCCCGCTGCCTTTGCTTGCACTGCTCCTATAGTCTCTGTCCCCCGATCTCACCTGCCTGAGCCACATCTCAGCCTCCCTGGGACCTGGTGTGACTTGTGCTCTCACCGTCTTCCCTATGAGGGCTGCTATCTGGGGTCTGGCTCAGAGCCCATCACTGCACCAGGATTGTCCTGTTCAGATGAGGGTCCTTTTGTCCCCAGGGACAGACCGGCCAGTTACAGGTTCCAGCAAGGCTGTGGGGATTGTGCCTTACTGCAGCAGTCTCTGCAGTGGGCCTGTGCACACTGTCACTTGCCCACTGGCCGTTTTACAGGTTGTAAGCCTCATTTTGTACATTTCTCTCCCTGGAAAATCTTGGATTTTGACGTCAGATTTCTCGTGGAAGCCCTCCCATTTGCTGTGGGTCATCCTGTGCCCAAGCTTGTGACTGAACGGTCGCTGGGCTGAGCCACGATCCCTGTCGTCCTGCTGGGCCTGCCCTCCACATCAGCCCTCCAGGTGGTACCTGGGCCGTGTTCAGATGCGTATTGTGAAAGGCTGCCCTTCCATTTGGCCTGACATCTGCCCGTGCTTCTCTTCCTCTCTAGTATCCGAGAAATAGCTCAGTCTCACCGGGACATGGAGCAGGAACTGGCCCACGCCGTCAATGCCAGCTCCAAGTCCATGGACCGTGTGTATGGCAAGCCCAGAACCACAGAGGTAGCTATTCTGGCCTTTTCAGTCCTGGCTTCTTCTCAGTGTCTGCCGCCCTCGGCCCTCCCCGTGCGTGTTCATTCCCCCGCCTCCCCGGTGCATGTTCGGCCCTCCCAGTGCTTGTTCCCTGCCCCTAACCGTGCATGTTCGGCCCCCCGCCCCCATGCATATTTGCCTGGTTTCTTCTAGGGGCTCAACTGCAGCTTCGTCCTGGAAATGGTGAATAACTTCAGAGCTCTGCGCAGTGAGACGGAGCTGCTGCTGTCTGGGAAGATGGCCCTGGTAAGCTGGTGCCCCAGGGACAGCAGGGCTCGGGCTGTGTGTGAAACGACTGCTGTCGCCAGGTTGCTGGGCACACAGGGCAGCACACTTTAGTCCAGAGTTCCCGGTCTTAAGGAATGGGCCGCAGAGGTCATTTGGTTTGTTGTGCGGCTGGTGCCCACCCCTGCTGGCAACCCCTCAGTCAGGTTGTCTCAAGCATGCGAGAAGCGCTTGCAGCGGAAACACCCTTGTCGTCGTGGACAGAAGATGCTTTTCTGCCTTAGAAGCCTGTAGTGCAGAGTCCTGCTCCTGCCGAGAGCTGGCCACACTCTCAGGCACCTTCCATGCTCAGCCCTGCAAAACCGGCTGATATGGCAGCTGTGGGGCTGTTACTGAATCACAGGGGCTAGAACAGGGAGAGGCCTGAGAGACTGACTGGCCAGCCTTCTGGTTTTAAAGATGAGGAGGAAGGGGCTTGATAAAGATTGGGCAACTGGAGAACCGCCCCAGGTGTGGTTTCCCAGCCCTCCACTCCGCACGCCACTCACCTCCTCACTGCACGCGTCTCCTCACTGCACGCATCACCTCACTCCACACATCACCTCACTCCACACATCTCCTCACTGCACGCATCTCACTCCACACATCACCTCACTCCACACATCTCCTCACTCCACACATCTCCTCACTCCACGCATCTCCTCACTCCACGCATCTCCTCACTCCACGCATCTCCTCACTCCACGCATGTCCTCACTGCACGCATGTCCTCACTGCACGCATGTCCTCACTGCACGCATGTCCTCACTCCACGCATCTCCTCACTCCACGCATCTCCTCACTCCACGCATCTCCTCACTCCACGCATCTCCTCACTCCACGCATCTCCTCACTCCACGCATCTCCTCACTCCACGCATCTCCTCACTCCACGCATGTCCTCACTGCACGCATCTCCTCACTCCACGCATCACCTCACTCCACGCATCACCTCACTCCACAGAAATCCTCACTCTACGCATCTCCTTATCCCATGCCTCCCCTCGTCCCACGTCCCGTGGTCACACGCGTGTCCTCACTGCACACCTCCTGCTGCCTCCTGCAAGGTTCGACTGCTGACTTTGCTTCCCACAGCATTTCCACTGCTTGACACAGGTGAATGGCTCCGACCCCATTTCTGACAGAGGGACACAAGCAGGTCAGTTGTCAGCCTTGCTCTATGTGAATTCATCGTTGACTGATGGACAGTTTTATTCTCTCACCAGCACTACTTAGAAAGTGAGGTTCTGGGTTTGGTTCCTTTTCTGGTGCTCTGGGACTTCGTTTCTGGAAAGTGAGCTCCCTGATCAGAGCAGAGCAGAGCCCTGGAGCGGACCTCACCCCCCTGGGCCTCGCGCTGATCAGCAGTGCACACTCTCCATTTCTCTCTCCCTCCCTCCGCCTGGAGCAGCAGCTGGATCCGCCTCAGAAGGAGCAGCTGGGGAGTGCTCTTGCCGAGATGGACCGACAGCTCAGGAGGCTGGCAGACACCCCGTGGCTCTGCCAGTCCGCAGAGCCCGGCGACGAAGAGGTATGTGGCTCATAGGGCTGTGCCTGGGTCTCCCGGACATGGTGGCTCTCGCCTGAAGTGCCTGTGTTCCTTGTGACCCGTGTGGCTCTGGGATCAAGATCGTGTCGCTCCGGCAGCCCCTGAGGGGCCTTCTCCAGACTTCGCTATTAAAATGCTCTTTAAGGCAGGGAGGGACAGCAGGTAGGAAGGAGTTCTGGGCTGGGATTAAGAGTGCCCCTTGAGGACCAGGGACCTGTTGTCCTCTGAAACAGAACTGCAGGGCTTCCTGGACAGTGGGTAGAAGGAAGGCTGAGCCCAGCCCCACAGCCTCCCCCGAGGGTGGAGATGTATCATGGGATAAATGGCAGCCTTTTGGGATCCCGCTGTGGACAGGGCGCAGTTGGTGTGCGCCACTCCCCACTCACACTCTCTTCCTGTGTGAACAGAAAGACTCCAGCTCGTCGCAGGTCTGGGAGGGACCCGAGGACGCAGGGCATAGCGGACCCTGGGGTGGAGTCACATTCTTCTGCAGGGAGTGCTGGCTGAAGGAGCCCTGGAGAGGGCCGTGTCTGGACAAGGACAAACCCCAGCCTGTCTCTTGGCTTCCCTGCTTCAGAGATAGAACACAGAGGGGCCCTGAGGAAAGCTCATCTTGGGCAGTACAGTTGCAGAAGGCAAATAACTGCAAGACGCCAAACCTGGGCACCCCTGCCCAGTGGGGTTTGTGAGACCTGTGGGCAGCAGTAAGGCGAGGGGACAGAGGTGGGCAGCTGCACAACAGCACCCTCTTTCCGGGGCCCTGGGGCGTTTTTTGACGCATGCAATCCTTTCATGGGAAACTGACTCAGGCACTCCAGCCGATGGATGAAACTCAGCAGCTTCTCAGTGAGGGCACTTGGGTATAAAAGGACAGGGCAAGCTCCTCAAAATCCATTAAATAATTCATTGTAAAGGTGATTAAGAAATTTTACCCAAAATTACAAAAATAATAATATACAATGATTCAACAGATGTCACAGTGACATAGCCCTATAATACCAGATTAAATTAAGGCCAGTAAAGTGGGCAGTGAGGTGAGAGGCTGGGAAGAGGACATGGACGGGGGGAGGAAAGCATGTTAAATTCCTCCTCTTACAGTGGAAGAACGTTACAAACAACATTCTTGACTTTCATACTTGGAGAAATACAGAGTCAATAATGTTTTTAGGGTCAAGAGTGGTGGCTCGCACCTGTAATCCCAGCACTTTGGAAGGCCAAGGTGGGAGGATCACGTTAGCCGAGGAGTTCAAGACCAGGCTCGGCAACATAGTGAGACCCTGTCTCTATTAAAAAAAAATTTTTTTTTAAACTTAAAGGTAATTTCTAATAGAGCTGAAAAGATTTATATCTTCCAAATTGCCACCAAGGACAAAAATAAAATACAATTTATATTGTAAAAGAAAGTAAAGGACCAGCAAGGGTATCGCTAACAGCATGAAAATAAGATAACAGAAAAATGACATGGCTTTCTCTTAAAAGTAAATTCTTAGGTTGTGTTTTAAAAGAAACCTAACCATATATTGCTCACAAGAGCCCTGTTTTTTTTTCTCATACTCCTAATAAAAATTTATGATACAGAAAGATTAATAATAATTAAAACACCATAAAAAATCCAAAGTAACAATATAAAAATAAAATTGCATATGTAAGACAATAAATGATAAAAAGAGGATCACTTTACATTGGTAAAATACAATAATTGTTATGTATAGTCATCAACTTATGACAGTTATAATAGTCACGAAACTGTGCCAAATAATAAGCATCTAAATTAGCTGTTCAAGACTATGTTTTTTATTCCCTAACTTCATTTTACTGTGCTCCAAGCAATGGTCTGTATGTTACTAGTCCTTTGAAATGTACTGAGGTGAGACTTGCCCAATAGGTGGTTTTTGTAAATGTATCTTGTATGCAGTTGTGTTTACATCATTAAGTTCCTACTGAAATTTTTTTTGTCTTCTTGATAGATCAGTTAACTCTAATACCATAATTGTAGATGTCTCAGTTTATCTTTGTGGTTATGTGTATTTTTGCTTCATGTATTTTGAGGCTATGTTATTGGGTACCCATAGGTTTTATCATTATATAATGATCCTTTTATCTTTAGTAATTCTTTTTATCTTCAAGTCTACTTGCTTGCTATATTTTTTCATAGTTTTACTTTCAAGCTTTATTTGGAGTGTCTCTTATAAAGAGTGCATCACAGAGTGAGGCAGTGTTACCTCCGTGCATCTCAGGGAGTGCTGTGTGGAGAGGCTGCCGCCGCCGATGGCTGTCAAGAGCAGAGGCCGAGCCTCTGTGTGGCTCCGCTCTTCACCCTTCCTCTGCTCTTCTGCCTCAGGGAGTGGATCGCAAGGAAAGAATGCAAAGTGCAGGAGAGTTTTCATTAGACAGATACTCGTAATACTAAGAATCAAAGCCCAGCAATCCAACACTAGAAGATTGGCTAAAGAGGTTATTTTAATAATTTTTGTTTAGATACTGATATTTATGATATTTTCAAAAAGTTTTTAAATCTCATGAGAAACGCACATGTAAAGTGAAGGAAGTAGAATATGATAAAAATAGACACTATGATCACTTTGAAACCACTTTAACACTCACTAAAATCAACACTAAATACAAGAATCAATAAGGGAGAGAAGCCCTTTCAGGCACAAGAGGTCTTTCCCAGCTCCCGCTCATCTCAGCCCTGCCTGCCCTCCCAGCCTCTCTGGTGGAGATGGGCATGAGGCCGTGATCAGTTGCAGCCTGATTCTCAGTATTCCTCATTCTCCCCAACAGAGTGTGATGCTGGATCTTGCCAAGCGCAGTCGCAGTGGTAAATTCCGCCTCGTGACCAAGTTTAAAAAGGAGAAAAACAACAAGAACAAAGAAGCTCACAGTAGCCTGGGAGCCCCGGGTACCTGCCTCTCTCCCGCGTGTGTTTCTGGCCGTCCACGCCTGCTGGATCGGCCCCGTTCCCCTGGTCTCTGCTTTCTCCCTTGGCCTTGCAGCTCCTCCCTCTTGGTCCCTGTGCTGTAACCCCCGGTCCTGCGACCACACTTGTCTGTTGGTAGCTGCAGCCCTCCACCCTGCCTGCTTCCCCTCTGACCGTTGTCACACCCGGCCCTGACGTGCTCTCTGGCTTTCTGCCTGCCCTGAGTTGGGGGATTCGAGGTGGGGAGGAAGACAGCAGTAGAGTGGTGACAAGACAAACTTGGAGACACAAAGCTCTGGACTCAGGCCGTGCTGGGGCATGCCCTGCCTGCTCCCTCCTGGGCTGCTGGTTCCTGATAAATTGATGCATTGGTCGAGGTTCCTGTGCTGGGAAGCCCAGGCCACCAGAGATTGTGGGTGATGAAATCAATCGAATATGGTCCTGAAGGACATTGTTCCTTTGGGTCAGTAAATTGGAGCTAAACTCTCTGTCTGAAGGATCAGCCCTGAATACCCAGGCCATATCCAGTGCTGTCAGGGGCTGGAGAGGCCTCCAAGCCTGGATATTGGGACTGGTGTTTGCCGCCAGTCAGGGCAGCTCCTGTGGGTTTTTCTTCTTTGCATGTTTGTCCAGAAATGGGGTTTCTGTTAATAATGGTGGCTCTGACTATGTGAATTGAAATCTCTGCTCGTTTCCTTTCCTGCTATGGTCCAGAAGTGAAATTTAACCCTTCTAGAAGCTGGAGGAAAAGCTGGCTTTGGCCACAATCATGAGGACATTTCCCTCATATTTGGTGGTGGTAAATCCCTCCTGGGACACGGGGAAATGACCAGAGGCTGGCGGCCCACCTGGCAGGAACAGATGCCAGCTCTGCTGCAGCCATCGCCCCTTGAGCGGGTGGCTCTGTGCCTCTTTCTGCACTGCTGGTGGGTGGTGCTGTTGGCTGGGTGATGGATACCGGCTGCCAGAGATGGCTCAGGTGCCAGCTGCTGGGCTATCTCAGGCACTGGCTGCTGGGCTATCTCGGGTGCCGGCTGCTGGGCTATCTCAGGCGCTGGCTGCTGCTGGGCTGTCTCGGGTGCTGGCTGTTGGGACGTCTCCTGTCCTGGCACTGGGCTCTCGGGTGCTGGGTGCCAGCTGCTGCCTACCTTGCACTGGGCTCTGGGCACTCACTGCACTCGTGCTTTTCCATCTCCGACAGTTCACCTCTGGGGGACAGAGGAGGTTGCTGCCTGGCTGGAGCACCTCAGTCTCTGTGAGTATAAGGACATCTTCACACGGCACGACATCCGGGGCTCTGAGCTCCTGCACCTGGAGCGGAGGGACCTCAAGGTACTTCCATAGGCGTCTCCCTGGAACCTGCACTTGGGCTTGCACGCAGCTCCCTTCTCTTCCATCCTCTCCCCCGACCTGGCCATGTCCCAGCATCACGATTCTTCTCAGGCTTTCGTGTATACCTCAGGTGGGGGCGGCTGTGGCCCTCATCTAGGCAGTGATGGCTCCACCCACCACAACCAGAGGAAGCCAGGAGCAGACATAATGGGGGGCAGAGCCTTGGTTATCTTAGGCTACTCAGACAAGGACTGTCTTCGTGTTAAAAACACTATGAGGGGACACAGACCCTGAAGCACAGTCACACACGACTGTCCCCATGCTGCTCCTGGGCGGGTGCTGCCACTCGTCTGCAGGGAGCATTGGGAGGGGTGGTTGGGTGCCAGGCCTCGGTCTATGCCAGGCCTCACGCCACATCTTGCAGGCCCATGCCCCTGCCCAGGTTGGCCTCAACGGGCCAACCCCTGGGTGTTGAATCACTGGCTGAGTCCCGAGAGGGCAAAAGGCCACTGTGGGTGTCCTGGACAGTGGCTCTCATGAGGTCACTTGTCATCCACTTGCTTTTAGGCCTGTGTTTTGTCTTTGTCTTGGATTTGTCCTTGCTGATGGTAGTGACTAGAATGCAGGAACAATGGGCCAGGCATCTGTATGGTTGTTACTTTTAAGCTGTTTCCATCTTGTTTTACCGTTTTTGTCATTTTGGCTCTCATTTGTGTTCACAAGCCGAATGGGAAGGGCCGTTGTGGCAGGCCTGCTGTGGAGCCCTCTGGCCCTGGCTGTCTTCTCGGCATCCATGGCGGTGTCTTCTCTGTTGCAGGACCTGGGCGTGACCAAGGTGGGCCACATGAAGAGGATCCTGTGTGGCATCAAGGAGCTGAGCCGCAGCGCCCCCGCCGTCGAGGCCTAGCCTCTGTCCTCTCAGCCTGTGGCCTCCACATCCCCGCCGCCGAGGCCTAGCCTCCGCCCTCTCAGCCTGTGGCCTCTGCGCCTCCTGCCACTGAGGCCCTGGGCAGATGCTGCAGCCCGCCCCCTTCTCATGGTGCTACTTCCTCTGTCAGCTACAGAAAGCCTCCGTGACACCGTCCACCAGAGCTCTGGGGTCTCGAACATAACAACACAGCTACCTTTGAAACAACACTTTCTCCAGCTCAGAGTCACCTGGGGCACATGTGTCACGGCCACTCAGCTCTCGCCCGCCTGTGCTGTGGGCCAGGGAATCCAGCGGCGTCTGGCCTCCTGGGCACTGCTTGCCTGGCCTCGTGCTTGGATTGTCCCGGGGGCTCCTCTCCGTGTGTCCTTCTGTGGCCGCACCGTGTGGCTCCGCCTCCTGGCCCCCAGCCAGTTCTCAGAAACGTGGCTGGGGCCCAGCACAGCAGCCTGCAAGGGCCCCTGTTTGTTGATGCAGCTTTTGTTGAACAAAAATCGTGCTCTTTCCTGGTTTGAAAGTAGCATGGATGTTTCCAGTCTTGTTGATTGTAATTTGACGTGAAGAGAAAAAAAAATTCCTCCTGCGTGAGCCAAGGCAGCGGGTGCTGTTTCCCAGGCGGGGAGCCCCTCCCTGGGTGTCACAGGGCCTGTGCTCCTCCCTCCTCCATCCTCTCTCCTCCCGCTCCTCCCTCCCCCCACTGTGGGCTGGGGACGCCTGCCCTTCTGTCTCCGGACGCTCTAGGCGAGTTCAGCTTGGGGTGTGAGTGAGACAGCTTGCCAGCTGCATCCCTGCAGACAGAGGATGTGTGTCCACATGAGTGTTTCTGTGTGGGAAATGCTTCCTGGCTCTGGGAAACTTTTTCTGCCCATTCTGTGGTTCCCAGGGAGCGTGGCCCTGGTGGGCCAGGGGTGGTTTGACCTCTTCAGCCCGTCCGGTGGCCTGGAGGCCGGAGGCTCTCCTGAGTGTCTGCCCCTGCAGTGGCTTCTTGTCGCCTGCTGCTGGGCGTGATGTCGCTGGAGGTGCTGGCAGGGACTCTGATTTGGTGGTCCGCGCTGCCCCTGCCCTGCCTCTGTCCTGGCTCTGAACTAGTAGATGATGGTGCCAGAGGGCAGGGAGCTCGCCTGGGGAGAGGGCTGTGCCCCGTAGGGACAGTGCCCAGGTGAAGGATGCCCCTGGTCCTCCAGGGCACTGACTTTGCCCTTTTTTCCCGTTGATAGTCATGGCTCAGAGGTGCTTGTAAATGTCTTGGGAAGAGGTTTCTGTAACCCCTGCCCTGGTGTGAGGAGGAAATGGCTCTGGCCTGGCTGCCTGGCCGTGGCTTCTCTTTGGCTCCCAAAGAGAAGGACAGTGTTGGGAGTATCTGCCGTGGCTTCTCTTTGGCTCCCAAAGAGAAGGACAGTGTTGGGAGTATCTGCCGGCGCTGTCCAGGTCCTTTAGTCAGCGTCACTCCATCTGATGTGCAGAAGCTGGGCTGCACCTGCGGGGGTGGGCATAGACCGGGCTGGGTCTGCAGCAGCCCCTGGTCCTGAGCAGGCGGCAGTGAACAGCACTGGCCCACCTCCCACTCACAGCCCCTCTGTCCCCTCTGCAGTGCACCCAGGTGGGCCCCTCTGCGTGCCTTTGGGTGCTCCCCTCTCGTGGTCGTTCTGGCCCGAGGCCCTTAGAGTATGGAGGCTGAGCCAGGCCTTGGGTTTCCCCAGCACAGCCTCCTGTCGCTGCATGCGACGTGTTGGGATTTTTGGATGAAAGACTCTCCCACGCTCTGTTGGTGGACTTAGCTGCCTCACTGGAAGTGATGTGGGTGGAAGGTGGTTGTATGTTACCTTTTCCACCTCTCATTGTTTTCCCCAGAACATTGTAGATGGGGGTTGGCAGAGGGAGAAATAAGCCAGCCACGGCAGTCGCTTGGTTTCCCAGGTGGAATGGGCTAACACAGGAGATGATGGGAACCTGTCCCGCAGTCCCTGCATGACCATTGGCCCTGCTGGCCTGGCGATGTGGGCATCCTGGGGTTCTTAGGGTCCCAGAACAAGCCCCAGGCAAGCTGGAACTTGGGTGGGGAGGGGACATGAGGAGGATAAACAGCTGACTGTGGCTTCAAGGACATCAGGGCCACCCCAAGTCCTCAGTGTCCTACTCCTGGCAAGGAGTTGGGTTTGGATCAAAAGTGTTTAAAATTAATATGTTGTCAGTGATTAGAACAACACTGTTTACATAAAAACCATTTTTCTAATTCTAACAAGTTAGAATGTGAGGAAGGAATGAACATGAGTGTTTAGGAACCTGCCCTTTGGTGCTGGGCTGGCGTCCCGCACTGGGGTGTCCTCGCTGTCTGGGGGCTGCTCTGCTGCCCCGGCCCAGGTCCCCTTGTGGTGTTGCCAGACGGGCCTCATGGTCTGCTGTGCAGAGAGAGGCAGGAAGGATCCCTGAAGAGTCTTGGAGAAAAGGTTCTGTGCCCTCAGGTGGGGCTTACCCCCTCGTATTTATAATCTTAATTTATATAGTGACCACCGTGGAAACAAACGCCTCTTGTATTGTCATGTACATAGTCCATACCTGAGTGCTGTACATAAGTTGTTCTGTGTATAAATAAAACAAGCCTGTTTTTGATCTTCCATCGCCAGAGTCTTTGTCATCATTCCTTGTGCTTTGACATAAAGTGTTGGTTGCCGGAATCTTTCCAAACTGGATTCAGAATTGTTTTTCACCTGCTCTGAAAATAGGTTGAGTTGTTGGTGGCTAAAAAGCAAAACAGAATGCCATTAGCATGCCATCAGAATGCCGTTAGAATGCCATTAGAATGCTGTTGTATTTTTTAGGGTGTGGGTTCTGTGATCAGTTGGACTAAAAATTCCGCAAGGAGAGAGAGGGTACTGGGCAGTGCTGAGGCTCTCAGGTGTGACCACACAGCCTTGGCCCGGGAGAATGAGGGCCATTTTAACGAATATTTTAACCCTCTTAAATCTTTTCTATAAAACTGCAAACCTGAAGCTCTCCGACTTCTCTGCTTTGTCTTGGTACTTTTATTTCCAAGGGAACTGTCTACGATCAAGGCCACTTGAATTGTCTTCCCCAGTTTCCTGGAGTGAGGGATGGGGACTGCATTCATGGAAGACACCATCAGGCTGGTCGGGTACAGAAGGGCTGCATGTGCTCCGGGAGTGTTGGCTGCCTCCCTAGCAGCTCTTCCTCACTCCTTCCATGGTAACAAACCCCCCCGTTTTTTTTTTTCTGGTGTATATTCTCCTCTCTGGCCATTCAGGACTTCAGGCCTCATGGTTGCAAGATGGCCACCACAGCTCCAGGCATCACACCAGTGTAAGGTGTTTGGGGACAAATGGCTGCCTCTTTTATGTGTCACCTGCTCTTTTTGTTGTTGTTGTTGAAGATGAGGTCTTGCTCTGTCTTCTGGTCTGGAGTACTGTGGCATAATCGTAGATCACTGCAGCCTCCAAATCCTGGACTCAAGTGATCCTCCCACCTCAGCCTCCCTTGTAGCGGAGAGTACAGGTGCATGACAACATACCCAGCTAGTTTGTAAAATTTTTTGTAGAGACTGGGTCTCGCTTGCTTCCTAGGCTGGTTTTGAACTCCTGGCGTTAAGCGATCCTATGTGTGTCTCTTTTTAAGATAAAGGGAGCCCTTTCCGAAGCTCTGGCTTCAGCCGACCTCCTCTAATGTCTTGGCTAGAACTGCCTCACGCACTCATGACTAAACCAATCAGTGCGAAGGGTACGAGCTATTACGGTGATCGGGATGCTGACGGCTGACACTTTATAATTTGTGCCAGGTGTTGGTCTAAGTACCTTGAATGTACGAACTCCTCTAATTCCCCTCACAGCCTTACATGGTGGGTTATCTGCATTTTACAGGCGAGGGACAGGCTCAGAGAGGCGACACAACTTGCCCCATGAGGCACAGCCAGCGCGTGGCTGACATGGGAGGCAGAGGGCATATCTTTTCGACAGCCGTGCTCTCCCGTGTCCCAAGCCTCATAGCAAGCCCAGCCCACAAGACAGGTGAGGAAATTGGGCCCAAGTGACAGGCATGCTTTCCAGCACAGCAGCCGGGGCGCCTCACGTGCTGGGGGCACCAGATGCCCGGGCAGGGGCAGACCTGGGGGGAGGCTGGTGTGCGCTTTGCCAGCCTCACTCCTGTGCCCGCGTGGCTCATCTCACACGGGGCATGGCTCCATTGTGTGGGAAAGCAGTGAGGAGGGGGCTTCTCACAGAGACAGCATCTGACAGCGTGGGGAGGCCGGGCAGCGATCTAGAGTGGACGGGGCTGCAAGTGTAGCATGATCGCGAGACGGGACAGTAGAGTTGAGTGGAGAAAATGCAGCAGGGTCTATACTGTTTTTAAACTGATCCTCTTCAGAATTCCCCAACCACTTAGAAAAACAAACTGGGTGCTTGGTCCAGTAATGTTAACTGAACCCTGGATTTGTGGCCTCTGTTGTTTGCCAGAAGAGTTTTGCTGTGGTCCCCCCACCCCTTTGTGCCCTGGCTCCAGGTGGGCTCACGCGCGTTCCTTGGCTGTAGGTTACTGGACCCCACCCAGAGCTCTTAGACCTGGGCTAGGAGTGGGTGCAACTCGGAGTCGCCCCTCTGGGGTGGGGGCGGTGTGGCTGGGAGGGAGGTGCAACAGCCACACCAACACGAGGGTGCTGCCATCTTTGAAGCACATGCGTGTGAAGGACATGGGCACCTGGAAGCTCTGGGCAATGCACCTTCCCCTCTCCCCCGACTGTCATTCCATGGAGCCCACGGACATCACCCACTTAGGGCCCAGGGCTTTCACTGGTTTGTAGAAAGAGGCACTTGGTGGCTGCCTCGTGTGATGGAGCTGCTGGTGGCGTCTCGGCACCTGGGGAGGTGCCTGCGGAGACAGAACCACCTCAGAGCAGCACACTGGGGCGTGGCAGAGGCACCACTGTCCCCTGAGCACTCGTCTGGCCCCGCCCCAGCCTGGTGTGAGCTCATTGGTGGTCTCTTGTTTCCTGAGCCGGGAGATTGCCGTGTCTGCTCCTGCCACCCCAAGTCGGGGCAAGGACCTGCAGATGAAGGGCCCTGTCTGCCACACTCTGCAGCCATTGCCACAGGGACCTGGACGCATGGCAGCACGTGGGCGTGTGTGGTGGGAGTGGGGGAGGGCAGCGGCCAGAGGGAGCTGGAAGCAGTCTCTCTTTACTTGGATACTGAGGTCACCGCTTCACCCAGAATGCGTTTGTTATGGATTTTATTGAACCCTGGTATGGCCATGCTTTGGGTGGGTGCGTTATCCAGAACAGAACAGAATGATGGACCTGTAGGGTGAAGGGGCTGTTGTAAGTTGGTCCCTCACTGTTAAGTCTGTTCTGCAGGTTAAACTCACATCGATGGCGCCAAAATGATTTGCAAGGGAATTCTTGCCCCTCCCTTTTTTGGCTAGAAAAAGTCACTGTTGAATAAGTATGTTTTCTGTGACGACACCACCATTACGTATTTCCATAGAAGGAAAATAAAACCAGATTGATTACATCCAGTTTCTTCCAGTGCATTTTTCCCATGAGTCTGAACTTTTTAAAACCAAAGCAAACTTGTTATTTCTAAAGCAGCACTGCTGCAGTATTTCTAAATATAAACTGTTTATTTAGCATCTGAAGCAGGCTTGGGAAAAAGGGCCACAAACGTTCCTTATTTTATTTATGTATTTTTTTTGAGACGGAGTCTCGCTCTGTCACCCAGGCTGGAGTGCAGTGGCACGATCTTGGCGCACTGCAACCTCTGCTTCCTGGGTTCAGACGATTCTCCTGCCTCAGCCTCCCGAGTGGCTGGGACTACAGGCGCCCGCCACCATGCCCAGATAATTTTTTGTACTTTTAGGAGAGACAGGGTTTCACCATGTCAGCCAGGCTGGTTTTACACTCCTGACCTCAAATGATCCACCCGCCTTGGCCTCCCAAAGTGCTGGGATTACAGGCGTGAGCCACCGCGCCCGGCCAAAAGTTCCTCTCTTAAGCAAGCTGGGCACGAAGTAGCCGGCAACCAAAAGCAGCTAAGGGCTACAACTTTAAAAAATGGTTTATTTTTTTCTTTAACAAAATCGTACAGCTTTCTCAATCCCCAAATTAAAAAAACAGAAAACAGGAAGAAAGGGAAGAAGGCAAAGGCCACACGCACAGGCCGGCCCGGCCGCACGCGCCTGCTGGACGGCACTTCAGGGCACAACCCACACGCGTCTTTGGACTTGCAGACATTCCGCGAGGCTTCTGGCCTCTCGAAGGCAAAGCTTTTCAGCGATTTCATTAATATTTCATTACGCTGAGATGAGATGAAGGCAGATGCTACAGAAATATGTCAGTTAAAGCCACAGAAACAGAACAGCTTAAGAAGGGCTGGGCGCCCAGCTCGTCACGACACTTACAGCTCTGGCGTCATCAGAAGCCTCTATCATCTCCCTCTGCAAAGACGCAGTCTACACCCAGTGCGAGTCTCCTGAGCGGGGTTAGTGTTTGGGAGTGGGAGGCAGCTGCTAGTCAGAGTTGGGTCCTTAGGGCGCAGTGCTTCACGGAAACGCACAGACGTCTATGGCAGACGCTCTCAGACACGTGTGCAGAAGCGACGTGGCTTCTGTCTGGTAGGGGTTTGGACTGTTGGGAGGAGTATGAGGGACAAAGCAGGCCGCTGGCTCAGCATCAGCTTGTTGGAAAAGGGTCACAGGCAGGGGAGCGCCTGACTCCAGCGGTGTCCTTTCTGCCCTCACACTTCAGTGCTGCTTCCCATCAGTGACGGGGCTGACGAGAAACCGTGAGGCCCAGGTGACAAGCAGGCTCAGGACATGCGACACCGTCTTCGGGATGCTGCTTTCCGCTAAGCTGCTGTCTGGGAAAGTCAACCGTCTATGTCCCAAATCAATCAACTCAGTGACACAGGTACTATTATTTCTCACAAATGCCAATTAAATCCTTTAAGTTGAATAGAAATCTGGGTTGGATTAAGTGGGAAAACCCTTCCTTAGTTTACATTTTCTTTTTCTCAGGTGTTTTCATTGAGGCTACTCAGGAAACCGGTCAGGCTGCCCAGGACACCTGGAACCTGGGCTATGCCAGGCCTGTCTGCCACAGCCCTGCCTGCCCCGCTTCCACACAGGAAGAGAGGCTGAGGCGCTGTGGACGGCAGCAGCTGCAGTCCTCGGGATCCAAGGACCTTCTGATCACAGAGCACCCAGGATAAGCTGGACCCTTGGCCTGCGGGCTGACGTGCAGCGGCTGCCCTTGCTTAGCAGAGCGACTCACCCTCGGAGGCCACCCTGTGTGGCTCCTCCTCGTGGAAAGAGCTCGCACTTTTCAGCATCGCAGTTTTAACTCAGACCAAAGGGCAGACGTGGAGCATGCGGGGCCGGAACGAGTGGGGGAAATGAAGTCCTGAAAGCAGACCCCACTTCTGCCCGCTTCTGCTCAGCACCAGCGCGGTGGCGCAGTGGCCTGAGACACTGTGAGAAGCCGGTCAGGGCGAACGAGAGTCATCTGAACACGGAGGAAAGTGGCTGGCCTGACCCCACACACCTCCCACAGCGGAGCAACGGCATGCCGCTGCCTCCATACCTGCGGTTCACGCACACGTTGTGCATTTTCTGGTTAAAAGAAAAAAAAAGGCAGCTGGGGCCGGGTGCTGTGTGAGAGAGCCCAGCACCTACTGGCAGCTGGGTGGGCGACATCCAGAGCTGCACCAGCCCCCGTGGCTGCCACGTGTTGCAGAGCTAAGTGACTACATGCACTGGCCAGGCCTCAGAGGAGCCGTCCCTGTGCTCAAAGGAAGCAGAGGATTTGGGATTGGAGGCGCCAGGCAGCCAGTCCCCATGCCCAGGAAACCCACGTTTGTGGCATCAGCCGGAGAGTTCATCGGGAGTAGAGCCGTGCAGCGGCGCGGTTATCTGAAGCTCCCCACGTGGATGGAGAGAGAAGTTTCCGGGGCTCGGGGCCGGGCAGGCGTCTCTGCACTGGAGAGGATGTAGCTGCTCTGCTCATGGAGGGCTTCTTGGCTGCAGAGACACAGACACTGTCATTGACTCATGGATGCAGTGGGTGTCAGGGTGAGGGGTTCACGAAGACCCCAAAATACACTCCAATTTTATAGGCCACAAGGACGTGCATTTGCAATTGCACAGACAGATCTCAGCCACCTGCCAGAGGGCCCCATTTTGCCCTGCCACCAGCCCTGTGCCAGGCCAGCTGCCTTCCCCTGCTTTGCACTGGCAGCACGGCATGGTTCAGGCTCTGGGGCTTTCTCAATCTGCTCAGTGAAAATGCCTCACAGCTGAGAAACCTTCCTTTCCGTACTTTTTAAACGGAAGAATAACATCCGGAGTGCACACACACCGCTGCACGACTCGTCACAATCACGCACACCTGTGTGACATGATGCAGAGGCTGCCTCTGCCCCTTCAGTCTTGCCCGGAGAGACAGGCCACTTGGCATCCCACTCAAGAGACTGGCTTTCGCTGTGACCCCCCCGGCCCATGGCACCGTGCGGCAGGTGCTCTGCGGCCGGGTGCTTTGGCCCAGCCTGATGTGTGTGGCCCACCCACGCTGCACAGTCCCCGACAGAAAGCCTCCGCGGCCCACCCGCCATCCCACTGCTGAGCAGCCTTTCCTTCAATACGGCCAGAATCTGGCCATGGTGAATGAAGCTGCCTTGTAATTTTGGGGATATCCTGGTAGGCACGCGTCCATGTTTTTGAGGAGTAGAAGGCTGGGTACCGGGAAGTGCCCAGCAGATGCAGCAGGAGGTACTGTCCTGAGTTCCAAAGTGTCTGTGCCAATTCCACACCCACACACAGGGGATGAGAGCCCCAGTGACTCTGCGTCCTCAACACACGAGTCTTTCCCACTTTAGTGTTGCCAATAGGCATGTGGCACTGTCTCGGAGTAGCTTGAATTTACACCTCTTTTATCATGAGTGAATGGCTGAGCATATTTTTATATGCTGGCAAGCGATTTGCAGTTCCTTTTCTATGAACTGTTCATACCCTTTACCTACATTTTTATTGGATTGGTTGTCTTTTTCTTATTTGCAGATAATGTTTACAGCCATACCCTCTGACCTAGCAATTCCATTGCAGAAATCTGTCCTACAGATATATCCACATCTGTACTGCAAAATGGTGAATATACAAGGTTATTCACTGTGATGGTGACAGATTGGCGACAGCCTGGAAGTGTGTGAGGTGGGCATAAGTCACCTAAGCTGTGGTCTACCCATGCATCAGGACACCACGCTCCCACCATGAGACGGGGCAGCTGAGTACACACTGGTACATGAAAACAGCAAGGTTACCAAGAAAGTTCTGGTCAAAAGAGAAAGGAAAGCTTCTCTGCCCCTATACACAGGTCTCTGAAAGGACATGCAGGTGACGGTCACGCTGGCCCATCTAGGAGAGGCTGTGTACCTGGGGAGGGAGGTGCAGAGATTTCTCAGTGAACCTCTTTGGTGGCTTTTGAAAGCACGTGACACTATTAACTCCAAAAAAAAATGAAAAACAATATAGTAAGTGGTTACATCACGGTGTTCAGAAGACACCAGTGGTCTACTGTTGTGCAAACAGCACGTGTGAGGCTTAAGATGAGGTTTTCAGTGACAGCACCATGAATTTTTAAAATGTGCTATCTCAAACAGCACAGATGACAATGGAGCTCCCAGGGCCTGGGGAACTATTGGATGTCTCCAAATAACAGCCCTGGTGACAACTAAGGCTTTGACAGAGAGGATGCTTGGAGAAGTCTGATGAAGTCAGTGGCATCACATTTAAATGTGGAAACAGAGCCAGGCGCGGTGGCTCACGCCTGTAATCCCAGTACTTTGGGAGGCCAAGGCGGGCTGATCACAAGGTCAAGAGATTGAGACCATCCTGGCCAACATGGTGAAACCTCGTCTCTACTAAAAATACAAAAATTAGCTGGGCATAGTGGTGCACGCCTGTAGTACCAGCTACTTGGGAGACTGAGGCAGGAGAATCGCTTGAACCCGGGAGGCGGAGGTTGAAGTGGGTTGAGATCGTGCCACTGCACTCCAGCCTGGCGACAAGGTGGGACTCCGTCGCAAAAAAAAAAAAAAATTTGGAAAACAGTATTTTAGTGTCTATGTATTAGACACGTATAGAATTTTACGTGTGTGTGTGTGTGTGTGTGTGTGTGTGTGTCTGACCTTTAAACAGGAAAACCCCCGAAGCAGCCAGCGCTGCAGCCCCTCTCCCATATCCCAGGTCTCTGAGGGCACCAGGACCTGAGGGCTGCAGAGCTGCGAATGGGGGTGAGGCCAGGCACAGGTCCTTTGCTATCCTGGGGCTCCCGGGGCCCTTAGGGAGTCAGCAAAGGCCACGGGACAGTGCTGTCCGGAAAGCAGCCCAGACCCCGGAGAGCAGAGAGGAAGGGGCCCTGGCCCAGGGGCCGTGCTGCTTGCGGAGCTCACACAGTCCCTACCCACCTCCATCTTCACTCAGGGAGTCTCCTCGCTCGGCTCCCTGATTCTACTTCTACCTCCTAGAATCCACTCACCACAAAGCAGCCAGTGATCATGTCAACGCGTCCCCCTTCACACCCTCCAGCAGCCTCTAACCACGCTCGAACCCCCACTTCTGCCATGGTCACGAGGTCACGCTCACCTGCCCTGCCACCTCCACCTGGGACCTCTCTTCCCCAGACGCCCCCAGTGGCAGAGGGCATGCAGTCCCTGGCACACGGGCAGCCAAGATACTGAGGGGCAGAAGAAGGGGATTAGGGTGAGCGGGGCCAGATCAGGCTCCTACAGTCATTTGGGCAGGGAAAGATGAAATCCACCAGGGCAGAAGCAGTCAGAATAGGACAAAAGGCAGATTTAGGAGAGACCCAGAGTCCGTGAGTCGGGGAGTGGGGGAGGATGAGGACGCCTGGGGGCCTCTGGTGAGGCCTGCATGGAGCTGATGCCACGGGCAGGTCCTGGGACTTGTGGTGGTGGTGAGCTGAGCAGTGCGAACTGAGCCTCACGCCCCAGTTCCGGGTGTGTGGCCTGGAGGCCTGAAGACAGCCGGCTGGGCACAGAGCCTGTGGCTTGGCCTGACTGCAAGCAGCACCTGCTTCCTCCAGTGGCAGTAAGTGCAGAGCCAGACAACGGCAGGCGGCGCCAGAGCTGGGAGGAGGGAGAGAGGCAAGGAGTCCTGAGCAGAGGTAGAAGATGGCCTGTGGCAGCGGAGTCCTGGCGGCCAGGGGTCAGGCAGTGTCCTGGAGGAAGTGGGGTAGCAGCCCTGAAGCCACAGCAGCGTCCCCTGGAGTGGCCAGGCTCTCGGGAACCTTGGAGAGAGCGGGAGAAGGACAGGGAGCCCGCAGCAGGGCTGAGGTGGCAGCAAGACGGGGTGGTTCTGGAGACCTGAGGGTGTGGGAACCTGAAGGGAAAGCCAAGAGCCAGGCAGAGGGTGAGGCTGCGGGTGAGGAGGAAGGAGGGGGACCGGGGGGCCATGGATCTGCGGGCTCCTCATCGTGCCTCTGCAGTTCACGTGGACTTCACCTGTTCCACAGAAAGCTCCAGGAGGAGGCACTCAAGGAGAGGAAAGAACGCAGGGGGCGGAGAAGGACCCGCCACACTGGTGTGCTTTGTGTGCACTCTGAATCAACAAGAGTTTCCGGTCCCTCTCAGTTTCCAAGCAGGAATAAGAGAGAGTCAGAGAGGGCTCTGTCAGCTGCACATCTGTGCAGACCCCAGCAATTACCTTTTCCTTCTCCCCAGGGCCCGTTGTTTCTGCTTTTCTTTTCCAGTGTCATCTCTGATTGTACTGAAATCATCATCGTCGTCAATCAGGAGATTCTACATTTCAAAAGAAGTAATGAGCAGTGTTTTCTGACATCTTTTTAGCCTACATTTAAAAGAGGCATGTCTAAAAAACTACCTATATTGACAAAAGAACAGATTCAAATTTACATAAACTAGGTGAATAACTGATTAAAAAAAATCCTCTTGCTCGATGAAAACAAACTCGGGGGTGGCAAGAAGAGCTCCACAAGGGAAATTAATTTCCAGCCATCTGACCTTTCCCTTCAGCTCCAGAAGCTTCCACTGCGAGTGGCCAAACAGGGGGACTTTAAAGGGCTACCAGGCAACATGAAGACAGAGATCATCCACATCAGCACACGGATCTCTCATCGCCGCGCCAGAAGCACAGCTGTTTACTTTATAGACACCGTCAGTCTGTTCTCGCCTCTGTATTTCTATAGCCAGCCCCAGCTTCTGAGAGGCATGAACTTGGCTTTACTTCCTTGGCATCTCCTGCAAGCCTTAACTGCAGGGTTTCACAAACACAGGCTGCTCCCTGCATTCCCGTGACTGGGCAAGCCTCCTCCCTTTCCCAGGACTCGCAGGTTGTTTTCCACACGCATGTTATTTCCGTAAATGCTGTCCACAGGGAGGACGCCTCAGGGGCGCACCCAGGAAGGGAAGTGCGTGTCAGGAAAGACACAGCGCAGGGTCTGCGGGGTTCGTGCTGGGGGTTGCCCAGGTCGCTGGCTGCATTCTCAGGTGTGGAGGTGGGGAGCTGGCTCTGGCTAGACATCACAGTTAAACTCTTCAATGACTGAGAGATTAACCAGGCTCTGCAGGAGGGTCTGGCTACTTCTCAGTGCCCCGCCTCTGCTAGGAACATGTCGTGTCAAGTATTATAATCTCTATTCTAATACACTCATATGATAAGCCAATATTATAATTTCTGTTCCAGTAAATTGCACATGACACAAGTTTTAAAAATTGTGGGGAGGCTGAGGCTGGGGAATGGGAGACTGAGGCAGAAGAGTCACTTGAACTCGGGAGGTGGAGGTTCCAGTGAGTCAAGATTGCGCCACTGTACTCCAGCCTGGGTGACAGAGTGAGACTCTGTCTCAAAAAAAAAAAAAAATCTGTCAATTTCTTTCCACTTCATTCTATTACCTGTAATGCTTCAGTGAGCATATCCATGTGTCTCCACACACCTATGGGCGAGTTATTCTAGGGAATACAGCTAGGAGTGGGACTCCTTGGTTGTATCGACGGGCATCTGTGTACTAAACTAACACCAAACTGCTCTCCAGAGTAGCTGTACCAACTTGTGTTCCCACTGGAGTTTTTTTTTTTTGTTTTTTTTTTTTTGACACACGGTCTGACTCTGCCACCCTGGCTGGAGTGCAGTGGCATGATCTCAGCTCACTACAACCTCCACCTCCTGGGGTCAAGTGATCCTCCTGCCTTAGCCACCCAAGAAGCTGGGTTTTGCCATGTTGCCCTGGCTGGTCTCAAACTCCCGAGTGCAAGTGATCTGCCTGCC
This sequence comes from Homo sapiens, assembly GCF_000001405.40. Taxonomy (NCBI): domain Eukaryota; kingdom Metazoa; phylum Chordata; class Mammalia; order Primates; family Hominidae; genus Homo; species Homo sapiens. Next base: position 233,482,784 of record NC_000002.12, read on the forward strand.
TTGGCCTCCCAGAGCGTTGGGATTACAGGCGTGAGCCACTGCGCCTGGCCATGTGTGTGGGAGTTCCCACGGTCTCACTAGCAAGGGCAGCTTCCTGCTGGATTCTGCAGCTCCCTGCAATTGGCAAGCTGATTCTCTTTTCATGTGTTTCCTGGCCATTCTCTTCTCCTCTGTGAACTGCCAGTGATAACCTTGGCCCACTTCTCTATTGGGTTATTTTTTGATAACAGATTTGCAGAAGATCTGCTGTCTATGCTGGAGAATAACCCTCTGCTGTGTTACTGCGTATGTCGCTCCCCTGTTTGTGACTTCCCTTTTCACTGTTTTTTATGATTTCCTTTGACGAACAAAAGTTCTCACTTCTAATGTAATGAAATTTACTGATTCTTTCATGGTTTGCACTTTCTGTTTAAGAAATCCTTCTTGCCAGGCATGGTGGCTCACGCCTGTAATCCCAGCTCTTTGGGAGGCTGAGGCAGGTGAACTGCCTGAACTCTCCTGTTCAAGACCAGCCTGGGCAACACGGCATAACCCCGTCTCTACCAAAAATACAAAAAATTAGCCGGGCATAATGGCACGTGCCTGTGGTCCCAGCTACTTGGGAGGCTAACGTGGGAGGATCGCTTGAGCCCGTGAGGCAGAGGTTACAGTGAGTGGAAATCATGCTGCTGCACTCCAACCTGGGTGACGGAGTGAGACCCCATCTCAAAAAATAAAAAAAAGAAATCCTTAACTTGAAGTCAAAGATTTTCTTATGTCTTCTAAAGATTGAAAATGAGTGGTTTTCACATTTAAGTCTTCAACTGGATTGCCTGTTGACTATGGTGTGAGCAGAGGTAAGTACAGGTTTTATGGGGCCTGACGCTGACTCAAGTCAAGCATACCTAATCCAGAAATCCGAAACTCAATGGAGCATTTCAGATTTCAAATTTTTGGATTAGGGAGGCTCGACCGTTAAGTATAATGCAAATATTCCAAAACCCGAAAAAACCTGAAATCTGAGACAGTTCTGGTCCCAAGCATCTTGAATCATAGATACTCAACTTGTATAAAATTAATTTTAGGGTTATGAAAATTAATGAATATGATTTTCCTACATAGATAACTAATTTTCCAGCACCATTCATTGAATAACCCATTTTTTAATGTTGCCTCAAGTATCTGTCACATTTCCTCACGTGTGTGATTCTGTTTCTGGGCTTTCCACCCTGTCCATGAGCCTGTTTGTCTACCCGTGCCTCCATGCTGCACTGTCGCCACAGCTGTGATCAGTCAACACTTGGTGAGGCAAGGACCCTGTCCTTTTTCTTCTCGCAGTGAGCCAAGATCGTACCACTGCACTCCAGCCTGGGCAACAGAGCGAGATACTGTCTCAACAACAACAACAAAAGAAAATCTTAGCTCTTTGGCCCTTTGCTCTAGTGTACGAATTTATGCTATTAATTTTATTTAATCTAATCTATATGGATTTTCATTGGAATTTCACTGAATTTACAGACTTGGGAAGAACTGATACCTTTACTATTGTGAGGTTTGCCTTCCAAGAACATGACGTGGCTCTAACAGAAGCTTTCTTTAACACTGCTAAGTATGTTTTTGTATATTCTCCAGAAGGTTTTATACTGATCTTGGACCCTTTCGAACTCCTCTATCAGATCTAATCATTTATCTGTGTAGTCTTTTGAATCTCCTTTTTTTTTTTTTCTTTTTTTTTGGAGACAGGATCTCTGTTGCCTGGGCTGCAGTGCAGTGGCACGATCTTGGCTCACTGCAACATCCACCTCCCTAGCTCATCCCTAGCGATCCTCCTACCTCAGCCTCCTGAGTAGCTGGGACTACAGGTGTGTGCTACCACACCCGGCTAATTTTTGTATTTTTTTGTAGAGACCAGGTTTCACTATGTTGTCCAGGCTGGTCTCGAACTCCTGGGCTCAAGTGATCCACCCATCTCAGCCTCCCAAAGTGTTGGCATTACAGGCATGAGCCACCGTGCCCAGCCTTGAATCTCCTTTGTAAGAACGGTTTTATATTTTCCTTTTCAAATTTCTTTTACTGCTCTTTCAATTTTTATTTACTTTTCTTTTGGCAGTGAGGGAGGGAATTCATTGCCCGTGTTGTTTAGTACAGTGTTAAACAGAAGGGGCGGTTAGGGGAATCCTTACTTTGGGTCCCACTTTAATGAAAATGGAAGCTTTTGAAGCTGGCACAGTGTTGCTGCTAGAGGTTTTGGGTATATGTGCATCAGGTTAAGGCGTTTCCTTCTATTCCTAGTTTGCTCTAAGTTCTTTTTTAAAGTCATGAACACTGGGTTTTTAATAATAAGTTTTATTTTATGCTTTTTCTGCATCTCTTGAGTCTGGCAGGATTATTTCTTACATAATCTATTCTTCACGCTGCCCTCCTCACATTCCTTGGATAACCTACTGTGACGTCATGTCACACAGTAGTGTTTTTAAAAACATACTTGCTGGGCTGAACTTGCTAGTATTTTACTTAGAATTTTCCATGTATGGTCAGAAGTGAAACTGGTCTGTATTTTATTTTAGTGTCCTTGGCAGTTTGGATACTGAGGTTTCAGTGGCCTTGTAAAGTCAGTTGTCCAGTTTTCCCTCTTTTTTATCCATTCTCTGAAACAATTTGTATAAAATGGGATAATCTGTGTCTTGAAGATTCAATAAAACGTCTCTATAAAATCATGTGACCCTCGTGTCTTCTCAAAGTGGTAAATTTGCTGTTAAACAACTTACCTTAACACCAATAGTATCTCCGTCTTTCAAGTAATACGGTGCCCCTTGCAAATAATCTTGTTTTTTTTTCTTTTTCCTCTTGGTTATTTGTTGGTTCTATGGGAAAATCAAACATCTTAAATAAGCAAAACTCAACCTCAAGTTCTCACTAACTTCTCTATCACTGTGAAAAATTGCATAACCTCATTGCTATGCCGGTAAGCCCCAATTTCTCTGAGACAGCCCCACAACTTTACCCAGCTAGATATCGGAAGCCACTCGAACTTTTCGGGAAAGTATTTGGCAATTTCAATCTTCTCCACGGGAAGACGATAGAAATCGGCAACTCTCTGCCTCAGGGAGCCGGCAGTCCCACCCTGGGCCGCGTTCCACACCAGGTCCAGGGCAGGGGCATAGGTCCTCTCACCAGGGATGCGCACCTGTGTCCTCAGCAGCACGTCCTGGGGGCTGTACCAGAAAACCGTCAAGCGCCAGATCCAAACAAACAAACAAAACCACGTGGTAACTTGAGGCATAATGGGCAAAGCTTCTCCTCCAGCTTTTCTGGTTTTTATAAGGAGAGATTTTTCCCTAAATGCTGGATGCTAGTGGCAAACTCTTATTCCGCATTTCAATTTCCTTTAATCTTGGAATGAAGAGCGGAAGTGAAGATCCCATTCTCGGTACACAGCAGAGCCCCCCCAGACGTGGTAGGGAACTTCCTCAGTGCGGGAGAAAAGGAAAGAGGTGGCGGCCTGAGCAGGTACGATGTGGCAGAGAGGGACAGGGTGAGAGAGGCCTGGCTTGATAGCCCGGCAGCTGGCAGGAGGAGAGCGGGCTCGAGGTAGGCAGTTATGCCCTTGACTCTGGGGGCTGTAAATGTGAGCTGCCATGAGGTAGCCAGGGAGAAGAACCTGAGGGTTGGAATTGGGAAGAGAGACACAGGGCGGGTGAGACACAAGGCTGCAGCTGTGGGAGATGGGAAACCTTAGCAGGAGGAGCAGAAAGAACAACACTCAGCAAGGCAGGAGGAACAGGGACGTGCAGAGGTCAGCACAGGCCATGGAGGAAAAGCTATAGATAAGAACTGGAAGGCAGCAAGGGGAAATGAAGACTGGTTCTTAGGATGCTGAGACAATGAATGATTTTTAGATGTACTTCTATTAAGTGTTTTTACCATCAAAAGAGGTCACGCAATGAGAAATGAAATGACTGGAAGAAAGAGAGTTCACGGGAAGATGTGGGCCCATGGAATCAGGGGAGTGCAGAGTGCAAGAGCAGAGGCTGCACAGCCCCATGTCCCCATGGGGGAGGGGGCTGCTGGCCAGGGAGTGAGGCCAAGGCCTGGAGCCCAGCACAGTGCGGCCAGAGGACAGAAAGGGCATCGGCACAGATGCTGAAGTTGCCAAGGAGGGGACAGAGGCTGCTGGAGAGAAACAGGAGGGACTAGAGGCCTCCTTGAGAGCAGGAGTGCCCTGGAAGTTGGTCAAGGACAGAAAAGCCCATGGAAGGGGCCTGAGGAGGCACACAGCTGCTCTTCAAAAGGGCAAAAGGCACTGTGCCTATCAAAACCTGACACAGCTTACAACCATTGTGACAAAGGGTCAAAATCATAAAGAGCTCACACAAATTCCAAGAGAGCTTTTCCTTTAGACTTCATTACAGAAGCAGTCAAAATACACGAAATAACTCAATCATGCACTCACAAAATACAGTTTGCAAAAATGCCTGAACTTATTAGTCATCAAAGCACTGGAGAATATGAGAACAAGATAATCATCTTTCATTTATCAATTTAGGAAATACCTAGACGATGAAATAGTCAATGCTGGTTTGTGGGTGAGGTAAAATAAATACTCATATTCTGGAACAACTTGCCTGAAGAAATATTTAACTATTTTAAGAGGTTTAAAATGTCCACACCATTTGATCCTGGAATTCCCCTCCAGGAAACTATTTCTGGTTGTACAACTTGTATTAAGAATGTGTTTTTATAAAAACACTAAAATTAAATACATGTTAGACATGGTTGAAAGATAACTTTCTCATATAACAAGCAGACCACAAGAAGGATACTCATATCATAATAGGTAGAGCAAATCTTAATAGTTCATGATATTTACAAAAGGACTTGTAAAATATTTTCCTACAGCGAAAAAAGAACAAGATGGTTTGATTGTAGACAATTTTGGGTGTATCTTTATTTAATAAATAATTATTGACTATGACATGGGCACAATTACTATTCTAGGTATTAAGGATATAGCAATGAATAAACCAAGTACTTATATTCTAGTAGTGGGAGACAGATACTAACAAATAAATCAGTAAGTACAGATATGTCAGGTGATACTAGGATGAAGAAAGTAGAATAAGGGGGCAGAGCGACGGGAGCAATGATGAATCCGTTGGATGGCAGACTGTCCGAACACACTGACAACAGCTGCGGGTGGGCCTCTTGCTGACACTTCAGGGCCATCATGGGGTCAATATGCACCTGGTGATTACTGAAAAATTAATTCTCCCTTACTGTTTTTATGGGAGAATAAGTCCCAAGTTTTAGATGCCCAGACATACAAACATATTTCTAGCACACACTCTGTTTCAAGTTGCTAGGCTACTTAGAAGCAGTGAAAAAAATGCTACACTATGAAGTTGTTAAAGCTTCAAAAGGCAAACGAGGTTAAGATACGTGTGTGTCACTTCAGATGCACAGGAGAATTTCTTACCCCAAGTTTTCGCCTTTCTGAAGGGGCTCTAAGCAGATCTCAATTCTCCGTCCTAGTTTATATTCCCTGATAATAAGTGAAACAAGATAATATTGAGTGACATAACATTTAATTTTCTTGAATTTTTTTTCCCCCAATTTTAAGCTTTTTTCTTAAGCAAAGAATTGTTTTCTGAGTACTTATAAGAACACCCAAACTTTTGGAAAAGGGGAAAAAATGAGAATCCTTGCTGCGGTGATTATTTAGATACTTGAGTCATTTCTTACTAAACATGTAGGTCTGGCTCTGGGAAGATGGCCAAACTGCCAAAGAAATTTCCCTCTGTTCAGCCGGGGTTAAGATTCTCATGCCAGTCACTTTGGGGTGGTAATCAGAACCGATTAAAAGCAGCCTTGGCCAGGCACAGTGGCTCACGCCAGTAACCCAGCACTTTGGGAGGCCAAGGTGGAAGGATTGCTTGAGGCTAGGAGTTCGCGACCAGACTGGGCAACATAGGGAGACCTCGTCAAAACAAAAAATTAGCCTGGTGTCGTGGCACATGCCTGAGGTCCCAGCTACACAGGAGGCTGAGGTGGGAGGATCACTTGAGCCCAGGAGGTTGAGGCTGTAGTTGAGCCATGATCACGCCACTGCACTCCAGCCTGGGCGACAGAGCCAGACCCTGTCTATTAAGAAAAGAAAGAAAAGGAAAGAAAGGAAAGAAAGAAAAGAAAGAAACGAGAAAGAAAGAAACAAAAAGCCTCAAGGCTGCTTTTTGCAAAGGAAATGACCCAAACCTGCTCTTTAAGTTCAAAGTTTCAGGAGGAGGATCAGCTGAATCCAACATTTCTGAGTGAGAAACAGCCACTCCTACTTTCCATCTCACTCCAAATGCTTTTAAGTTATATAATGTCACAGTCACTGGAGCACAGAAAAAATATACAACACTACATTTATACTTAACATGGAAAACTGAAGGCCTGCTGGAGTTTATGATGAAAAGTGTCACCCAAGTCACAAGCGTGGCATGACCAGGAATGGGCTTTGTTGTCACTCAGCTCAGAAGACTGATTCCTCCTCCATCCCTCACACCAGCCAGTGCGTCAGCAGCAGAGAGGGACAGTGTTGCGTCCAGCAAGGAACCTACCTGAGTGGCTGCCGGTCAGTTCGTAAAAGCCTGCCTGGGCGCTTCCTCTCCACCGTCCAGGCTCTGAGGTGGGCTGGGGACGGGACACCGAACTCCAGGAAAGGAGGCAAGGTCATGGCCTAGAAAAAGAAACAGACATTTCTCCAACGGTTTTAAAAAGCACTCTTCAAAACATACTGTTTTAGAAAAAAAAAATGAAGCACTACACAGTGGCATCTCAAGGAAAGAGTATCTCAAGTAATGATAACATCATTTTAAAAGTCACAGGAATCTCTCTCTCTCTTAAATAACACTAACCCTGAGCGGTCTTCATATTCCTCTGCACTGAAATCACCTTGAGAAAGAAGTGAGTTCCCTCTCTCTAAATCTGAGTCAAAAGCTTCTTTTTAATCATCATGTTTAAAAAATGAAACTTTGGAATTAACTTCCATGGGAGTAGAATTCACCAGGGCAGAGCCCGCTCTAACAGTACAACAAGGGACACAACAGCAGCCTTCTTCCGTGCCCGCGCAATCCTCCACCAGTGTCTGCTCTGCCGATGAATCAGCTTTTGATTCTGAAGTATTTCAAAATCTTTGGCTGCAATCAGTAGGCCCAAACTGCTTGTTCTAATTCTGAAGGGATCACTTTAAGCCCCTACTGATATACTTAGGTTGGAGCCTCTAAAATTACCAATATTCATCCATTTTTTGACCTAAAAACAGCAATTTTATATCTTTCAACTTAATATGAGAAAAAAAAAGTATTTTCCCATTTGTTCTCATGAGAATAAGGCTGTCTGCTTTTTCTTTTCTCCTTTTTTTTTTTTTTTTTTTTTGAGACGGAGTCTCACTCTGTCACCCAGCCTGAAGTGCAGTGGCGCAATCTCAGCTCATTGCAACCTCCCTGTCCTGGGTTCAAGTGATTCTCCTGCCTCAGCCTCCGAGTAGCTGGGATTACAGGTGCCTGCCACCGTGCCAGGTGAATTTTTTTTTTTTTTGTACTTTTAGCAGAGACAGGGTTTTACCATGTTGGCCAGGTTGGTCCCAAACTCCTGACCTCAAGTGATCCGCCTGCCTCAGACTCCTAAAGTGCTGGGATTATAGGCATGAGCCACCACACCCAGCCAACATATGCTTTTTCTTGAGGAAGGGTATTTCATATACTGAGGGCGCACAAAAGCCAAACATCAACAACCACTAGTCATATATAGGCCCCACATTTTCTCCTCTAAGAGAAGAAAGGAATGCTCATTTCAGTCCAACAGTAGGCGGATGCTGCTTCAACACTGCATTGTGCTTAATCCAGCCCTTCCATTTGGATAAAACCCTCCTTCTCTGTGAACGTTAATGCATAAGAAACAACACAATACCTAGAATATCTAGTTTAGCATCCTAACATAAAAGCTGGAGTTCTAACCTCCTGGAAAACTGGTAACACAGCTTTTCATAACAACATTTAACATATGGGTCACAATGGTACACAAACAATGTAAATAAAGGGATAAAGTGAATGCTTTACAAATGTTCCAAGAAACCATGTTTCCCTAAAAAAATAAAAATGAACAAAAGCCGCAAGTCACTGAGGATAGATTGAAACAAAAGCACAGCATGCCTGTCAGAGGAGGGACCAGTGAGGCCACGAGGAGCCGTCTGCACCATGGGCGTGTATTGCCTGCGGGTACTTACCACTGAACATGGCATATGACAAATGCCATATCAGAACAGACTGTAATTGAGGGAAAAGGAGATAGAAGAATATATTAATATCTCACTGGAAGAAGCCACATTACCACTAAGTTATGGTGCAGGAAGAAGTCTGACCTGAGACTTCAGCTCCGCCAGCGTGGCATCTTCTGAGATCTCTATGTCTCCCAAGTAGAGGAGAGAAACTTGCGCAGGCTCGTTCCCAGAAGCACCTTCCAAAGGACAGAGCGGGATGTTTACAAGGAACTTGAAACTTATTTTGTGTTTCTGAAATACATTGCCATGTTTTGATATTGTAAATAGGTTATTAAAATTCCACTCAAGAGCCTCTGCATCCAAGTCTTATGAGGAGGCCCTGTCTGGCAGGTAAGCAGGCAGGGACATGTTGTCGGCAGACTCCCAAGAGGTCTGTGACACTTATGCCCCTACCTTGAATGTACTTTTCCACATTCTCTCCTTCCTCAAAGAGGACTTTTTGGGTAGGATATGCTGGCTGCATTCTGTATGTTAGCTTCCTGTTTCCTCATCATAACACTCATCCCAACCTGTTCCTCGTGTGTGTGTGTGTGTGTGTGTGTGTGTGTGTCTGTCTGTCTGTGTGCAGGCGTTTAATCTGCCTCCTCAAAACAACAGAATTTTCAAGAGGAGGCAGGCCATCTATCTTGTCTCCCCAGTTCCTGGTACAATGGGTGCCACATAGTAAATGCCCAATAAATGTTTATTTATAAGGAAATCTTGACAATAAGAAGGCCTTTCCAAGTTTGTTTAAAAAAAGGGAAAAACACAATGCTTTCTCATCAAAAACAATATAAAAGCTGGCAACTAAATTTAGACTGTCTTCACTTATTTTTGCCTTAACTGTCTTTACTGCTGAGCATGCCACTAATGCATAGCAAGAAATTACAGAGAGATTAGAAGTCAACTAAGTGCATGAGAAGTTCCTCTTGTGTCTTAAGGAAATTACAGGCTGACACTACCGGAAAGATAATTTTAGGAAATTCTAAAGAATGAAATATATAATCACCTGCTACATAATGATTTGGTCAAAGACCACACATGTGATGTGATCCTATAAGATTATAATACTGTATTTTCACTGTACCTTTTTCTGTTTAGATACACAAACACCTGCCACTGTGTTATGATTCGCCTTCAGTATTCAATACAGTAAGCTGCTGTACAGGTCTGTAGCCTATGAGCAAGAGGCTACACCACATAGCCTAGGTGTGTAGGAGGCTCTACCATCTAGGTTTGTGTAAATCACTCTACCGTGTTCACATAATGATGAAATCATCTGACGATGCATTTCTCAAAACATATTCATGTTGTTAAGTGACACATGAGTGCATTTCCCATGTGTTGTGTACAGATGTATTACCAAAAAAAGAACCTTTTATTTACTTTTCACGTAGAAACATACTGATTAAACATGCTTTTACAATCTATATCCAATTCTATATGTAACTAGAATTCTATCACCAAGGCATTTTTAGCATTAGTTAACATGAACTACTGTAACCCAACTAAAAAGTAACTTTATGCCAATTTTATAGCTCATTCAACATTACTCTCTCTATATAATCCTAACTTCAAAGAATAAGGAGATAAGAATTTGACTCATTTATATTAATTTTATTACTGAGGCTGAAAAGATTAAAAAGAAATATAAGTAATATACTTCAAGGCACTAGAAAAACTAAATAAGTAAAGCCTGATAAAAAGAAAAACATAGCTAAAGAGTTGGGCCTATTAAAAATATACTCGCTCCATTTCTTTATAATGAAGTGGAACTCCTCTTTGTACAAGGGCAACAGAACTCACTGATAGTGACTTCTGCCCATCGTGATGTGTGCGGCTGAGTGCTGAGTAAGACAACATGCTTGTACTTGTCTATGTTCCTTCTCAGAAGTCAGTGAGATGATATCAAATGCCCTAGAAGCAGTTCCTGAGGGTTTTGAGGCAGAAAGATTGGAAGACATGTAGGATGTGGACTCCTGGTCTCTGCCCCTGTGGGCTAAAATGACATCATTAGAATTGGATGAAGTCTCAATATTCTGGTACGTGGTGATAAATGGGGCCCCTGTTGCCCTGAGGATCTTGAGAGATGATACATAAAAGTCTTTGGAAAGTGTAATATATTGATATAATAATAAACAACAAGATATATAGTGCTTTACAGAGGTTACAGAGCACGTACAGAAATGGCACAGTGTTATTATTATGTGATGTCTGGAATGACTTATGAAATTAATAGGTCTTGATTTTCAAGATCTTACGTTTTAAAAATAAATATATCAATTGACTCTCAGAGCACAGGCAGTCAATTTACTTCTCTTTATGATGCACTGGCTGCTGAAATCCCATTCTGTTCTCACCTTGGCTGGAAGTGGCTCTCCAAACTCTGCCCCAAGACGAAGTACAGTTGGTCTGGTCCTGATGACTCTCCCAGTGTCCTGAGGGACCCTGAAGCTGGTACCACCAGATGGGCACCTTCAGGAAACCCTGAAGAATGGAGCATGTTTAACTGCTGTGATTACAAAGATTAAGTGAAACTCTACTTTTACTTCCATAGAAAGAAACACCTTGATGACCTAAGATGTTCTTGAACTTATCATTTTTCCTTTTAGATTTATTAACTGTCATAAATTATACTTGTTTTTACAATCAAAAATTTAAAATCATAAAAATCAGACTTTGGGGTGACTGGACTAAATATCCCTTGCTTAAAGGTATCTTAGTAGATAATATAAATGAGAAGCATAAACAAGAACAATGCATTTGCTTGAACACACTATACCAGCGTTTCCAGGCGCTGTCCAAGCACTGCTGGCCCAGGATACCAGTCCCAGCAGTGCAGTTTATCACACAGATGCAAGAGCCCATTGATCTAATGGGTTTCTGATACAAACTAAAGGAAATAAACCCATTGTCTTATACATACCCTGTAATTTCAGTTTTACTTATTTAGCTAGTTCTTCCCACCTCATTTTTTGTTAGTGAAGAATTTTAACAGGTTTATTAAGAGATAAAAGGTGCTATTGTTGCAGCACTTAATTTCCAACAATAGAAGATGAGAATAAAAATTAACCACCTAAAACATTTTAAATAGATAGTTCAAGAAATGTGCATTAGAATATTTTTCTGTTTATCAGATTAGTGAAGATTAACAAATATTTGACCTTCATTCGATTAAATAAATGTAAATCAGAACAACAAAATTCCATTTTTTTTTTTCACCTAGCAGACTGTCAAAAACCAGAAAATTATGTTGGTGAAAATATGGGTAAACTTGAACATTTGTAAGTTGGTAGCAGGAATATAAACTGCTGAGAAGTTTCTGTAGAATAATTTGCCTGTACCTGTCATATTTTAAAATGTGCAAGTCCTTTGACCCAGCCATTCCACGTTTAGGAATTTACATTCTGATATACTAGTGCATGCATAGAAAGCCACATATGCAAGAATATTCTTACAAATTGTTTATGGGACCAAAAACCATGAACCAACTTCAAGGACCCTCTTTAAAAGATTTTTGGCTGGGCTTGGTGGCTCACAGCTGTAATCCCAGTACTTTGGGGAGGCTGAGGTGGGAGGATCGATTAAGCCCAGGAGTTCAAGATCAGTGTGGGCAACAAAGCAAGACAAAAATAAAAAAATGTTTAAAAATTAGCCAGGCACAGTGTGCCTGTAGTCCCAGCCCAGGAGATCGAGCTTGCAGTGAGCTATGATCATGCCACTGTACTTCAGCCCGGGTGACAAGAGTCAGATCCTTTCTAAAAAAAAAAAAAAAAAACCAAAAAAAAAACTGTGCAATTTCAGTTCTAGGAATTTATCCTGTAGATATACTCATATACAAGCAAAATGGCATATATATATATATATATATATATATATATATATATATATTTATATATATATATATATATATATACACACACATAAAAAATAAATAAATAAATAAATATATAAAATAAATATATTTTTTACATTGTTACTTGTATCAACAAAAGACTGGAAATGACCTAAATATTCTTCAAAAAGAGACTGGTTAAATAAATTATAGTCCTCCAAACAATGGAGTATTATGAAGCTACTAAATTGAATGAGATAGCTTCACAGCATACACTAGGAGATAAAATATTAATGAAAAAAATCTAGGTACAGAATAGGTTGCCTAGCAAATAATCTTTTGTGCAAATAAAAAGGAATAAATCTGTGTATGTGTGGATATATATGCTATGTATATACACATTGAACTATGTATTTAAAATATTTTACATGGTTAGTCTTCACATTGTCATTGTCTATTGTTTGAAATTAAGTGTTGTAACAGTAACATCTTTTATCTCTCTTCTTGTTTTTTTTTTTACTTTTTAAATTTTTATTGAAAAGAGACAGGGTTTCACCATGTTGCCAAGGCTGGTCTTGAATTCCTGAGCTCAAGCGATTTGCCTGCATTGGCCTCCTAAAGTACTGGAATTACAGGCATCAGGCACCGTGCCTAGCCTACCTTTTATCTCTTAATAAACCTATTAAAATTCTTCAGTAACAAAAAATGAGGTGGGAAAAGCTAGCACACTTCAGTGTGTGCAAGTGTGTGTGTATATTAAAAAGCAAAGGCCTTTGGAAGGATGCAGAGAAAAGCAGCTGCCTGTCGGGGAGAGGACACTGGGTGGCTGGACCCAGAGACAGTAGGGACACTTGCTTTTCCTGGCCCAGCTTTTCATAACACCTGGAATTTTGTATTATGAGTATTGCCTATTCAAAAATTAACTTTAAAGATCATTGTACAAAATATAATAGAATTCTACAAAGTTACGAAAATGAATAAGGTAGGTGTGTATGTGCTGATATGAGGAGCTCCGCAAGATACAGTAAGTGAATAAAAGCAAACAAAACAAGTGTAAAACAATGTAGCGAATACATTAAAAAGGATATGCACATATTTGCCTTCAGCAAACAAATATGTGTAATGTTTTTCTTAGAAGGATACAGGAGGAAAAATCAGCTAACTGTGGCTCTCTCTGCAGAGAAAAGGTGTAGGAGTGATTTCTGCTTTTCATTTCAAGCTTTCTGTACTGTCTGACTTTTCTAATCATAAGCAAACAGTTATCTGAGTCTTGGAGTTTGGGGCCATTTGTTTCTCTTTTGGGTTCACTTTTACGTGCATCCTCAGTTTAAAAGAAACGATACTGGTTTTAGAAAGTAGTGCTATGCGATGCTTACGAAAGGGCAGTGAAATGAGCCCTCTCATATGCTACTGCATAGAACATCAAGGCTTTCAAGAGGTCACACCTTTGGACTTAGGAATTCCACATTTAGAACTATTTTCTGAAGGACTTATTTCAGTACTATTTATAAAAACAAAATGTTAAAAACACGGTAAGTTTCCAACAATGAGGATATAGATCAATTAAATTAGTAAAACATTACCTTGGATATGATGATTATTTTTGGATTTTATGAGAAGGTTAAAATGTCAAATATAAAAAGTAGGAAATAAAAATGTTACATATAATTGATTTTAATTTTGTGTGAGAATATTTACAAGTTAGGAAACATATCTGATTGATAGCATTTGGGGAAAGTTCTCCCTTCTCTTTATGACTGTCTGAATTTCCCCATTTTCCCTAAATGAGGCTGTATCATCTCTGTAATCAGATAACAATTATTACTTAAGAGTTGTCTATTCAGAAGTAAAATCTTACCAGAGGAGGAAGTTGTCCTTCAATTAAAAGCAAAGTATCTCCAGAACATATCAGAAGTTCTTTCAGTGTTGCATCCTGGGAAGACAAAAATGCTTTTTTGTCACTTATGACTTCTGAAAGGAGCAGATCATTGATCTTTTTAAAACCCCATGCCTCTATTATCTTTTCAAAAATTAAATGAATAATAAAGCAGATATGGAAGACACAGGAAATAAGCTAAGACTATAAAATCAGTACAGCATTATTTGTTAAATTGTGGGGCATAAGCTGTAAGTCTGACAGAAGAACTGAGGCAAGGGAGTTAGATGAGATGAGAAATGAGAAACTGATTTACAGAAGATGAAATTTTAATTAATCCTAAAAAGATGGGTTGGATTTGGAAAGCTAGAGAAAATAACAGAAGGAATTTCTCACGAAAAAAAGGACAAGGGCTAAGTTAAGGTTGATAGTAAATATGGCTTGTTTTGGTAAAGCGCTAAAGCCACACTGATTCGAGTGGAAAGTACCAGGAGGTCACACCGGACTGGAAGGGCAGGCACTAACCACAGGACATGGAATAGAAATAAAGGAGCCACACAAGATTTCTGAGGAGATTTTCCAGATCAATCTGGCTGCAATATGCATGACATTGAAGCAGGGAACGCCTGGGCCCAGGAAAGCCATAATAATTTAGGTGAGAGGCATACGAAGGCTTGGACCTGGAGCCAAGCATGGGAATGGTCAGGGAAGGGGTGGAAAAGCTGACAGTTTGGAGGCTGAGAGGAAACATGAAGAATGAAAGATAAGGAGGATATTTTACTCTTGAAGATTAGGATGGGAAAGATACCTGGCAAGGCTGGAACGAGAAGCCAGTTCCAAGGGTAATGAGTTGGCTTCTGGCTGAATTCTTTGATGCCAATTTGGGAATTAATAGAGAAGAAAATGCTGAAGCTATTTGGGTAAATATATTCTTCTGACATCCAAATTTTATGTCCTAAAGATGCTTTGAGGTCCACTTCTTACTCCAGGCAGTCAAACTCCTGCCCAGGCCCCAAGAGGGGCCTCTTGCTATTGACTTACTGACTGCTAAACAGCAAAGAGCATTCCAGGGCAAGGCCCCAGCATACCTCCCTAAATCAACCTTCTGCTGGCATTCAGTGCCCCTTCTTAAAGAACAGGAAGTAGGCAGGTGAAGACTGGGGAAAGGGCGGCTGACCACAGCTCCCTCAGACTCCCCACAGAGCTTTATTTTGGGTCTTCTTCTAAGGCTACGCATTTGAACTGGGAAATATCATGCTATTTGGACCAACAAGATGACCAACTAGATTCCAACTCTCCTGTGATAAAATTATTCCTAAGGCTACCCTAACAGTTTGGCTGGATCGAGAGTTTGGACCAAAGCCTAACTTAGGAATGGTTAGTAAGAAATTCTGCCACCATTACCTTACAGAGAAACTCTGAGATCAAAACATTCAGGGGCCAAAACTTCAGAGTGTATCTATAAAATTCCTTCATGAGCTCAAATGTCATTTGTTCTGTGAAGTTCTCTGCCTTCTCATGAACTGCTCCTCCTAGAGGCATACTCTCATGGCAAGGGGGTTTACCACAGATGTCAGAAATGTTCCCACTGCACTGTGACTTCCCCTTTATCAAAAAACTATAGTAAGAAAAAAGTAAAATAGACCCATTCATAGATATTTGTATCCTATAGAAAGTAATTAAAGCTTTCTCATGAGTGGAATGGGTACCTTGTACGAAAATATGACATAAATGTAATCATACGAAAGTACAATGTATAGAAATCATCTTACTTCTTCACATAAAGGCTCTCCAGCTTCATAGCACCAATCCATTTTTCGTAAATGCCAGGCATCTCCTATAAAGGAGTCAAAATTGGGATAAAAAAAATTCAAAGTTAGGTGAGACGTTGCGTGTAACTTCTAGAAGAATGTCTTGCACCCAGAGCACCTTAACTTCCTTTCCAGATAATAAAGCTATGGGCCTCCATGTTAATGAAGTCTGAGAACAGCAAAGTGTGCTACTGAAATCAGAATGAGGTCTCATCAAGCTCACTGACATGATCTCACCTGGAAAGTTGCTTCAGTTATCTTAGATTTATTTTTTTCATTCATTTTACATTCCGTCATCTATACCACAAAAATACTGACATGAAACAGAATGCACTGAAATTTGGAATCAATAAAATTGAAAGGAATCAGTGGAAGACCTGCGTGGCTCCAGGTGGTATACATCTTAGCGTTCTTTTTATTTTAAGTTCTGGGGTACATGTGCAGGATGTGCAGGCCTGTTACACAGGTAAACGTGTGCCATGGTGGTTTGCTGCACCTATCAACTCATCACCTAGGTATTAAGCCCAGAATGTATTAGCAATTTTTCCTGATGCTCTCCCTCCCCCACTCCCACCCCCCCATACACCAACAGGCCCCAATGTGTGTTATTCCCCTCCCTGTGTCCATGTGTTCTCATTGTTTGGCTCCCACTTATAAGTAAGAACATGTGGTGTCTAGTTTTCTGTTCCTGCATTAGTTTGCTGAGGATAATGACTTCCAGCTCCATCCATGACCCTGCAAAGGACATGATCTCATTCCTTTCTATGGCTGCACAGTATTCCATGGTATATATGTACCATATTTTCTTTATCCAGTCTATTACTGATGGGCATTTGGGTTGATTCCATGTCTTTGCTATTGTGAACAGTGCTGCAATGAACATACATGTGCATGTATCTTTATAATAGAATACTTTATATTCCTTTGGGTATATACCCAGTAATGGGATTGCTGGATCAATGGCATTTCTGGTTCTAGGTCTTTGAGGAGTTGCCACACTGTCTTCCACAATGGTTGACCTAATTTACATTCCCACCAACACTGTAAAACATTCCTACTTTGTACCTTTGCTGGATCCTATCTAAATTCTCTACTCAGAGCTATACCATTAGTTTTCTTTCAGCATGCCAACAAGAACCAGGAGAATTCATTATGTACATATGGAAGTGTAAACTACTTTTTATTTCTCCACACCCTATAAATTTTTTTTTCCTACAACCCTGGAGAAAAAAAAAGTCAAAAAAATTTTTATTAGGCTTTTAAGTAATATGTCATCATGGTAAGTAACTTACCTTGTAGGCCAGATTTCTTCAGCATTAACTTTAAACACTGTAAAGAAAAACAATGTCCAATGTTAGTTTTCTGTTTCTGAGTTACAGTTCTAGGACAAACACCCTTTTTGGACCCTAGGCCTATTTAAGTCTGACTATATTTAATGATTCTTGAATAGGCAAGGATAGACATAGTTAAGAAGATAATACACGAGTCAGCTTTCCTTTCTAAAGGCTAGATGGGGCCAATTCAGGAAGAGGAAAAAGCAGTTTCTGGTGTTTGCAAGCAGGACTTAGTTCAAAGTTTCATCCACCAACTCCCAGGTTTGAACCATGACTTTCTTCCTGTAAGGATTAACTGTGTGTCTTTGGCCAGATATGATTAATCAAGTTAATTTCATAGACATTAAACTCTGAATCCTATAAAAGGCGAGATTGATAGCATTTGGGGAAAGTTCTCCCTTCTCTCTTCTCTTTATGACTGTCTGAATTTCCCCGTTTTCCCTAAATATAAAAACTCACAAGAATTGTGCAAGCTGTGATGTCATGGCATAATGCAAAAATGAGACAATATTAACAAAAGTTTAAATAAAACAAAAATAGTAATTAAAACAATTTCTTGAGGGAAAAACATTGCTAATTAAATCTTGGACAAGCGAGCAAATACAATTTGATTTCTATTACACTAGAGCAAAAGAGAGCAAAAATAAGGAAGTCACTGCTGTACTGTTTGTAATAAAAGAAAAATGGCAAAAAAAACCCCACCAAAATACACATTAATGGGAGATTTTTTAAAAAGTAGGAAATGTCTTAAAGCAGTTCAAAGAAAAAAACAGATTCATATATATTGGTCTTAAAAGATCTTTAAAATATTTTAAGTGAAACAAAGTTCTAGTATAATACATGCAAAGTGATCCCATTTATAATTTAAAAGAAATCACAGAAGCAAAGCACACTCTTCATTTCTATATGTATGTATATAGACACATGCTGGTATAGGCACAGCAAAGGTCTGGAGGGACACATACTCTGCTGATGTGGATAAGATGATGTTATCTGATTGCAACAGTGACTTCTAGAGAAAGGACTAGAATAGAGTGGTAACCAAGGGGGATTGTTAATCCCCTAGAAGTTTAAAAAGTGAGAAGAAATCCATGATTACTTGTATGACAAAAAATAAGGCTTTAAAATATAATTATAGATTGTTTAGAAAATGATGATAAAAACACAGTATACTAAAATATGGTGGATGAATGAAAGCAAGCTTATATTCTAAGAAAACTTAAAGCCTTAAACATTGTATTTAAGAAAAACAATCAAACAATTGAGCAATCAACTTAATTGTGTTTTAGGAAGGGGAAATAGAGAGCATAAAAGCCTTATTTCAGAAACAGCAAGAAGGCCAGTGTGGCTGAAGCACAGTGAGTAAGAGGGGGAAATGGTTGGAGGTTTGAAAATATAACAAAAATGATACCAGAGAACCAGATCACATAGGCCCTTGTGCAGACATTCAAGACTTCACCTCTTACTCTGGGTAAAATGGGAAACCACAGGAGGGTTGTGAGTATAGGAGTGACTAATCTCTCTTACATTTTAAAGGATCACTCAACTTTTTATAAGAACAGACCCTGGGAAGTGCAAGGCTATAAGGAAGGAGATCAGTTAGGAAGCTGATGGATGAAATTCATTTCAGATGAAAAAGATGACAGGTTTGACAGGGTGGTAGTAATGAACAGAATGAGATGTGGTCAGATCCTAGATGCATTTTGATGGTAGAACCAAAAGATGTCCTTGTGAAACTGAATGTGAAGTAAGAAAGAGAAGAATCAAGGATGACTTCAAGGCTTTCAGCCTAAGCAAGTAAAAAATGGAGTTGCCATTAACTGAAAAAGAGAAAAATATGAGCGGGTTATGTTTCAGGGAGAATAAGAAGAGCTTTACTGTGAATATGTTCTAGGTTTGGATGATTGTTAGACAACCAAGTGGCAGCTGGATGTTCTGGGCCGAGGTCCAATCTAAGAACTGGGCAGCAGAATGCTCAAAGATAGAGAAGAGGAGGAGACAGCAAACTGAGAAGGGTAGGCCAGTGGGATATAAGGAAAACCTGGAGTTGTGGTCTTCTGGAGCCCAGTGACAAAAGTGTTTCAAAGAATAGAGTCATCAGGTACATCGAATGTTGGTGATAGAGCAAGTAACATGAAGAGTAAAAACTGCTCACTGGACATAGTAATGTGGAGGCCACTAATGACCCTGACATAAGCTGTTTCAGTGACATAGCAAGGAACAAGTCTGCCTGCAAGGGGTTCAACGGAGTACAGAAAGGAAGATACATCACTTTTGAAAAGTTTTGTGGTTTCTTTCCTTGAAATTAAAAAATGTAAAGTTAAAAAGGCCAGTAAAAAACTGGGAAAATACCTGCAGAAAATAGTAAAATGATCCTCAAATACCCATCACCCAGTCCCAATTACAGGTTGAGTATCCCTTATTTGAAATACTTAGGACTGGAAGTGTTGGATTTAAAAAAAATTTTTGGAATATCTGCATTATACTTACCAGCTAAGTAACCTCAATCCAAAAATCTAAATATGAAATGCTCCAATGAATATTTTCTTTGAGTGTCATGTCAAAGGGTCAAAAAGTGCTCAAAAAGTTTTGGATTTTGCAATCTGGCAGTGGCCCTGCCTCCCCAGAGAGAGCGCTGCACAGCTGCCTGACCCACACATGTTTGCACCCAGCCCAATAGCAAGTGTGGCAGTATCCCCCTCCCCAGAGAGACCAACACACAGCTATGCTCAGGTTGTGCTTGGTAGCAGCACAAACCAGCATCCTTTCCTCCACCAAACCATGTCACCTCTGTCACAAACACCCGTAACCTAGGAAATTGAGGCAACTGCACACATCATTAATGAGGATTACAGCTGAAGAACTGGCATAGGGATCATGCTACTGAGCCCACCAAGAACCAAAGCCAACAACACATCATTTCCAACAGACACCCTAGAATCCATCTATAGGAAAAAGCTCCTCCCTACAATAGCTACTCCATAAAATTGGAAAAAGTAAGTGTTCAAGTAAATGTGAAGATATCAACATAAGAAGACAAGAAATATGAAGGGCCAAGGAAAGATGATATTCTGAAAGGAACACAGTAAGTCTCCAGTAACAAACCCCGAAGAAAAGTATATTTATGAAATGCCTGAAGAGAAATTCAAAACAATGATCTTAAGGAAACTCATAAACAAGAGAATACAGACAATCCAAAATTCAACAAAATCAGAAAAATTCATTCATAATCTGAATCAGAAATTCATCAGAGAAAGAATTTCTGAACTTGAAGACAGGTCTTTTGAAATAACCCAGTCAGAAGAATAAAAAGAATTAACAATTTAAAAAGAATGAAGAAAGCCTACAGGACCAACAAGACACCATTAAATGAACAAGTTTTCTCATTGTAGAAGTGCCAGGGGGAGAATAAATGACAAAAGACACAGCGTATCTATTTAATTAAATAATAGGTGAAAAATTCCCAAGTCCAGGAGAGATATGGACATCCAGATCCAGAAAGCTCACAGGTTCCCCAATTAGATTCAACACAAAAAGATCCTCTTTGGGCACTTTATAATAAGACTCTCAAAAGTTAAAGACAAAAAGAGAATTCTGAAAGCTACAAGATAAAAGCATTAAGTCACATATAAGGAAATCCCCAGTAGACTATCAGTGGATTTCTTAGCAGAAACCTTGCAGGCCAGAAGAAAATGGGGGTAATATAGGAAAGAAAAAAACACTGTCAGCCAAGAATATCATATCCAGCAAAGCTATCCTTCAGAAATAAAGGCGAGATATAAATCTCAGATAAGCAAAAAGCTAAAGGAATTTATCACCACTAGACCAATCTTACAAGAAAATACTTAAGGGAGCACTACAACTGGAAACAAAAGGATGATAATTACTATCATGAAAACACATGAAAGTATAAAACTCACAAGTATAGGTAAATTCATAATCATACTTGGAATACCCCAGTGTCGCAATGGTGCTATATAAATTTATCAATCCTCTTCCATGAAGGTTTAAAGTCAAAATAGCCAAAAACAACAACAGTTACTATTAGTGGCTAAGGACACAATAAAGATGTAAATTAAGGCAACAAAAATATAAATTGTAGAGGGAAGGGAAAAAATTCTAGACTATTTTTATATGACCAAAGGTGAGTTGGATACAGCTTAAAATAGTCTATTATAAGTACAAGACTCTCTATCTTAGTGCAACAGTAACCACAAAGAAAGACATGACAGAAAATACACAAATAAGAAAAAGAAACAAAGCTTAGCACCATAGACAACCATCAAACCACAGAAGTAAACAACCAGAAAGGAAGAAAAAGATCTACAAAACAACCAGAAAACGATTAACAAAATGGCAGGAGTAAGTTCTTACTTATCAATAATAACCTTGATTAAATTCTTCAATTAAAAGATATAAAAGTGACTGAATGGGTTAAAAAAAAGAAGACCCAACTATATGTTGCCTAAAAAAGACTCACCTCACTGTTAAAGACAAACATAGACTGAAAGTGAAGGGATGGAAAAAGATAGTCCATGCAAATAGAAACCAAAAGTGAGCAAGAGTAGCCACATTTATGTCAGGTAAAATAGACTTTAACTCAAAAACTGTAAAAGGTCATTATAATTGATAATGGTCATTGTAGAAGAAGGTCATTATATAATAACTTGTTATATAATCACTATATATCATTATTATGTCATTTATAATGATATAAAGGGATTCAATGAGAGGATATAACAATTGTAAATATATATGCAAACACCACCAGAACACCCAAATATATAAAGCTAATATTATTAGACCTCTAGGGGAACAAGACTGCAATACAATAATAGTAGGGACTTCAACACCTCACTTTCAATAATGGAAAGATCATCGAGACAGAAAATCAACAAAGAAACATTAAACTTAAACTTCACCATAGACCAAACGGAGCTAACAGATATTTATAGAACAGTCCATCAACAACTGCAGGATACACATTCTTGTCAACTGCACAGAGAATATTATCCATGATAGAGCATACATTAGACCACAAAACAAGTCTTAATACATTTAACAAGACAGAGATCATATCAAGTATTTTTTCTAACCACGATAAAACTAGAAATCAAAAAGAAAAACTTTGAAAACCTTACAAATACATGGAAATTAAACACGCTTCCAAAGAACCAATAAGTCAATGAAGAAAGTAAGAGGGAAATTTTAAAATGCCTTGAGACTAAAATAGAAACATATTATACCAAAACCCATGGGATACAGCAAAAACAGTTCTAAGAGGGAAGTTCACAGCAATAGATGCCTAGATCAAAAATGAAGAAAGATTTCTACTAAACAACCTAACCATGAACCTCAAGGAACTAGAAACATAAGGACAAACTAAACCCAAAAGAAGCAGAAGGGAATAATAAAGCTCAGAGCAGAAATAAACAAAATAGGAACTAACAAAACAATTCAAAAGAGAAACAAAATTAAAAACTGGTTCTTTTAATAGATAAAATTGGCAAACCTTTAGCTAGACTAAGAAAAAAAGAGTGAAGACTCAAATAAAGTCAGAGATGAAAATCAGACATTACAATTGATACCACAGACATACAAAGGATCATAAGAGACTATTATGAACAACTACTTGCCAATAAATTTAAAAACATAGAAGAAATGGATAAATTCCTGGACATATACAATATACTAAGATTAAATGATGAAGAAATAGAAAATCTGAACAGGCCAACAAGTGAGAAAATGCTTTCAGTAATAAAGTCTTTCATCAAAGAAAAGCTGAGGACCTAATGGCTTCACTGCTGAATTCTACCAAACATTTAAAGAATATCAATTCTCCTCAAACTACTCCAGAAAATTGAAAAGTTGTGAATATTTCCAAACTCATTTTATGAGGCCAGCATTATCCTGATTCCAAGACCAGATGTAGATTCAACAACAAAAAAAGAAAACTATAGGCCAATATCCCTGATGAACATAGATGAAAAACTGTCAACAAGGTATTAGCAAACTGAATTTAACAAGCACGTTAAAAAGACCATTCATAATTATCAAGTGGTATTCATCCCAAGGATGAAAAAATTCATAAGGAACCACAAAAAAACCCAAATAGTCAAAGCAATTGTGAGCAAAAAGAACAGAGCTGGAGGCACCATACTGCCTTACTTCAAAATATACTACAAAGCAAAAGTAACCAAAACAGCAGGGTACTGGCAAAAAGTCTGACACATAGGCCAAAGCACCAGAATAAAGAGCCCAGAAATAAATTCACAAACTTAACAGCCAACTAATTTTTGATAGATGTGCCAAGAACACACATTGGGAAAATGATAGTCTCTTCAACAAATGGTTCTGGGAAAATTGGATCTCCACATGCAGAATAATGAGACTAGATTCCCTAACTCTCACTAAATACAAAAATCAACTCAAAATGGTTTAAATGCTTAAATGTAAAACCCAAAACAATGAAACTACTAAAGGAAAACATAGGGGGAACACTATGACACTGGATTAGGCAAGAATTTTTAAAATAAGCTTTGGTTGCCTCAAAAGCACAGGCAACAAAAGAACATAGACAAATGGGATTATAGCAAACTAAAAAGCTTTTGTACAGCAAAAGAAACAACAGAGTAAAGAGACAACCTACAGAATGGGAGAAAATGTTTGCAAAGTATAAATCTAACAAAGGGAGCTGGGCGGGGTTGCTCACGCCTGTAATACCAGCACTTTGGGAGGCCGAGATGGGCAGATCACTTGAGTTCAGTAGTTCAAGACCAGCCTGGGCAACATGGTGAGACACTGCCTCTACCGAAAATACAAAAAAAAAAAAAAAAAAAAAATAGCTGGGCATAGTAGCATATACCTGCGATCCCAGCTACTTCGGAGGCTGAGATGGAAGGATCACTTGAGCCCTGGGGGTGGAGGTTGCAGTGAGCTGAGATCACCCCACTGCATGCCAGCCTGGGTGACAGAGAAAGACTGTCTTAAAAAAAAAATCTAACAAAGAGTTAATATCCGGAATATATTATATAAGGAACTTAAACAATTCAACAGCAAAAAAAAAGTACCTGATATAAAAATTGGCAAAAGACTTTAGTAAACATTTCTCAAAAGACATACAAATGGCCAACAGGTACGCACACAAAAAATGCTCAACATCACAAATCATAAAGGAAATGTAAATCAAAACCACAATGAAGTACCATCTCACTCCAGTTAGAATGGCTACTATTAAAAAAACAAGAGAAAACATGTATTTACAAGAATGTGGTGAAAAGGGAACATTTATGCACTGTCGGTGAGACTGTAAATTAGTACGGCCATTATAGAAAACAGTACAGATGTTCCTCACAAAAATAAACATAGAACTATCATGTGATTCACCAATCCCATTACTGGGTATGTGTCCAAAGGGTATGAAATCAGTGTGTCAAAGAGATATCTGCACTCCCATGTTTAATGGAGCATTATTTACAATCGCCAAGATATCAAATCAACCTAAGCATCCAACAGTGGATGAATAGGTAAGGAAAATGTGGTATATATACACAACAGGGTACTATTCAGCCATAAAAAAGAATAAAATCCTGTTATTTGTGACAACATGGATGAACCTGGAAGACATCATGTTAAGTGAACGAAGCCAGGCACAGAAAGGCTGATCGGTAATATGACCTCACTCATATGTGGAATCTTAAAAAAAAAAAAAAAGAGTTGACATCGTAGAAGCAGAGAGTAAAACAGCAGTTACTAGTGACTGAGGGGGAGATGTAAGGGGAGGATGGGAGAGGGTGGTCAACAGGTACAAAGTTACAATCTAATAGAAGGAATAAGCTCTAGTGTTCTATTGTACAGTAGGGTGATGATAGTTAACAGTAAGGATTGTATATTAAAAAATAGTTAGAAAAGCTCTTGAATGTTCTCACCACCAAGAAATGCTAAGTGCATGAGGTAATGAGTATGCTAAATACCCTGATTTAATCATTATACAACACATATATGTACCAGAATATTAAAATGTACCCCATAAATACGTGTCAATTTAATTTTTTTTAAATAGTTTCAGATTTTGGAGCATTTTGGATTTTGGATTTTGGGATCAGGGATGCTCAACTCATATTGCCATGGCCAGTTTTATGTGTCAATAACCCACTTTCCCTGCCCTTGCCCAGAATTTTTTGAAGCAAATGCCAGATATATAATTTCATCTGTAAATATTTATTATGCATCTCTAAAAGATATTTTTAAAAACCTAAAATGATTATGACAGCTAAAAAATTAAGAATTTCTTAATACCAGCAAATATCCAACTAATGTTCACATTTCTCTACTTTCTCTTAAATTATTACTTAAGTTCCTTTGGCTTGAGTTAGGGTCCAAAGAAGTCCATACATTGCAACTGGTTGCTATGTCTTTTAAGCCTCTTTTGACCTATAGGTTGTCCTTGTCCCCTGCAATTTATCTTTTGTAGAAGAGTTTTCTGATCTACATTTGGCTAATTGCAGACCTGTGATGAATTTAACCTGTTCCTCTGCCTCCTGTATTTCCTATAAATTGGTAATTAGACCTAGAGGCTTATTCAGATTCAGGTCCAGTTGTTTGGTTTTTTGCAATAAGGGCATGGGTATTGTTCTGAATTTCTATGTTGTCTGAGTGTTGCTCTTTTTTGGGGCTAGCAATCTTTGAGGATCCTTGCCTAGGTTCATTAATTTATTAGGAGTTGAAAAAATGTAAAATTCTAAAATGCCTTCATTTATTAGTTGGAATATGTTTATAAATAAAACTTATCATTATCTGCTTAGCTACCCTGGGATATAGTTTGCAAGGGAAAAACAGGAAAAAAAATGCTTTATTTTTTACCTTTATGATTGCCTAGCATCCATTATAGGTAACTGCACATTTTTGTATAGGATCATTATGAACTCACAGATTTACAGATTTTATGTACTTGTTTCAATTAATTTTTATTATTTTTCTCAGTCAAGTTCAAATTGTCTCATCTTTGACTAGTGGGCTCCTCAATCTCTTTGATGATTCCAATGGTCTTGGATAGCGGCTTCACTGCTTTCTGTGATGGTAAGATGTTTCAGGCTCATCTTATTTCCTGACCTAGATATATAACCAGCCATTATTCTAAGATGCCCTGGTTCCTGTTTGTAGAAAATGGTATTTGGCAGCCATAATCTGGGTGCCAGGGGTACTCTGCTGCTACCAGGTTGGTCACTCTTTCCAACCTGTATCAGGGGACAGAGCTGGAAAAAAAATTTTTTAAGAAAAAATATATGAAGCTCATTCAGATTTTTCTATTTCAAATTCAGGAGAACAGGTTTTTTTAAACCACACTGATTTTATTTGTCTCTCTGTTTTCCAATACTAAAGGTCTCAGTTCTCAATAACAGCAATATAATTATTTACTTTATCACATACACACATATATACAAACATTCATACCACTGTGTGTGTATATAAATACTAGAAAAAATATGCCAAAATGTTAATATTGGTAGGATAAAGAATAATGATAGGTTTTCATTTTTTTCTTTTAATCAATTTCTGCACATTCAACATTTCTATAATAAAAAACTATTATTGATAGAAAGAAAAAAATTGTAATCTTATTTAAAATTTCCAGTTGAGGCCGAGTGGAATGGCTCATGCCTGTAATCCCAGCACTTTGGGAGGCCGAGGCGGGTGGATCACTCGAGGTCAGGAGTTTGAGACCAGCCTGGCTAACATGGAGAAACCCCATCTCTACTAAAAATACAAAAATTAGCTGGGTGTGGTAGTAGGTAACTGTAATCCCAGCTACTCAGGAGGCTGAGGCAGGAGAATCACTTGAACCCGGGAGGCAGAGGTTGCAGTGAGCTGAGATCATGCCACTGCACTCCAGCCTGGGTGACAGAGTTGAGACTCTCTAAAAAAAAAAAAAAAAAAAAAAAAATCCAGTTGGTTCACCAATTTTCAAGCTCCCAAAATAATTCCTCTAGTGAGTACATATAATTCTCTGAAGTACACCATATCAGGCCTAGTTTAGGACCTCCAAATCTTAACACAGGATACCACTGTTCCTCACAGCAAACATACAAACACACACAGCCTCTGAAAACAAAAGGTAAAATTACTTACATCTCTCACAGATATTGTTTCTTCTACTACGATTTCCATTTCTGTCCCAGGTTGAACGTCACTCCCCATTGCAAAAAACAGGAACAACTAATAACAAGACAGATGTGTAAATGCAATTTAATCTGAATTTAAAAATCCAATAAATGTATTATTTACTTTCAAAAATGTAAAGCCAAGGGCCCATGAAACTTTAACAAAAAATCTCAATTTATATGAAAATACGACTATGATTAATGTTACAATTTAAGCAATAATTATGCCTACCCAGAAGTATAAATTGCTTCATCATCAATGTTTTTTACTCCTAATAAATGTCTCCCACATACACTACTTCTTTTTCTTTCTTTTTTTTTTTTTTTTTTTTTTTTTTTGAGATGGAGTTTTGCTCTTGTTGCCCAGGCTGGAGTGCAGTGGAGCGATCTTGGCTCACTGCAACCTCTGCTTCCCAAGTTCAAGCGATTCTCCTACCTCAGCCTCCCATGTAGCTGGGATTCCAGGTGCATGCCACTACGCCTGGCTAATTTTTTGTATTTTTAGTAGAGGCAGGGTTTCACCATGTTGGCCAGGCTGGTGTTGAACTCCTGACTTCAGGTGATCCACCCGCCTCAGCCTCCCAAAGGGTTGGGATTACAGATGTGAGCCACCGCGCCCGGCCAACATACACTATTTCTTCTACTATGATCTCCATCTCTGTCTCGATCACTCCCAAAAGGAATTTGTAATTACTACACACAGTTAGCATTAGTATGTTTTTTCTGAGTCACTTGGTTATGATTTTATTTTCTGCCAAGGGTTTCAAATATTACAATTCTCAAGACTCCAAAGGAAAAATACAAATCTGATCTCTTATTCAGTTCCTCATAGCCCTGCTTTTCCTTTCTAACTCAACCTCACTTGTCATGTTTTCCCTCCTATCAGCTTGTCATGCACTACTATTTGCTACGGTTCAGGGGAAAGCAAGTTAAGGGGGAAGTGGTTGGGAAAGTAATGAAGTGAATTTGGGAACCATGGGCAACCTGATTTGAGTCCAGATTACCCTGCTACAGGGTATTCACAATAAGAATATCCTTATGATTTCTGCACTGTAATAAGCTGATTAGCTGGGTATGGCTTCTGGCAAAGGTCAAACCTGATGGTGTTTTATACTGAAAATGGACACTGTTAAAGACAAGGGGAAAGGGAGGCTGCTCTGAGACTATTAGTGCAGAGAGTAATTAAGTCTAAAATTAATAAACTGTGTTTCATTCAACCTAAAATGCTACTGAGTGTTAGACTTACTATTTTCTGTACCAGTGCCAGCTATAACTGCAGAACGTCCCTGACTGTAAGATGCAACCTAATCTCACAGATGTAAAAATGTGAGAAAAAGAAGGTGTATCTTAGAACTTAGGAAATATAGTGGTTGAAAGTGGTGGCCACTCAGCATCAAAGATTCCTTTTAACCACAAAATCTTCACAGAAAAAGAAACATAAATATGCTTTGGCATAATATTTTATATTTAAACATCTAGAACTATAAGGATATATTCCTAAAATAAAATGTATGATTTAAGAAAAAACTTTTAGAGAAAAACAATATTACTGGAGTAGCTAAGGTACTAGTTATAATTCTGGTTATGGAAGGGTTGATTTTGTTTTGAAACAGGTGACCTTATTTTACCTGAGACGAACTTGGTGCTTTTCCAAGACACAGTCCCAATGAACTTCCCATCTTCAATTCTGCTTCCTTCAAAGTATAGCTGTCCGGCACTTAAAAAAATTTTGATAATATGATGAAGGTTATTAATTCCTAGCTCTCTAAGAAAAATAAATGCTGAAATCAGTATTTCTTTGAAAATCAAGAATATCAAGAAAGAAGAAAAATGAGTTGCACTTCAGACAAAAGGATTACATGCACTAAGATTAGGTTTGATTTTCAATTTCCATACTCTTAAGATATTGTCTTCCTGTTTTCTATGTAACAATGCTAAATGGAAGCTATGAAAGTCTAGTTTCCTACTTAATAAAAATGACTTGTTCAAAGAGCTGTTGTTTATATAGATTAAAAGCCAGATAATCCAAATCAATCCATAAATGAAGAAGTAGCTTCTTCCAAGTTTAAAGTTGAGATTGTTATTACCATCAATAATTAGGCTCATCCATGACTAAATTAAATCTAATGGTAAGAGGTGATACAGAGATGAGAACTGAAGATTTTATTTCATAATTGGTATCGCAATAAAATTCACAAAAAAATGGAAAAATTTTGAAAATAAAGCTGGAAAAAATATAACTAGATCAAACCCGTGAGTAAAATGAGAATCGGATAATCAGAAAGAATGGTGTTTCATTTAGAAAACAGAAGTGTTTGTTTCTGGTTAAGGATTTCTGCAATATAAAGGTAAGATACCTGGAAGAAAATATGTCCTATAAATCAGTTTCCAAAAGGTAATTTTTAAATATTAGGTATTGGAGGCCACTATTTATCAAGAAAGACAGACGAGTATAAGCCACCTTTTGAAAGTTATCAAAAAGATTTACCTGGACAAAGAAGCTTCCCATTTCTATCAATAGGTCTCAAACAGCTGTTGTCAGCTATATATAAAAGGAATATTATTTTTCTTAGAGAGCTAGGAATTAATAACCTTCATCCTATTATCAAAATAAAAGGAAGCTGGTTACAGCATCAAACACAGAAAACAAAAGAGAGATGCTCTATTGTGTTAATTAGCAGAAAACTACAGAAAGCTAAAAACAAAAACAAACCAAAAACCCCCCAACAACCAAAGAAAAAACCCCCAAAATAAGTACAGGCAGTCTTTGTTTTGTGCAGTAGTGCAAGACTAAAAGTACCTGGTCAAACTGTGCAAAACAATATTAATAATCAATGGAAAAATTACAATCGTTCCATGACACTTAAAAATTTTTGTTGAAACATTTAAAACCCTCTTCGTTATTAATATTATACATGTATTGGGAAAGGAAAAAACAGTAAAACCAATATTTATACTATAATTTAAAATACTAGAATCTTTGAGAATTAAAATGTTTTCTGTCTTTGTAAATTACATATAAAGAGTCGTTTAAGCAGGGCTTGGTTTCTTCTCATTGCATAGCTTATAATATAGAGTGACATTTTTCCTGTCCTGTGGCAAACTGTCATACTCCTTTCTAAGTTTGGATCAGCTTCCAATATCTAGAGTCTCTTGAGTGACTGCAGGGTCAACATTCCCAGAGGTAGCTGCTGCTTCTATAACTCCATATACTTTTGTTTCTTTGTGTACTTTCTTCTCTGTTGGTCAATTCCCTCTTTTGATTATGTATTCTTGTAAAATGTCATGGTGGGTTTAGCACTACAACACAACTACATGCTTTGCTGTCTGTGTAATGAAGTGTACATGCAGTGACAAACCACCAGACTTGAAAGAAATGAAGTCAATGGTTACTGCTTGTGGTGCACATGTGTTATTTATGTGATGAATTGTGCCCTGAAGAGCTGGCAGTCAAGTGTGTACTTTATTCAGTTACAGTTAATATACCATATACCATGGTTGCTGAAATTTTAACCATCTTGCTGGGGGATTGATGTTATATAACTAAATGGTAGTAATGAAATTCGTGCATGTCAGAGCAGTACAAGCAGACTGCCTATATTTAAAATATGTTGGGTGATTTTATGCTTATTAAATCGGCCAGCATGTGCTATGTTTGAGGATACAGATTCTTGCTTTGGAAGAATATATTTCCTCAAGATCCCCTGGTGCTTGGAAGGGGCATACCAAGTTTTCAGTTCAAACAGAATTCTTAAAAAGTAGGACATAAATTGGAGGGGTGGGGGAAGGTTGAGTGTTCTGTATAGACAACAATAGTCTGAGCCTTAGAAGTTCTAACTTTATTAGACCACAGCAGAATCCCTTTCTGAGATTCCTGAGTTCAATATCTTGTATTACAGTAATATGAGGCTAGCATACAATTCTCACATAAATCTCTTGTCGACGGAAACAATTTACTTAAAGAGTTCCCCAACTTAAAAAGTGCTTTTAAAATACTGTCTCTTTAAAATCTGTTGGTTTTCACTGAACAGGTACTTACTGTGTATTGGCTACGTGCCAGGCACTGTGCTAGAAACTGGAAATACAGTGGTAAGCAAAGCAGTGTAAACTCAGTCCTCACAGAACCTTGTCTAATGGGGGAGGTGGATATTAAAAACACAAATAAAAGGGCAGCTACAGTGATAAATGCTATGAAGGAAAAGTACAGGGTGTTAGGAGAGTACATCAGCAAGATTAACTGGGACTGTGTGGTCAGGGATGAAAGGAGAAGGAACATCTCATATAAGACCAAATAAACAGCTGAAGTTAAAAGCAAAGGGAAGAGACTTGAAAGAGAGACTGAGCACTAAGAAGTCTTGGGGGTTAAAGAGAGCTTGTGCACTGAGAAACGCAGAAAAGTCAGCATGGGAAGTGAGTTGTGAGTACGCAGAAAAGCAGATCACAAGGTTACAGTTAAGCAGGGGTCAAATTATTCAGGTTCTTGTAGGCTAGGTTAAGGAATTAACCTAAGTGCAATGGAAAGCACTAAAGGGCTTTGTGCGGAGGAGTGACAGGATCTAATTCACACGTATTGACGATGATCAAATGGTTTGGAGAGGGGCAAGAGTGGAAGAAGGGAGACAAGTTTCATGGGATGACAGCAAACTATGCATTTAATAAACCAATGACTTTTAATGGACTTTACTGAGTTATAATTTTCTTATAATAAAATACATCTGGTTTAAATGTACAGTTAATAGTTTGATAAGTACCTAAACATCTGGTAACCACCAGCAAACTGAGGTATAGTTTGCATCATCCCCCCTAAAACTCCCTGTCAATTTGCAGCCAATCCCTCTTCCTCCCTCCCAATCCTGATCTGCCTTCTGTAACTACAGCTTAGATTTTATTTGTCTAAAGTGTCCTATGTATGGAACCACACAATGTGTACTCTTTTGCATCTACTTTCTTTCTCTTGGCATAATGACTTTGAGATGCATTCATGTGTTGTATGTGGTGGAACTAGCAGTGCCTTGCTCTTCAGTGACGAACAGTATCCATTGCTTAAATACACCATCATTTGTTCATCCATTCGCCTGCTCATGGGCTTTAGGATTGCTTCCAGTTTGGGGTTAGGAACATTTATGTCTTTATAAGGATATATGTTTTAACTCTTATTCAGTAAATACCTAGACGTAGAATTGGTAAGTGGATGTTTAAATTTATAAGAAATAAGCTAACTTTTCCAAAGTGGCTTACCCATTTTACCTTCCCATCAGCAATATATGGGAGTTCCAGTTGCTCCACATCCTTGCTAACACTTGGTTGACTTAACATTTTAAGTTTTATTTACTCCACTGGGTGCACAGTAGGGTGTCATTTGGTTTTAATTTGATTGCTAATGATTCTGAGCATTTTTTCCTGTACTTACTGGTCATTCATAGGTACGTCTTCTTTTGTAAAGTGTCTGTTCAAGATTCTAAACCTGGGTTAGGTTACAAGGGTTTTTTTTTTTCTTTAATATTCTGAATGTAAGTTGATTGTCAAATATGTGTTTCATAAATATTTTCTCCCAGTTTGTGGCTTGCCTTTTCAAATGCTTTTTGAAGAGTAGAAGTTTAAAATTTTAATGTAAATTAATTAGGCTTTTCTTCCATGGTTTGTGCTTTTTGAGTCCTATCTTTAATACAAAAACCTTTCCTTATGATAAAGTAACAAAGATTTCCTCATATGTTTTCTCCCAGAAATTTTGTAGTTTTAGGTTTTAACTTTTAGTTGTATGATCCATTTAATTTTTGCATCAGGCGAAGTAAAGCTTGAGGTTCATTTCTGCACATACAAATATCTAAATGGCCCAGCACTATTTGTTGAAAAAATGCTATCTCTCTGCATGAAAATACCTTGGCACCTTTGTTGAAAGTCAATGACTACGCACCTATTTCTAGATTCTCTGAGTTCCACTGTAAATATTTTAGGCTTCACGGGCCACATGTGATCTCTGTTGCACATGCTTCTTGTTTAAACAGCCCTTTACTAGTGCGAAAACCATTCTTTGCCCACTGGCTGAAAAAAAACAGGTTGTAGGCCATAGTTTGCTGACCTCCTCTCTATATGTCTACCTGTATGCCAATATACACTGTCTAGAGTAAGCCTTGAAATCAGATAGTGTAACTCTTCCAACTTTGTTCTCTTGTTTTCAAAAGTGTTATGGCCACTTTAAATTATTTGTATTTCCATGAAAATTGTAGAGTCAGCTTGTCAATTTCTTTAAAAAATGTTAAGATTCTGTGTAAGAATATATTAAATCTACACATCAAATGGGGAAGAATTATCCTCTTAAGAATACTGTATCATCTGGCCAGGTGCAGTGGCTCACACCTGTAATCCCAGCACTTTGGAAGGCCTAGGCGGGCGGATCACGAGGTCAGCAGATCAAGACCATCCTGGCTAACACGGTGAAACCCTGTCTCCACTAAAAATTAGCCGGGCCTGGTGGCGGGCACCTGTAGTCCCAGCTACTCGAGAGGCTGAGGCAGGAGAATGGCGTGAACCCGGGAAGCAAAGGTTGCAGTGGGCCAAGATCGCACCACTGCACTCTAGCCTGGGTGACAGAGCGAGACTCCATCTCAAAAAAAAAAAAAAAGAAAAATTAGCTGGACGTGGTGGCAGGTGCCTGTAACCCAGATATTCGGGAGGCTGAGGCAAGAGAATCGCTTGAACCCAGGAGACAGAGGTTGTAGTGAGCCAAGATTGCTGCCCTGTACTCCAGCCTTGGGGACAGAGCAAGACTCCGTCTCGAATTGAAAAAAAAAAAAAAAGAATATTGTGTTGTCTGATTTGTGAATGTTGTATATTGCTTTATTTATTCAGGTCTTCTTAAATATCTCACAGCAGTATTTTCTAGTTTTTAGTGTACAGGTCTTGCACATATTTTGTTCATTTATGTCTAAGTATCCCATAATATTTTATGCTATTATAAATGTTTTCTTAATTTTGATGTCGATTTTGTTGTTGTTGTTGCTGGTAGGTAAAAAGGCAATGAATTTCTGTATATGATTTTGAGTTCTTGCTAAATTTACATGCATTAAGATACTAATTCACATTCAGTAGAATGGCCATGTTGGTGTGGATATGGTGATTAGGGAACACTTCAACACTGCTGGTGGGAACATAAACTAGTACAGCCACTATGGAAAACAGTGTGGAGATTCCTTAAAGAACTAAAAGTAGAACTACCATTTGATCCAGCAATCCCACTACTGGGTATCTACCCAGAAGAAAAGAAGTCATTATACAAAAAAGATACTTGCACATGCATGGTTTTTTGTTTTTTTTTTTTTTTTGAGACGGAGTCTCGCTCTGTCACCCAGGCTGGAGAGCAGTGGCGCGATCTCGGCTCACTACAAGCTCTGCCTCCCGGGTTCACGCCATTCTCCAGCCTCAGCCTCCCCAGTAGCTGGAACTACAGGCGCACACCACCACGCCTGGCTAATTTTTGTTGTATTTTTCAGTAGAGACAGGGTTTCACCATGTTAGCCAGGATGGTCTTGATCTCCTGACCTTGTGGTCTCCCCGCCTCGGCCTCCCAAAGTGCTGGGATTACAGGCGTGAGCCACTGTGCCCGGCCTGCACATGCATGTTTATAGCAGCACAGTTTGCAATTGCAAAATCATGGAACCAACCCAAATGCCCATCAATCAATGAGTGGATAAAGAAACTGTGGTGTGTGTGTGTGTGTGTGTGTGTGTGTGTGTGTGTGTGTGTGTATGATGGAATACCACTCAGCCATAAAAAGGAATGAATTAATGGCATTTGCCGTGACCTAGATGAGATTGGAAACTATTATTATAAGTGAAGTAACTCAGGAATGGAAAACCAAACACCGTATGTTCTCACTGATACGTGGGAGCTAAGCTATGAGGACACAAAGGCACAAGAATGATATAGTGGACTTTGGGGACTTGGGGGGAAGGGTGGGAGGGGGATGAGGGATAAAAGACTACAAATAGGGTGTAGTGTATACTGCTCGTGTGATAGGTGCACCAAAATCTCACAAAGCACCACTAAAGAATTTACTCATGTAACCAAACACCACCTGTACCCCAATAACCTATGGAAAAAATAACAATAAAAAATGTGCTCAAAATATGTTTTTTTTTTTAAAAGTCAAAACCAAACCAGTAACAGATTCTAAAAAAAAAAAAAAAAAAAAAAAAAAAAAAGATGGCTGGGCTCAGTGTCTCATGCCTGTAATCCCAGCACTTTGGGAGGCCGAGGTGGGCAGATTACCTGAGGTCAGGAGTTTGAGACCAGCCTGGCCAACATGGTGAAACCCTGTCTCTACTAAAAACACAAAAATTAGCTGGGCGTGGTGGCACACGCCTGTAATCCCAGCTACTTGGGAGGCTGAGGCAGAAAAATTGCTTGAGCCTGGGAGACGGAGGTTGCAGTGAGCGGAGATCGTGTCACTGCACTCCAGCCTGGCTGACAGAGTGAGACTCTGTCTCAAAAAAAAAAAAAAAAAAAAGATAATCACAATTAATCACAGATTGACAAGGACATGTAGAAACTGCAACCCTGACACACTGCTAGTGGGAGTATAAATGGTTCAGTCACTTTGGATAATAGTGCGAGAGTTTCTTATAAAGTTAAACATAAATTTGCAAATGACCCAGCAATTCCAATCCGGTACATGTACCCAAGAGAAATGAAAACATATCTCCTCACCAAGACTTATGTGTAAAAGTTCATAGTGGCATTATTCATAAAAGCACAAAAGTAGAGACAATCCAAATGTCTATCAATTCATGTTTGTCCAGGATAAACAAAATGTGATACTATCCATATAATGGAATACTAGACTAGTCAGCAATGCAAAGGAACAAGCTATTGATACGTACTAAATCATGGACTAACCTCAAAAATGATATGCTATGTGAAAGAAGCCAGACACAAAAGACTATATGTTTTATGATTCCAATTACATTAAACATTAAGAAAATAAAGTCTATAGAGACAGAAAGCAGATTAGTGGTTGCCAGGGGCTTGGAATACAGATGGGTACAGGGATATTTTTGGAGTAATGGAAGTATTCTAAAACTGGATTGTGGTGATGGTTATAGAACTCTACACATTTACTGATGATTACTGAATTAAACACTTAAACTGAGTGAATTTTATGGTATGTAGATTATATCTTAATAAGGCTGTCACAGAAAGCCTAATGGTAAGTGAATAGTGAGTTTGCAGAATATACATTCAGTATAGTACAACATGAATACATGGACTAGATACACACCCACATCAGATATACTCATTGTATCTGGGGAAGGAGAGAAAGAATAGGTCTGAGGAGGAGAACACAGGGGACTTTAACTTCATTTATAATGTTTCAAACAAAAACAAACATATGACAAAATGTTAATATTTGTCCATTTTGGGTGGTAGGTATGTGAGTTCTCCCTAAACTGTTTTTTGTATTCTCCTATATTTTCTTCAATTCAAGACCAAAATTAAGCTAAACTAAGAACCGAAAAGAAAATGTAAATGATTACCTAGTTCCTTCATTAATTTTAATTCCTTTATGGCTTTAATTCGAATATCAAACACCATCTAAAACAGAGAAATAAAATAATGACTAAGTTGTAAAAAATGGGAGGAGATGAAAATGAGGATTGTCACTGTGTGCATAAACAAATTATTTGAGATATTAATTACCTGACATTTAGTAGTTTTTGCCCACTGGAAATTTTTCCATCCCTGAAATCCTTTTATAAGATCAAAAGCAAAAACTTAGGACTTCATAGTTAAGTTTTTACCAAATTGATGTTAATTGGAACAGAAAGGACACCTACAGAAAACTACAGAAACTGTAGAAAACTACAGAAACTAAAGAAACTAGCTGAAAGGCAATAAGCTGACAAACCAGTAACTTTTCTCATGAAAGCAAACAAAATAAACTGCAGGCAATCACATTTCTCTATGTCAGGAATGATGAATGTGGGGCCAGTAAGCATAAATAAAAATGTATACTATCAGCCCGAGTGCACTATTTAAAATTTCTGTTTAAATGACTTTATTTTAGATTCTTTCCCTTTTTCAGTTTAACCTAATTTCCTCTAGGATACAAAATCTTGTAAATTTAGGAGTAAAACCGATGTCAGACAATCTGTCCTCCCACAGCACCCCACATTGTGAAAAGAAGAAACAGAGTGAGTCATAAAGGACTTCACCAAAGTCTCTCACTTAGGGTCAAGGTACTAGATCTTCTGAACTTTAGTGTATTCATCATACAGTGTAAATATTAACACACTTTAAGAAATTATAATATTTATATAAAAGAAAACAACATTCTAGTAAGTTTCAACTTGTTATAGAAAAAAAACCCATAATGAATTGAGACTACATAAATATAAAAAGGTATTTCCTGAGATGGTGTTTAACGAAACTAGTCTTCAAATGGAGAACTGAAAGAGTTCCTTTTAAGAACACCTGGCTTTACAGAAAAACAGAGTATAATGTAAAACAATTTAAGATAAATTTAAAAAACAGAAGTCCACAACACAAAACCAAAACATATGTATACTTGGCTTAAAAAAAATACAGAAAAGACCCTTGAAAACAGCATTTTCAAGGAAGCCAAAGAATTTCATTTTGTGGGAGCCAGAGAATTCCATGAACTAACTAAATGAGTAACTCCCACATTCTAATTCTAGGCTTTGGAGGAAATTTTAAAAGGCACGTATTTTCTTGAAATATGCTAAGGGCTAACATAGGTAAACAAGCAATAATCAAATGTTAAATAAAAAGCTGACTTCCTAAGAGCTGAAGTCTATTGAGACAACTGTTCTGAAAGATTAAGGTATTGTTTTCTAAATAAAATTCTGTTAACTGAAAATCTATCAGCCAACCTTTAATTATATTCTACTCACTGTGTTAACAGTTGCTGATATTTTAACTTGCTTCTCTTCAGATTCTAACTGGCATAAATTTTTAACGTGGAGCCAGTCAATCTCATTCATACTAGTGACCCATTTCTCTTCCTTGGTCAACAAGCTGTAGGTAAAAAGAAAAGATCAGAAATTAATACCTTTCCTTAGGCATCACTTCCAAAACTCTGCATGTGTCACTTAATGTGACTAATTAGAGGTGACCAAGTTCTACTGAGTCGTCTCTATGATAAGTGGGCTACCTTTGCAGGGTAATGTTAGGCAGTAGTCTATAGAGTCTATATTCATGACTCCAAATATT
The DNA here is from genome assembly GCF_000001405.40 of Homo sapiens. Classification (NCBI taxonomy): domain Eukaryota; kingdom Metazoa; phylum Chordata; class Mammalia; order Primates; family Hominidae; genus Homo; species Homo sapiens. The sequence goes on from NC_000002.12 coordinate 233,521,310, forward strand.
CTTTGATTTACCTACATAATTTGTTGCCACATTTTTCACAGAGAACTTCTGTAAGTAAACAGTTGCTGGCTTCTGCCTGCACCCTGCAAATCACTAGGGGAGCTTTAAAAGAGCACCTATGCCAGGAGCCTACCCCACTGGATCTAGATTTCATTTAACAACAGGGCAGCCATGTGCAGTCTGTAGACTGACACTGCACAAAAGGGCCACATCTAAGGAGTGTCACACATGGCATATATATTGTATACTGCATTTCTACATAGAGTTTTGTTTTATAATTGCAGCCGGCAGTAGAGTATCTTGTTCTAACATTTTCCCACAGATAGTAGTAAAGGGTCCTGAAGAGGTGCCTTCTTTCTAATTCACACAGAAGCATTAATGGGCTTGCCGAAGTCCTCTTTGGGAATGTACATTAGAGCTCTGAAACATCATTCTACTCTTTATTGCAGTTATTCCATTCTGAGCTCCTACCTTAAGCTAGCAATCCCAAATAAAACAAAGTATGAAGCACAAGATGCTCCATGAAGACTACTTTAAAATAGTGAAAAACTGTATGATAATTATGACAATGACCGTAATATATTAACTAAAACATTTAGCACTTACTGTGTGTACTTTGTAAGCACTCAACTCTTTCAATCCTCTCAAGTCTATGAAGTTGGCACTAGTTATTATCCCTATTTGACAGACAAGAAGACTGAGCAGAGAAAGACGAAATACCTTGCCCAAGGTCCCACTACAGCCTACTGACTTGCCTAGGAGCACAGTTAGGCAAACTATAATGTCACATAGATTACTATGTAGCCATTCAAGGCAGTTTATAAAGAGTCTACAAATCTCAAGGTTGGGCAGGGGTAATGGAAAGCAGGATACAACTACTTATCTACAAAATAATCATTATTAGGTTTAAAAAGAAAGGCACCCAAATGCTAACAGTGATTAACACTGCATGCTGAGAAGACGGATACTGTTTTGGGTCCCTTCTGTCTTCACTTTTGTATTTCCCCAGTCCCAATAAATGCATACTGCCTTTTATAAAGGAAATACAGTTCTTATAAACAAGGTAGGGAATGTCTGCAAAACCCCTGTCCAAAAGAGTAATAGTGGTAAGTGTACTACGAAAGAAACGGTCCACAAGTGCTCTGCTTCTCTGCATCAAAGCCACTATAAATAATGATACAGACATCCTGCAATCTAAGTAAATCTGTAGCACTGAGAAAACAGGGAGCTTGAAGTCTTCAATATATGGAAATATTGCAGTTACAGTGTATGACACATTGACTACAGCAATGTACTGTCACAGACATAGATGACAAAGAGATGCAGCTTTAAATGTGACCACAGGATTCATGGGGGTAATTCGCCACGTAACTGCTCTATTTGGGCAACTGGGTTCTCAAGAGTCACAGAACGGATTATAAGGAAACAATGAGTTGTCTTATGGGTCTCCTGAAACAAAATATCCAGAAACAATTTAGCCATAATGTTAATACCTTCTTCAGGAAAATTTTCAGTTTTCTCTGTGAGAATTTCCTTCGGTTTTATAACTGGCACTAATCAGAATTCACTTGATAACTTTTGCATTACAGCCAACTAATTGATACTCTATACAGTCTAGAAAATCAGGGATACTTATATTATTTTCTCACCACATTTACCAAAAAGTCCCTTTACAAAAAATCATGTTTTTCTCTAAGTTACATAACCTAAAACATTCCTGTATGCAATATTTAGAACATAATGTCTAGAAATAAAGAAACATTCAACTCTTGTCACTAAAATAAAGCTTTAGAGTTCTGCTGGGTGGTACTGTAATTAAAATGACTTTTAGAAATCCTTTTTCTCTTGTTAGCGAGTTACCTGTTATCATCATGAGAATCCTGAATTAAAATTGAGCTTCCATTTCTGAGCCCTTGCTCCCTGAACGTCTTCCTCATGTCTTCCTTGGGGATGGCCGTCCAACCCTCCCCACCTGGACATCCAGCACTGTTGATGAAGATGACACCTGCTGGGATTGCTAAGGCTGTGAGGACAGTGCCCACTTCTGCATTAGCTGGAAAGACATGTGGAGATTCTATCACCTGACAACACTTTTCTCCATCACTGCTTGTGTCTAGATGAAGAACATTTAAAAGTAGAGGTTCGCAGTCAATACCAGTTTGAATGTGGACTCCACCAACCTGCAATCATACCAAGACAACCATTAGTACAGCTGATATTTGCCAACACCGTCAACATAACATGGTAAAAGATTACTCTTAGAGAACAACCCTCATTTTTTCCAAGTAAAATAAAATTTTCACAAATGTCTGTTAAGCATCAGAGGAACAACTTCAGATTTTTCTTTTGAAACTTTCTTATCTTTTATTTTTTTAGGAGAAATCTATGATAGACTGGAGATAGACATTTATGAGTTATCATGGGTGGTGATGAAGCCAGATTGGCCAAGGTCAGTTCACAGAGTGGCTGAAGTGCTCCTGGCCGCCTTCTAGAGATAGAAAATTCACTCTCTACCTCCAAACCACCCCCACTCCCCAACTCAGTATAGATTCTCACTCTTCTAAATTCCCACAGGCACTATGCACAGACCCCCTACTCCAGCACGTATGGTGCAGTTCTTCACACGACGAGGGCCTAAAAGGACACAGATCAACTGACTGGCCTTTGATCTAGCATCTGACGCACAACCTGGTATAACGGAGGCGCTCAAGAAATGTCTCCTTGGCGTACAACTAGCACTGATTGTCCCTAACATTTATCAAGCATTTCAGTAGTTTTCTAATATCTAATTGCCCTCACATAGGCTGAATAAAATTTCATTACAATGACTTTTTTTTTGAGATGGAGTCTTGCCCTGTCACCCAGGCTGGAGTGCAGTGGTGTAATCTCAGCTCACAGCAACCTCCACTTTCCGGGTTCAAGCGATTCGCCTGCCTCAGCCTCCCAAGTCACTGGGATTACAGGCATACGCTACCATGCCTAGCTAATTTTTGTATTTTTAATAGAGATGGGGCTTCACTATGATGGCCAGGCTGGTCTTGAATTCCTGACCTCAGGTGATCTGCCTGCCTCGCCCTCCCAAAGTGCTGGGATTACAGGCATGAGCCACCATGCCCGGCCATTACGATGACTTTTAAAACATCCAAAATTATCACGAATATTTCTTCAGTAATTTTTTTTACCTCCACCCCATTCCACACAAAGATGTCTTCCCCATCAGCAATTTCAGTTTCACACAGTGTCAGTTCATCCCCTAGAAAGAGATCACCAGTGAGACCATTCATCATGACCATCAGAAACAACTGAGCTAAAGAAAGAGCTGAGACAAATATTTGTTTGAAAAAGTATTTTCACTAAGGAAAATTTAAAAAGTAGTAATTATTTTTATTCTATTGACATTATTTCATTGTAATTTTTCTTTAAAACGTTGTGACAAAAGCTTGTGAGCATGGTGGCAGGACAAGAGAGATAATCCAAAGGTCAAGTGTACTTGAGGCACATGACATTGGAAACAGGAGTTAGGCTTAAGCATGGAATGGTCCCAACTCCACCGATATGTCCATAACACAAGCTGTATTGTGTGCTTCAAGTCTCTCAGCTTCAGTTTTCTCATTTATGAAATGGAGATAAAAGAATTTTATGAAAATCAAGTGAGATAATTAACATAAAACACCTATTACAGATTTTGGCCCAAATTAGATGTTACTGCCGCTACTGTTAATTCTCATTGTTTTCCTGCTATTTAAAGGAAGTAAATGCTTTCAAACTCTCAAAGTATTTCTTGTTTTACTACAAAATCTGAAGCTGAGAACTGGGCAGAAAATCAAGTCACATAAATATGATTCAGATGGTTTGAAACTATGTTGTTCAACAATATGTGTCAATATAAAAAATTCTAAAGCTTTTCAAGAAATTTTAGTAGAGGTAGCCTTAATTTCAGAAAAAATAAAATGTTTCCATGTTAGAAGAATTTCACACATTATATAAACTGGATACATTAAAACGTGGATATTTTATTTCTTTTGGAAAACTTACAGTGTGAAGATAATCTACTTAGTTAAGAAAGTAGTAGGTGGGGAAGGACTGACAAAGAGTAGAAAATCGCAGGTGAGCCGGACAAAAATGTAGATATATAGAGTGAGTTGCTATGTTTTCATATTTATCTTACCGCCAAGTGACTGGTAAATGTGAAGTCCTGCTGGTACAAGCTTTGCAACACTAAGAACCATGTCTCCTTCCCAAAATTCTAACAGCTGAAGAATATTAATGAAGGAAAAGAGAATGTTGAAAAGTGACATATACATATCACCTTTCCAGGTTACTGTGCCAACTCACATATGAAGATGACACAGAGAGCAAGCAAATGAATACTCTCACCCCCACCCAACACCGAAAACTTGAAAAGAAGGCATCACTTGTTAAATTAGTCAAAGCCAAAGACGGCTAATCTCCTCCATTCCTGAGTGAAGAATTCTGGCCTACACAAAGGGCACAACAACCATCTAAACAATTCTGCTTAATATATATGAAGAGCACTTTTCTCAGAAAGCAAGTTGATGAGCATGTCAGCCTAGGAATTTTTACTCAAAAGAGCAAGACTAATTTGCAGAATTAGCAATGTTGAGGGAAATGTAGCCCTGACTCTAGCACACACTCATCTTCTAGCTGCTTGAAAGGAATGTCTCCCATTGCAAATTTATAAAGGTGCATTACCAGTTTACTTAATAGATTACCATGGCTTTGCTCTTTAAGTTTCTAGATCTGAGAGTCTGAGCACTGTGGCAAGGTCACCAAAATAATATCACCATAAAAGTCATTCCTATCTAGTCATTCTCTACAATACCATAAGGTATTTTCTTAAAAAGAAACTTCTTATTTACAAGTGATTAGTTTGCTGTGAATTAAGTTTTCTAGCCTCTTGTCAGTGGCTTCCTTCTAAGAGAATAGTTAGTAGGCATATACACTTAAAACACCAAAACACACAGACTGGAGTGTACCTCACACTTACAAAGTGAATAAGATCCTTTCCATTTAAAATATCCCCCTAGACTAGGTTCAGATTCCCACATCTGCCTGTATCAACAGTGCCAGAATTGGCTCAGAAATAAATTTCTAATGAAAAAGTTCAGAAATATTAGACAACTTTAGAAATCCTGACACTGATCTAGTATTTAAAAAACTTCAAATCAACTAAGGTTAAAAGGGAAATTGCTTTGCTTTTCTTAGCAGAAGAAAATTGAAAGAAAGCTAATAGTTTTGGTAATAGGATTTTTCAGAAAATTCATTTAACTAATTTCTGGGAAAAAACACAAAAAAGCTAACATTTTCTATCTCCCTTTTCCTTGATCAGAAAGTAGTGTGGAGCAGGAGGGTGATTAGGAGAAAAAAACCCTAGATGAAGAGTAGGGAGAAGAGGGACAGAGTCCCAGCTCCATCAACTAGATTTAGGACCACAGGCAAGACATTGAGTCTCTTTAAATCACACTGCCTCAACTTCAAAATGGGGCTAATGTGTCTTCATGAGATTAAAGAACCAAATCACATGATTTATATGAAAGCAGTGTAAGTAAAATAAAGAACACTGCTGTTGCTATCATCATTAAAACATACCTAGAAAAATGACTTGGAGACTACAGCACTGTTTTTACTCTAGACTAGCAGATACTTTCCTTCACTTAAGAATATTATTAATAAATACTGTTCTATACTACAGGGTATAAAGTTAGTTGCGTTTATTTGTTCAGCAGTTCTCAGTTTTACACAACATGCTCATCTTTATCTTTTCACTCTCTTTGAAAGGCAATTTGCTTTCATTTATTTTCTAAAAAAGAGACAACTTTATACTCTTTCTTCCCCTCAAATAAAATGTACCAGGCCTGATTGTCTACCTGAAAAGCTGCTGGTAGGAGCTGTGGAGAAAAGCCTCTCTAAAAGACTTAGGAGAGAAGATTTGGGTCAACCCTCTATGAAGTGGCAGATGTCAGATCTTCCTAAGCAGCTTTGAAAAATAAAGTTGTATCCTAAACAGAATGAAATGGAGAGTCTAGCTGGAGATGGTGCTCGATGTCTGAATTAAGAGGAAGTAAGGCGATATTACCTGAAATATTGACTGCCGGAGATCTCCTAAAGTTTTTCTTTTATCAAAGGTCAAATCCCACACGCTTTCTGTTTGAGAGACTACTGGGTGCAGAGCCCCATTGAAGAAATGATACTGAGGGCCCAGGTGAAGATGCAATTCAAAAGTATTGTTTGCAGAATCACATTCTGCCCTTTAAAGAGGCACAAAAATACATAAATACTGTGTTTTTATAACAGACACTGTGTTTTATCTCAAACCAAAGATATCTGGCTTACAATAAAGTTCTCCATCCCACCAAAGTAACAATTTTTCTTCTATGTGCCACAATTAGTCACTTTAATTTTTCAGTCAATAGCAAAAATTCAGTTCTGTCACCATGAATTCCAAGAGAAAACTGTTTTAACATAGGCTGCAATGTTAACTCCATTTCTCTGAACAAAGGCTGACACTTGAAATCTTCTAATTCTGAGATTATATTATAGTTATGAACAAAATGCTAGAGACCTGCTTACATCATTATGTTAAGTAGCAGATTTACTTCCATGTCATCTATCATCCTTATTTCCACTAGATTTTGCACATTCTCCCATGATTTTTTTTTTTTTTTTGAGACAGAGTCTCACTCTGTCGCCAAGGCTGGAGTGCAGTGCTGCGATCTTGGCTCACTACAACCTCTACCTCCTAGGTTCAAGCGATTCTTCTGCCTCAGCCTCCTGAGTAGCTGGGATTACATGTGTGTGCCACCATGCCTGGCTAATTTTTGTATTTTTGGTAGAGATGGGGTTTCACCATGTTGACCAGGCTGGTCTTGAACTCCTGATCTCAGGTGATCCATTTGCCTCAGCCTCCTAAATTGCTGGGATTACAGACGTGAGCCACTGCGACCGGCCCCATGAAATATTTGAAGCCAGTAGCATGAACCTCCCGAGACCACATTATCCAGGCTAAAAGTCCTTGGCAGCAGCCTGGTGTTGGCTGCTCTTCTCTGAATCCACTTGGCTGACTCGAAGCCAGTGCGAAACACAGGTAGGGTCTGACCAATGTGGAGCTGGAATGAGGCTTATCACGCAACTCACGTACTTCAGGACACTTCAATGAACATGGTCAGAGAGCACAACCACACGAAAGACCTTAGTGCGGGTTGATGACAGCCCCTCAGGCTCTGCCTTTTATTTTTTTATTTTTATTTTTTTAAAATAACAACTGCTAGTCCAGACCACTTATGCAGGTTATTTTTTAGACTTAAGATATTTCGCTCTGTTAAGTTTTAATCTTTTTGGTATCTTGGTTTTTGTTGTTTCTTTGCTCGTGTCATTCACTGTACTTTTTTCCCCCAGCTCCAAGCCAATGATAAAAATGTCAAATACACCCTGTCACATAATCAGGCAGTTTGGTCCACAAGGAGATCACGGTAACATCCATTTTCCTAACCCAATACCCTATTGACCCTAACAGAGCACAAATAAAGAAGCAGTTCAGAGTCAAAGGTGAGGCCCCAAAAGAGAATGCTGAGATCATAAAGTTCTCACAAACCATCTCTTTAAGTAAGAATCCATCATAGGCTTTCCCCCAAGATCAGCATTGCATTCAATAGGTTATAGCATCCATATTTCCCTCCTTTTGAAAATCTGCCCACCACTGATCCTCTCTCACTACATGCCAGTTCGCTACAACTACTTACCTATGAGGGGTGATTTTCATGGCAGGCTCTCTTTGGACCCAAGGAAATAATCTGGCCAGGCCAGGATACAATTCATTCAGCCCAACTATGTGCTCACTGATTTCTCTACTCTTGTTAGGCTTCGATCCCTACTTAGCAATGGCTGTTTTATATGTCACCATTTAATTCACTCTCACACATAAGGGATAATTTCAGAGTTAAAGTTACCCTCACTATAAAAATTCAGCAGCCAAACAGACACTTGCATTAACAAGTTGACTATTTTTTTTCTTTTTAATTTTCATTACTGAATGCTTAAGGCCTAAATCAGATCTTTATTCTCCGGAATACTAGTCAAACTCTAAAAGCAATTTAAAATTACCTTTTGGTTTGCAGTTCAATGTTAGCTGCATCCATTTCATTCAGTAAATGACATGGAACCCCATATCTTGGATTAGCTCGAGCTGTGAACAAAATTTTTCATTAACTTGTGTTGGCTAAATGAAATCTGGTTGCTGGAAGAGGTAGCATGAAGACTAGGAAGGACTGTCCTAGGAGCTAGGAAAGCTGCTACTAATTAGCTGTGTGAATACGAATTTTCTCAGGATCTCAGTTTTCCCATCTGAAAAATGAAAAAGTTAGAACAAATGAAAAGTAAACATTTCTTTAAGACAAGCTAGAAGAATTCCATTTTTTCAACTCTTTTAAGTATACTTTTTAAAAAGAACACCCAGATTTTCATCTTTTTTTTTTCTTTTTCTTTTTCTTTTTTTTTTTGAGACGGAGTCTCACTTTGTCGCCCAGGCTGGAGTGCAGTGGCGCAATCTTAGCTCACTCTGCCTCCCAGGTTCAAGCAATTCTCGTGCCTCAGCCTCTGAGTAGCTGGGATTACAGGCTCCTGCCACCACGCCTGGCTAATTTTTGTATTTTTAGCAGAGACAGGGTTTCGCCATGTTGCCCAGGCTGGTTTTGAACTCCTGGCCTCAAGTGATCTGCCCGCCTCAGCCTCCCAAAGTGCTGAGATTAAAGGCATAAGCCACCACGCCTGGCCTCAGATTTTCATCTTGATTACAAATACAATAAATGACTACTGTAAAAATTCTGGAATTTTTTTAAGTGTAAAAGAAATAGATACTGCTCATAATTTCACTCCCAAGACACACACACACACACACACACACAGGCACACACACAAACACACACAATTTTAAAAACTGGGATAATATTCAACAAATCTATTTTCATTTCATACACTGTATTTTCCAAAGTCTTAAATAAATGATTACATAGTAGTCCATTCTATAAGGAGCATAATTAACCTAACCAATCTTTTTCTGTTAGACATTAAGGTGATTTCCAATTAATCACTATTTTAAAATAGTAGGAACAATAAACATCTTTGAGCATCAACATTCATATACAGCTCTGATTACTTTAAGACAAACTTGTGAAAGTAGAATTACTGGTTTAAACGGTATGACAGTTTCAAGGCTTTTAAATACACATACTCAAACTGATTGTATTCCATACCTACCAGCTCTGGAGGAAATGTCACCTGTTGAAACCCAAGAGTCACAGAAATAGTATCTGATTTGGTGGGGCATCTCACTAATGTTCATCTCATTGCCATTCTTCTTCTTCTTTTTGATTACAGGTTAAATTGAAAATTTTTTGAAACACAGGAATCTTCTTTTTGTAAATTGCTTATTTATATCATTTCCCCAATTTACTACTGAGCACAATGAAATATATGTAAGCGCACTCTACAGATAGGGGAAATTAATTTGTCATATATTTTACTGTTTTCCATTAGCTTGTCATTTGCCTTTTAATTCTGTTTTAAGGGTTATATCACTTTGCCCTAGTTTTTTCTTTCTTTGCTTTTATGCTTAGAAAGGTTTTCTTTACCTTAAGATCAAATATTTATATTTTACACATTTTACGATTCCTTTTTTACATAAATATTAAAGGAACTATAATTTCATTTAAGTGATTTGTATAACAAAGAAAAATGGCTTAGTTATTTCCCTAGCAAATAACCAACTTCCCAGTTGTATTTATTGAGTAATTCACTCCCTTCCTTCCCCAAAATATCTGAAGAGCTACCTTACCACGGATTAAAACACAAATATGCTTAGATCAACTCCTGGGTTTACTGCTCTTTTTCAATGATCTGTCTACCTTTTTGCATTACCACTACACTGTCTTCATTGCTATAACTTTATAAATATGTTTTTACTGATACAGCAAATTCTCCCTCAGTCTTCTCTTCTTCAGTTTTTATTACTTTATTTCTCCAGGTGAATTTTAGAATCATTTTATAAATTCTATCCCTTCATTCCCAAAAAAGTACACCTAGATTTTTTGTTGGATCTTTGTTCAATTCCTAAGCTAACAAGAAAACTGTCATTTACATATTCCAATTACGTACACACTAAAATTCAATTCTGTGAAAAAGACTAATACTCCATTTGAAGATATTCTTTTTCTGATAGTATATATTTCTATAACTGTGAATTCTGATACACAATATTTTTACCAGAACCATTTCCATATCTTTTTTTCCTCCCAGAAAAATACAAAGCCTTTTTCATTAACAGCATAGTTATGTAACTGTTTTAGATCTGGAAAGTTAATTTCCTTTGATTCACATGCAAATTAGTAACTGCTTTATTCTTATTCTTCATAAAAATGATGGTTATTCTCATTCTCTAAGAACAATATTCTCATCTCTAATAATAGATATGTCTCAATCTATAAAGCTTTTCTCACTGGGGTTTTTAACTTTTGAGCGGACTTTGAGAAGTGATCGAAAAATCTTACTAGGCCTCATGCCTGTAATCCCAGTGAGGCAGGAGAATAGGGTCTGGAGACAGGGAACCTAAGGCTGTTTCACACCGACTTCCTAGAACTAAATTGAAAGGAACACCCTAACTTTCCATTCCTAAGTAACACAAGGACCAGAGGCTACTTCCTTTGACCTTTTCTGCGCACACATAGGAAATTGGCTGACCCCAACGAATCAGACAGTGGGTGGAGTCTTCGTTTGCAACTCTGTAACCATTTCAGCCTCTGAATGGTTGCTGTTGGCAACAAATAAGACTGAGCAACAAATCAGACTGATTGCTGGTAGGGTCTTCGTTTGCATCTTTGCAACTTCACTCCAGCCTCTGAATGGGTGTTGCCTGCAGCCAATCAGACTGATTGCCAGCTATGTCTTCGTTTGCAAATAAGTGTAACGTTGTAACTTCAACCTAGCCTCTGATTGGTTGCTTTCTGCAACCAATCAGATGTTTGCACATGATAGTGACCTTTGTAACTTCACTTCAGCCTCTGGTTGGCTGCTTTCTGCAACCAATCAGACTGATGGCGGGCTCCCAATTCATTTACATGAGGTGAGCATGAAGTGGCCAATGGGAAACTTCTAGGGGATATTTGGACCGGAGAAGATTCTGTATCTGGGCCCTTGAGCTGCTGCTCAGGCTGCTTCCACACTGTGGAGTGTACTTTTGTTTTCCATACATCTCTGCTTTTGGTCTTTTGTTGCTTCATTCTTTGCTTTGCTGGGCGTTTTGTCTAATTCTTTGTTCGAAATGCCAAGAACCTGGACAACTTGCACTCATGACCCTCTACCGATGACACCAGCATTTTGGGAGGCTGAGGTGTGAGCATCATCTGAGGCCAGGAGTTCAAGACCAACCTGGGCAATACAGCGAGACCCTGTCTCTAAAAAAATGAAAAAATTAGCCAGGTGTGGCAGCATGTACTTGTAGGCCTAGCTACTAAGGGAAGAGAATCACTTGAGCCCAGGAATTAGAGGCTGCAGTGAACAATCATGCCACTGCACTCCAGCCTGGACGAGAGAGTGAGGCTGCATCTCTAAAAATAAATAAATGAATAAATAAACAAAAAGTCTTATTGAGAAACAGGAAAATAAAGGAGAAGATATGAAAAGATATAAATAAAGGATAAATAATAGAAATAAAAGATATAAATAAGCAGAAAATAAAGGAGAAGATATAAAAGAATCAGGAAAATAAAGGAGAAGATATAAAAATAAGACCAGGGCCACTTAAAATTCAAAGGCAACATATGGCTGAATGACAGAGCCAAGTCTGAGCATATGGCAATCGCACTCAAGTTTGCCAACACAAGAAGGTTTTATGCTATCCAAGGAAATCCAATTTTGAAAATGTAATGATGATCTTACATTATTACAGGGTAGAAAATTAAAGAGAAGTATATAATCTTTATAAAATGACAAATTGTTAGATTTCATTTGGCATAATATAGTTCTTGTTAGCTTTAAAATATTTAAAAATGTTCCAAGAGTAAACCTTTTTTTAAAAGAATAAAAATTCAAACAGCATTCCATGTTTATCTTCTAAAGCCATTAACTGAAACAAATAGGAACATTTTTCTTTCCATACCTTCAGGGGGTCTCTGCAACTGGGATTTCCGATAAAACAACATGTAGGCACTTTCTTTACCCTGAAATTGCTGTTCAATATCCTTTTCCCTGATTGGCTGGACTTTAGAATCATTTATATCAAACCAGTGGGGACAGGAGATGCTATTGTTTAAACCTGGGGATTCTGGAGGAAGCATCTTGAAAATTTGCTGGTCATTCCTTTGGAAATCAGACTCAGCCTGGAGAGAACTATTCTTCAAGAGACGAACTGTACTTTCATCTGAACTGAGTAGAAATATCTGAGAATGGAGCTGTAAGAACTACACAGAAACAAAAAAAAAAATGCTAAGTTAATTATTTAAACAAAAATTAGATGTGATTAAAAAATGTTTTCTTCCTTTCTGTGATTAGATCATTTAACTTCATCTTTATTTCTGACCTGGCCAGCTACGGGGGAAAATCCATCTAGGTATCATAAAACATTTAATAAAACCACAGTGCTCTGTTAAATAGTCTGATAGTGACATCCAGGGAGGAGGTCGCTATGCCACAATCTAAAAAGCATTTTGATTACACCTCACTAGTGCTGTTTAAAAAAGTATTTAACTGGAACAGATTAGGTAGAACAAACACTTTTGAAATATTTAAAAGCAATCTAAACAAGGCACAAAACAAAGGCAATCACACAGTGTACCACCATAAAAGATAATTTGAAAACCCAGACAGACTCTGTTGGGATAAGGTAGTAATTATCAACCTAAATTATCTTTTAACCTGGACTAAAGTGAATGTTGTCTGTTCTAAAAGCTGGCAGACAAGCTCAGAAAATCAAAGCATAGTAAGGGTTAAGTCACAATCCCAAAGTTCTTGCTAAAGGATTAAGAAGAAAAAAATTTCTTTCTCCATTGCCTGTCTCTACCTCCCCATCCACTACGCCCCTATCCTCTCACTCTTTAACCTCTGTCTGGCCTTGAGTCTCTTTCTTTTCTCTCAGCCTAATTTACTTTATATAGAAAATTACTTGGGAGTTAAATTTGACACTTGGGTACTTCATCAATCACCCTGGAAAGGTGATTTGCTAATTTTTCTCTTGGAAAGAAAGTAATTTGTGGTAATGTCAACTCTCTGAGAATCAAAAGTATTATTTTATCAACAAACAGAAGAGTGTAGGGCATAACCCAAAGACAACATTGTTAACATTGTGTATGAGAACAGAGGGTAAAACAGCCTTGCAGCTAGTTTGTTTAAGGTACAAAAAAGTATCAACAACTTGAAAGCTTTGAGTAATGAACTTTCTTTTCATTTTTTGTTCTTTGGGTTTTTAAGTAATGAACTTTCTATATAGCCACGTTTTTCTTTGTTTGATAGTTGAGAATTAACTCTTTTAAGCCTCAAACATCAGTGCAGTCTAGTCCCATTAATGACAAAGAAATTTTCTTAGACTAATCTTCCTAATAAAAATGATAAACTCTAGGCAAAAAAGGAAAACAACTGTTGGGAAAGGAACCCAAAGTAGGCATAAAGTGAAGATATAATACTTCAAAGAAGGGAAGCAAACCAGGTGAGTTCTGCACTCACCTACCTACTACCCAGTTTGTAGCAGTGCATGATGGAACAGATTTCAAGAAAAGGCAAGAGTCTTACTGGGATGAGGGGACAGAATCTGAGAATACCAGAGAGGCGAGATCCCACGAAGGAGCCCCAATTCTGTAACAAATCCCCCTAAATCCTTGGCTAACTCCTAAATGGTAGAATGGACAGCTCAAAGAGCCCAGCAGAGAGTATCAGTTAGGAGGTTCAATATCTGAGCAGGGCTGCCTGATGCCAAGAAGAAAGAACAAGGAGTTCAAGTCCTACCAAATTAGAAAGAGATAGCAAACTTTTTCTTAAAGAGCCAGATGGTAAATATTTTAGAAGCAAAACTGAGAACATTACTTAGTACTCACTTCACCTTTTAAAAAGTAACCATTTAAAAATGTAAGGCATGTTCTTAGCTCAAGACTATAAGAACAGGCAGCAGGCCACATTTTGCCCACAGGCCATAGTTAGCTGAGCCCTACTGTAAGAGGAAGGACCATGACCCAGGGCTAAGCTATTCCCTGGAACTAAAGCCAAAATTGTAACAGACCCACCCTAAAGCCCAAAATTTAACTTCCACAGAATCTAAAAGACTCAAAGGTAATTTGAGGGCTTGTTAGAATGCAATGCAAAGCTCTTCAGAGAAAAATAACATAATCTAGACTCTCCACAACACATCATCCACAATATGAGATTATATGGAGCAGGGGGGCAAGACATGGGGAGATGATGGTCAAAGGATACAAAGCCTCAATTCAATGGTAGGAATAAGTTGTTTTTCTTAAAAAATCTATTGCACAGTATGGTAAATACAGAAAATAATAACATACTGTACATTTCAAAATTGCTGAGAATAAACTTCACCACAAAAAATAAGTATTTGAGATGATGGATATGTTCATTAGATTTTTCTGTATTGTATTTGCAAATTAAAACATCAATCTGTACCCTTATAAATATATACAACTAAAATTTATCAATTTGTAATTAAAAAATAAAAATTTATATTGAAAAGATTATATGACATGCAAAGAAACAGGACAATGTTATTCATAATCAACAGATGGAATGGTCAATTCAAAAGAGAATAAAAGAGTCAACAGAATCAAATTCAGAATTAATCTAGCTACTATAATAGCAAACAGCTATTATAAATATGTTAAAGAATTTAAAGGAAAAGATGAATAGAATGGGTAAAGAGAAGGGGAATTTCAGCAAAGAAATGTACACTTTAAATAAGAGCTAAGTGGAAAGACTACAACTAAAAAGTATAATATCTGAAACGTATAGCTCATTTGTTGGTCTTAACAGAAGAGTGGCTCAGTGGAAGAAAAAATTAGCAAAGCTGAGGACAGATCTCTGGAAATTGTCCAAATTGAAGTAGGAAAAGAAAAAAATTAAAGAACAAAACACCAGTCTGGCCAACATGGCAAAACCCTCATCTCTACAAAAAAATACAAAGAATTAGCTGGGTATGGTGAAACATGCCAGTAATCTCAGCTACTCGGGAGGCTGAGGCTGGAGGACTGCTTGAGCCTGGGAGGCAGAGATTGCAGTGAGCTGAGATTGTGCCACTTCACTTCAGCCTGGGCAACAGAGTGAGATCCTGTCTCAAACAAAACAAAACAAAAGCCCCCAGAACATCCAAGACCTGAGAGGACATATCAAATGGTCGAATACATACAGTTGGTCCTCAGTATCTGCAGTTTCCAAATCCACAGATTCAACCAACCATGAATCAAAAACATTAAAATAAATAAACAACAGTATAATAGTGAAAAATAATAAAAACTTAAAAATACAGTACAACTATTTACATAGCATTTATATTGTATTAGGTTTTTTTGTTTCCTTTTTTTTCTTTTGGAGACAGGGTCTCATCCTGTTGCCCAGTCTGCAGTGCAGTGCATGATCATAGCTCACTGCAGCCTCAGACTCTTGGGCTTAAGCAATCCTCCACCCCAGCTTCCCAAATAGCTGGGATTACATGTGCGCACCACCGCATCCAGCTAATTTTTAAATTTTTTGTACAGATGGGGTCTTGCTATGTTGCCAGGACTGGTCTTAAACTCCTGGGCTCAAGCAATCCTCTTGCCTAGACCTCCCTTTTGCTGGGATTACAGGTGTGAGCCACCACGTCCAGGCTATGTTAGGTATTATACGTAATCTAGTGATAGTTTAAAGAATAGAGGAGGATGTGACTAGGCCATATGCAAATACTATGCCATTTCATGAAAGAGACTTGAGCATCTGCAGATGTGGGTGTCATCTGGGGATTCTAGAACCAATCCCCCATAGATATGGAAGGATATAGTTAGACTCCCAGAAAAAGAAAGAGAGATGAGGCAGAAAAAGAAATTGAAGAAATAATGGCCAAAATTTTTCCAAAATTTTAAAAAAGACTTTGGACCACAGATATTAAAAATACTTAGCAATAGAATGTAAATAAACACAAGGAACACAATACCTAAATACATTATTGTCAAACTGCTGAAAACCAAAGATAAAAAGAAAATCTTAAAAGTAGACCAAGAAAAAGAAACATTACATTCAAGAGAATGAAATAAAAAATGACAGTTGGCTTCTCATCCAACATACTGGAAGCCAGAACACAATGGGCCTCTTTAAAACACTGAGAAAAACACAAAAATGATTAACTTATAATTCTGTATCTATCAAAAATATCACTAAAAAATGGAGGTAAAATAAATATTTTCAGACAAAATCTGAAAGCATTTTTCACCTGCAATTCTGAACTTCAAGAAATGCTAAAGGAAACTCTCTAGGTTGAAGGGAAATGATATTAAATGCAAACCTGGATAAATAACGAGCAGTAAACTCCAGAAAAGATAAATACGAAACACTATTCTTTCCTTAATTTCTTTAAAAGTCACTAAAGTGTTTAAGCAGAAGTAGTAACATATAGTGTAATTTACATTACATGTAATGGTAAAATATAAGAAGGCAATAGTAGGAAAAATGGGAATGGGAAAATGAAATTATACTATTGTAAGCATCTTACAGTATACATAAAGTGGTATACTATTAATTTGTAATTTATCATGTTAATTTATATATAGTGTAATCGCTAGATGAAATTAAATAGATTAAAAAGCCAACAAAAGAGCTAAAAATGGGACACTAAAAATTTATTAATCCAAAAGAAGGCAGGAAAGGAAAAAGAAAATAAAGAATAGAGGAGAAATAGAAAACAAATAGCAAGATGAGAGATTCAAACACAGCCATATCAATTATATTAATGTAAATAACTAAACATTCTAATAAAAAGGAAGAGACTGTCAAACTCTCTGTCATTTGACAGAAAACAGAAGAGCAGAGAAAATCAACACAGGCAAAGTCGTTTTCTTGAAAAGTTTAATAAACTTGATAAACCCCAGCAATGAAAAAGAAAGCTAAAAAAAGACAAATTATCAATATCAGAAATGAAAAAGGAATCATAAGTTCATATTCTACAGTCACTAAACGGATAATAAGGTGAGATTTTAAACAACTTTATGCCAACAAATTTGACACCTCAGATAAATGAACAAATTCCTTAAAAACCATAATTTTCCAAAATAAACAAGATCCAACTTCATACTGAGACACACATGTATAAGAAAGCTTATATGGCTACATTAATACCAGACAAGGTAGATTTCAAGGCAAGGGATATTAGCAGAGATAAAGACAAGCATTTCTGGTGTGGTGGCTCATGCCTATAATCCCAGCACTTTGGGAGGCCAAGGTGGGAGGATCTCTTGAGCCCAGAAGTTCAAGACCAGCCTGGGCAACATACGGAGACACCATCTCTACAAAATGAAAAATAAAAAAAAGAACACATAGCCAGGTGTGGCCAGGTGTGCCTGTGGTCGCAACTACTCAGGAGGTTGAGCTAGGAGGATCACGTGGGCCCAGGAGGTCAAGGCTGCAGTGGGCTGTGACTGTGCTCCTACGCTTCAGTCTGAGTGACAGAGCAAAACTCTGTCTCAAAAAAAAGGCAAGCATTTCACGCCAGGAGGCAATAACAATCCTAAATGTGTATGTACCTAATAATATAGCTTCCAGAAGATACATGAAGCAAAAACTGTCAAAACTTTTTTTTAAAAAAATGAGACAAATCCACAATTATAGTTGGGAGATTTAAAAATTCCTCAGTAATTAATAGAAAAGGCAAAAAAAAAAATAAGAAGAATAGAGAAGAAACAAAGAACACAATCAATTTGACCTAGTTGTCACTTGTGAAATGCTACATCCAATAACTGCAGAAAACAACCTCTTTAGTGAACACAGAACATTGAGCAGGATAGACAACACTCTGAACCGTAAAACAAGTCCTAAGAAATTCAAAAGAACTGAACTCATATAGAGTATGTTCTCAAAGTACAATGAAATTAATTAGAAATCAATTTACTGACATAACAAAAAGATAACTAGAAACCCCCTAAATATTTGGAAATTGACCAACACACCTCCAAAGAACTCAAGAGCCAAAGAAAAAATAAGAGAAATTAGAAAATATTTCAAACTGAATGAAAATGAAAGCTTGTTGAATATAACTGACTATATTCAACAATATAACTATAATCAACAATATAATTTGTTGAATATAACTAGTGCTTGGAAGAAAATTTATAGCTTTAAAAGTATTAGAAGGTTTAAAAAAAAAACTGAGTTACCAACCCAAGTAGCTAGAAAAAGATGATCAAATTAAGTCCCAAGAAGTAGAAGAAAATACTTTAAAATAAGAACAGATATCAGTGAAATAGAAAATAGAAAAGCAATAGAGAAAATCAATAGCATTGCATCAAATTATATCTAAGGCAAAAGCTGGTTTCTTGAAAAGGAAAAAATTAACTTGATGGCCAGGCAGATCACTTGAGTCCAGGAGTTTGAGACCAGCCTGGGTGACATGGCAAAACCCTGTCTCTACAAAAATTAGCTAGGTGCAGTGTCACATGCCTGTAGTCCCAGCTACTCAGGAGGCTGAGGCAGGAGAATCACTGGAGCCTGGGAGGTGGAGGTTGCAGTGAGCTGAGGTCGTGCCGCTGCACTCCAGCCTGGGCGACAGAGTGGACCTCAACTCAAAAAAAAAAAAAAAACAAAAAACAAACCAAAAAAAAACTTGATAACCCCCAAGCAACACTGATGAAAAAAGGTGAGAAAATAAAAATTATTAATATCAGAAATGAAAATGGAACATAGCTTCAGGTTCTACAGACACTAAAAGGATAATGAGATATTTTGAACAAGTTTATGCCAATAAATTTGATACCATAGATAAAAAGGCAAATTCCCTTACTAGAATTTTGTGTAAAAAATCAAGTGAAATCTGGGTGAATACCTGAAGACATTTCTCTAAGTAAAATGATAAGCTTTAGGGGATGAACTCTGACATTTTTTAGGAGTCACTCCCCACTATTTTTGCTTACTTCTTGTTTCTATGATAAATAACTCAGTAAGTAATACTTAATAAGTAACTTAGTAGGATTCTAGCCATTATACAAATACGGTGATTTTATTTTCACCTATTTTAAATATCCTTCTGCAAAGGAATTCATGTTGTTGCGATCATAATGAAATTTCTTGGGACTAGGACTTCCCAAAACGATGCCATGTATTACCTTCCGCAGTGGTCCATGCTGTTTTCTGTACTTCTTGTTCCAAGATATTCCTATCTTTTTCAAAAGTTTCTGGCCCAGCTGATCAACAGGAATTAGATTATTCTCCTCCTTATGAGAGAAACACAGTCACTCAAGAAAATCTGATGAGAAATAATTGCATACTTAACAAATTCAAAGAGACCAACAGGATTATACCTAATTAAATATGCCTAGAACAGCAAACACGTAAGTTGATTCCATCATAATTATTTTATTATAAAAAGTTTTTTAAAAACTGGTTAAGCCTCAGTTGAGAAAACTTGGATTTTTGCCATTTTCCATGTGCCATCTTCCATTTGAAGAGCAATATCAAAAGTAGCTCAAGGTTTCGTAAATTCCCAACATTAAAAAGGAATTTTCCATTTAAATGTGTAAATTACTGATATTAAACAAGAATTTTGGAAGAGATACGTAAGTACAAAAACAAAGATGATTAATGTCTTATCTAAATGTTTTGAAGTATAAACAAGTTCTAAAAGGGGGTGAGATGTAGCGGTGACAGACTGAATTGTATCTCCCCAAAATTCATATGTTGAATTCCTAACCTACAATATTTCAGAATGTGACCACATTTGGAGATTAGACCTTTAAAGAGGTGATTAAGGTAAAACGAGGCTGTTTTCCATTTTAGAGTAGGCCCTAAGTAAATCTGATTGGCATTATCATAAGAAGACGAAGTTTGGACAAAGTGACACCAGGGAAGCACACACACAGAAGAAACACCATGTGAGGACACAGGAAGAAGACGGCCATCTGCAAGCCAAGGAGAGAGGCCTCAGAAGAAACCAAAACTGCCAACACCTTAATCTTGGACTTCCAGCCTTCAAAACTGTCAGAAAATACATTTCTATCATCTAAGCCATGCAGTCTGTGGCATTTTGTCATGGCAGCCCTAGTAAATTCATACAATAGTCATAGATCAATATAATTAAAGTACTCGACCCAGGTCCCTAGCAGGAATTATAACAAATCATTTATTAAGGATGAATGAATAAATGAAAGAAGACCTCACATCTTTAAAACAGCATATTAAACAAACTTTAAAAGTCATCTACTTGAGATATTATCAGTGAGTGCTAGGAATGAAAAAGGGGACACACTTTCAGGTCACATAGACATTAAAAGGATAATATGGAAATGCAATAAATTGCAAAACAGCATTTAGTAAAGCTCAATTTGGTTTAAAATGACAATAATAGCCAAAAAAGTCATAACCCAATTCCAATATACATATATAAACATAAAGAAAACAGAATGCAAAGAATATATATCAAAGTGTTAACAATAACTGTCAGTATCTGGCCTACTTATACTTTTTATCTTTTGTATATATTTTCTGTTTTTTTCTTGAATTTTCTACCATGAATATGTATTTCATTCATAACCAGAAAATCCCCACAAACATCATTAAAATATAGATACAGAGAATGTCCTTAAGGAAAGACTATGAATGGTAATAATATCACACCTAGCAATTAAACCGCATACATTCTTACATATATACACACATGCACACATACACACAATACATACCATACATACAAATACATACACACACATACTATACCTCTAATAAGATTGCTTTTAGAATCATCAGTGGATGATCAATCTCTTCTTCACTCTGGAGATCTTTCAGATTCACATCTGGTTTACTTTTTTCCTCCTAGGAAGGAAAACAGTATGAGTTTCTATCACTAACCCCTTAAAAAGTAACAAAATAGGAATGTTGGCCAGGCACAGTAGCTCACACCTGTAATCCCAGCAATTTGGGAGGCCGAGGCAGAGGGACTGCTTGAGCCAGGAGTTCAAGACCAGCCTGGGCAACATAGAGAGACCAGCACACTCTACAAAAAGATAAAAAAAATTAGCCAGGAGGTTGAGGCGGGAGGACTGCTTGAGCCCAGGAGGTCAAGGCTGCAGTAGGCCGTGATTGCGCCACTGCACTCCAGCATGGATGACACAGAGCAAGACGTTGTCAAAAAAAAAAAAGGTTTCAAGATGATGAAATGGTGGTAAAAACATCACAATAATCTGCATATGCTTGGAATGAGGCAGACCTGGCTTTGAATTCCAGCTCCTGGTTGAGCAATCCTGGACAATTTACTTCATCTCTCTGGCTTTAGTTGTAAATTGGGAATACGAAACAAGTAAACCTTCTAGCACAATACACACAGTGGGTTCCAATATTTTCCAGCTTAGCACTACTTTAGCTACATTTTACATAATTTGATATGTTGAGTTTTCATTAAAATTCAGTTCAAAGTATTTTCTGGTCTTCATCCCGTATGGTCTCATTCACTTGTGTTGACCTAAGGAAATTCTACTCATCTTTGCAGGCCAGGCTCAGATTAAATACTCCTTTCTATTTCCTGACCATCCAAGTTTTCACCCCATTTTATGAAGGTATTGGGGAACATGTCAAAATTCCCCGGTAAGTTATTTTCATTGCCTTTTATTTCCATACATGCCATCTTGCAGAAGTATTTTAAATGGACTTAAAACCAGAAATACAGATAGTCCTAAACAATGCAAGCCAAAAATAAATAATCAATAAGTGATGGAAAAATATGGCAGGCCAGATACAACCATCCTGCTACAAAATTACTAAAAATGCTAGATAAAGTAAAACCAAAACAAATAAAAACATCTTAAACACACCATGAGCTTGCAAGAACATCAGGGAAAACTCTTCTGAGGTCAAAAAAGTGAAATGGGAATGTGGGGAAGAAATCCAAAGATGAGGCCTCCAGATGTGCAACTGCTATGGCCAGAGTAGTTAGGTTCCCCCAAAATTCATACGTTGAAACCTAACCGCCAATGCAATAGTATTAAGAGGTGGGGTCTTCAGGAGATAATTAGGTCACAAAAGATGAGCCCTCATGAATGGGAGTAGTGCCTTTATAAAAAAGGCCTGAAGGAGTTTTGTGTGTCCTTTCTGCCATGTGAGGACACAGCAAGAAAGAGTCATCTATGAAGCAGAGCAAGTCCTCACAGACACAAAATCTGCTGGTGCCTTAATCTTGACTTCCCAGCCTCCAGAACTGTGAGCAATAAATTTCTGTTGTTTACAAATTACCCAGCCTAAGTGTTGTGATAGAGCAGCCTGAACCTGAATGGACTAAGACACCGATCTTGCTGACACTGAACTTCCATTTTGATGCCCATACAGGGCAGAGTTGGGGAGAGAAAGCCTAGGCCTACCCAAAGGAGGGAGTCGAGGGACTGGTCTTTCAAACAACAATCAATTCTCCAATTCTCTGACATCAACTAGGTGTCACACAATTGTATTCAATTCTGACACTATCAGGTGACAGCACAGACTCCATAAGTTGAGGACTCAGTCCCGTAAGACTGTTCCCTACTTCAAACACCAACTACATACGGAGTCCCTAGGGTACTCACACTTCTGCCTGGCTGATTACAAATTCTAGGGTTCCCATCACCCCAACTCAGGTTCATAATTTTCTGGAACAACAGTTAAGAACTCAGGAACTTATACTACACTTTATTACAAAGGATATAAATGAATAGCCAGATGGAGACAGACATAGGGCAAGGTCCAGAAGGGCCCAGAGTTCAGGAAACTCTGTTTCCGTGGAGTCGCGGTGGCCACCCTCCCAGCATGAAAATGTGTTCACCAACCCAGAAATGCCCCAAACCTAATTTTTCAAGAGGTTTCACTGAAGTTTCATTACAGAGGCATGACCGATTAAATAAATCACTCGTCACTGGTGACTGAACTCAATTTCCTGTCTCTCTCCCCTCCCCAAGGTCAGGGAAGCAGGGCTGAAAGTTTCAACCCTCTAATAATGGGACTGGCTTCTCTGGCAACCAGCCTCCATCCTGAGGCATCTAAGAGTGACTTCATTAACATCAACTCAGGTTTGGTGGAAAGGGGCCCATTATGAATAACAAAAGACACTCCTATCACTCAGGAAGTTCCAAGGAGCTCTGTGCTAGGAATGGGAACTGGAAAGGATGACCAAATATATACTTCTTAATATATCACAATGACAAAATCCGGCAAAAAGTTGGAATCCCTAAATGGCTATACCTTCAATATAACCACGACCTAGAAAAAAAATCCACCTTACAATAAAGGACAATGAGGAACTGGCTTGCCTTGACCTTGATACTGGATGAAGGGGGAAAAATGTCCTTTAATAATCACAAGTAGGTCCTCATGTGGGTTTGTGTCCCAAATTCATACTAGCTGTATTGCTCTAAAACCATCAATTTGATGTTGTTAAGGGCTGGTAGCGATCTCAGGCTTGTGTTAGAGACAAACACAAATCTTTCTTGGAAGAAGGCACTTTTAACTCAGTCCTCAAATTACTCCCGTAAATCAAGTTCTTAAAAAGCAAACAAACAAGCAAAGCAAGAAGCCTACAGTCCACAATACTAAAATCACAAGGAAATACAATCAGCAACATCAGAAGATATCCAAGTCAGACCTACAAAGTCTTCAGATGCTGCAATTATCAGAAAGAAAATAATAAAATAAGTATGTTTAAGGTGCTTGAAGAAATTTATGACAACGGGATAAGAGATTTAAAAATGACAGGAGGGAAGAGGCAAACCGGCAATGTAGAGATGATGCTTGAGCCTATGAGCCCAACATATGACAAGTTGATCCAGATGACATATAGGCTGGGCCCAGTCCTCCTCCACTCTGCCAGTGTCTGACCCTGGCCATGTTGGGACAGGCTGGTCCAGTCATAGAGCTGCCAATTGGGTGCTGTCATGGAGCCTTCTTTGCCCCACTTCCTCAAATGTGCAAGATGATGTTCCAAATGATGCCAACCATCTGTGAAGCCAAAGTCCCCCCAGGAAGCTGGTGGCATGGATCAGGCTCCTCTTTATAGCCAGATCTACATTCACATTTTGCAGTTAGTGGCCTCCATGCTAGAAGAAAGGGATCATCTTCCAGGCACACTAAGAGAGACTAAAATGTTGGCTTTAACCCAGAGAAAATTACACGAGATTGGTCCTGAAAACTACTCCTTACAGGCAGTACCTACTAAAGAACTCCATGTATGCAGGGCACAGCTCCTTCAAAGGGAAGAAGTAATTGCTGAACTGTAAGTGGAAAGAACACTACCTGGCTACGATTAGAATATTTGGGACCCTTTGTCTGTGGGCACAGGGGATCTGTCAGGATAATGGTAGTAAAGAGACAAGCACAGTGTCCACCAGATATATCTACTGCAGGTGAAATTCTTAAAGCACAAAATCATTATCTGAACACCATGAAGTTCTGGATGAAAAGCTAGTGATTCTTAAACAACAGAACAATAAGAAAAAAAAATAACAAATGGGATGCTTGATAGCCATTAACAAGAAAACATACCAAGCACAATATTCTATTGTTCTCTAAGTCCTGAGGAAGACCTTGCTAAGGTGTTAGAGCTTCAAAAATGGACAGGCAGTGCAGAGACTGAAGCCACATGAAGGAATGCCTGCCTGCCCTTTGAGTCATGTCACAGAACTGGGAAGAGATCCTGATGCTGCTAGAAAGAAGCTGATCAATTCTGAAGAAATGAGCACAAAACTCCAAAAGAGATGTCCAGGAAACCACAACCCAAAAGAAATTCAAGGAAGAGAGAAATCACTACTCTCAAAACATGCTGCCTCACCAGAGTGTGAAACTGCCTTTGTACATGACCTCAGTGATAAACCTGAAGATGAAATTGCAAACAGATATTTTATGCATCAAAAAACTGAGGATAAATATTGCCAGCTAGAAAAATACCTCAAATCTTCAAACTGGCTGAGCAAAAACTGTAGCAGGCATCAAGGAATGTAGGGGCATACTCCCTGAGGTGGAACCTGGGCTGGCACAGAGGCTGGGAGCACTTCCTAAGACTGAAGAGAGACACGGCAATATTGAAAAAGGTCACAAAAGGTGGAGGCACAACTGGAAGAAAAGAGCCACGAACTGCAATGGGAATGGGCAAGGCAAAAAAAATGAACACCATAATAAACACTTACCAGACATGGACAAGCTTCGATCAGAATCTAATGAAAGGCTTCATCTTAAAGAGAGAGCAAAATAAAGCCTATTTGATAAGATAAGGGGAGTTTAAGGCGGAGTGAGAAGGCCACTTTCTTAAGGATTCTCTACTGTGGGAAACTAAAAATACAAGAAGGTAGTTTGAGGGAAGGTATAACAACACGATAAGGATTGGCTCAAATTAAACATGGTAACAGTAAGGGCCGAAACACAGTAGATGAGGATAACAAGTGTTTAACTTCCTCTAATTGGGAAGGTGCCCGGCAAGCTGGTATCTTGGCAAATGTGACACAAGCATTTGAGAGCAATGCTTGTACAGCTTTCCCAAGCCAGAATGGGAGTTCCATTCACTGCAGTAAGCAAAAGAAATGGAAGGCAAAGGATTTGGACAGGTAAAACAAAACTGTCTTTTTCCATAGATGACTTCAACATGAGTGTTTAGCAAGATTATTGGTTGTTAGTGTATAAATTGTTTAATATTTTATATATTTTGGTATATAAAATCAACATACTAAAGAAAGTTACATTTCAATACATCAGCCACAAACACTCCAGAAAACACAAAATTTAGGCATAGATCATCTCCCTGGTAAACATGTTCCTGGTAGAACACAGTTTGACTTTTTTCATATCCAAACTTTACAGAACATGTATCTCTCAATACGTTCCAAATACAACTGATAGAATGTCAGAAATACAGACGAACACTTTGAAAAGCTGGCTGAGTGTCATCAAAGGGACTGTGCATCTTGGATACTGCTGGCACCACGAGATGCCGTATTACAAGTAAATGTGGAGCAAGTATTCGTCAACAACAGCATTAACTTTCTGATAACAGGAAGCTATGCTTTAAGCATTTTACATCCTAACATTACGGTTTGTGACTTACTTATAGACGTTTTACTGTGTCTGGGGTTGATGTGTAATAGATTATAATTTCTTGGGAACTAGACACCGGTTAGCACTTTCCCTCAGAACATCTGCAAATTCTTTTTTTGAGAAATATTATAAAACTTTTTAATAAGACATTAAAGGGACTTTAGAAAATGAAAATGTATATCTTGTGCACATATGAAGACAGGAAATCCCACTGAGTATGTGTGTGTATATGTGTATGTGCACACACATGTGTATCTGTGAGATTACTGACAAGGTGATTCTAGAAATGTACACAGAAGCATAAAAAATGAAGACAGGTCCCACACTCCTGAAGAATGACAGCATGTAGGGAGACTTGTCCTACCAGAGATCAAGACTTATTACAAAGCTATGGAAATTGACAATGTGGTATTTGCCCAGGAATAGAAAAAAATGAACAATGGAATAGAATAGAGAGCTGAAAAACAGACTCACACAAAAATGAAGAGTAGACATAACAGAACTGGCATAGTACATTGGTAGAGAAAAATTGATTACTCAATAAATAGAAATAGGTAATTTTTTCAAGTGGAAAAAAATCCTTCTTACACCTCTCATAGGAAACCATTCTAGGAAGATCAAAGTTTTAAATGTAATTCAATCAGTGGTTATTGAGCACTGTTTCAAAGAGCAACCATGAAAGACATGACTATGCATAATAAACAGGACAAAATTCACCCTGGTTTTAAATCCTATTGTGAAAGCTACAGACACGGGATTTATTGTTTTTATCACATGTTCACCTGCCATCTGCAGGATACAAAATTAATATTGTGTGTTATCTAAATCAATGCTCATTTTATTTTTCAGAAAAAATTCAATAATTGTCAGCTATAGGAATTGTGCTGTCTCTTTATGATAATGGAGTAACTGTATAGCTAAGGAATGGTTCCAGATTACAGGAGAGTTAGCTAACTAAATACCATGCTTGACACTGGATTTGACACTAGAGTGGGGGAAAAATTGCCATGAAGGATGTGAACTGGAAAACTGGTGGAATCTGAACATAACTATTAGACAACAGTATTATATCAATGTTAGAAGTTCCTTATTTTAATCAATGCTCACGTAAGATAACATCCTTGGTTTTAGAAGATAAACACTCAAGTATTCAGTGGTAAAGGGACCTGGTGTCTTCAACTTAATTTCAAACGGTTCGCACTAATAATGATAACGTTAATAATGTGTGTCTGTGTATGCACATGCACAAATGTGGCAAAATGTTAACAATTAGAGAATCTAGGTAAAGGGTATACAGGAGGTGTTTTTACTATTCTGGTAATTTTTCTGTATGTGTGAAATTATTTAGAAATAAAAATTTAAAACTTGTATCTGTATTAACTTTCAGTGCCTATCAAAGTTTTCTATAGAGTGGATATATAATAAATGGTAAACAAAATTTCCTCAACAAAATAATAGGAATAGAAAAGAAATTGCAAAGATATTTCTAAACGAATTTCTATACGTACTTGAAACTGCCAGTTTCCCAAATGATCAACATCTTTAATATATACATGGTAATGGCCTCCGTAGCAGCCACCTTTGTGTATAATAACTGAGAAGAGGTCATATATATATTCTAAGTCATCCAATTCACTCTAAAAGAAAAAAGAACAAAAATATTGATATAGTTTTCATAAAATGCTGATAATAATCAAAAGAAAAAATAATTTCAACTACTGAAATTAATAAGAAACTTCACTGTTTGTTATTTAAGAGTAAAGATGAATTCAAGTAATTGGCTTTAAATTTAAAATTTTTAAATTAATTGATCTAATGGCCAGTCACACTACACCAATCAAATTCTGCCTCTTAGTTGACCATGAACACAAGTACCTGAAAAATACGTTACTTTTATGTACTTTGGCTAAGATCATGTAAGCCAATAAAACAATGAAATATGTTACCCTATCAGTGAGTCTGTTGTAGAAATTTTTAGCAAGAGAAACCCATCTTCGTACAATACCTATTTACGCTGCTTTATAGATGCACTCTTCTTTTAAAATGCATCCCCTTTTTTTATTGATATATATCTAGTTGAAATTGTCCTCTATTTCAACTAGGTTGTCATGTGCCTCAAAGTCAAAGCCAGATCAACTATCACCCCTCCTGACACTACAGTCCTCTGTATAGAATAGGAACTTACTAATTATGACTATCAACTGTTTTTGTTTAGAGGCAGTTTAGTGGAAGAGGTTCTTTCTTGTTTTATTAATTCTATGATCAACATTTTCTATAATTAATATGCTCCATAATCATGAGTGATCAAACAGATGTACTCCCACACTAGCAATTAGAAACAAAATAAAATAAAAAGCTAATTTAGATTAAGAGATACTTTAAAGATGTTTATTTAAATTTCTGATGCAGAAGAAAAAAGAAGCCTTTTTCACATCTGAGGGCTCTAAAACTACATGATATAAGCTCTCTTCTGGCTTTGACGTCTAAACTCAAGTCAGTGCTCATCTGTGATGTTCAGATGTACATATGGTGGCCGCTTGATGGGTGTCAGTTATTTTAATAATTTATTTGCTTAAAATATTAAACTTTTTAAGTGGGCAGCATTTTAAAATGTCTAGTACAGGCAAAAGAC